>NC_000018.10:50928576-51229242 GCF_000001405.40 Homo sapiens
AAAAGAACTATAGCAATAATTTAAGGCTGTGGATAAAGTTATTTTTGGAGAAAGGGACTTTACTTTTTCAAGTAGATCGCCATAATCCAGTCAGGATGTGGTCCACATGAGGCCTGGGGTATTTCCAGTTTGCCCTTTCTCCTGATATCCACCCCTTTGGGTATGAATCATCAAAAGTCCTGAGGTATTTATCAGCACCTCTCATCCTTAACGGTCCCTGAACATCCATTTTCCTCTCTGTCATCATGAGACTTTGGGTGGCTTTGCTGTTCAGGGTCTCAGTCACAGCTTTTGATTTGGAAATCAGCAGTCATCTTGAGGGGAAGAGCTTCAAATGCTAGGCTCATATATCTTGCTTCCCTCTTCTTTTGAATCTTGGAAACCTCTCTTCCCCAACACCAAACTCTCACTATCTTGTTAGGTCTCTGCTTGCTTACAAAAATTTTTAAAAATGTATTTTATCTGGTTTTTTAAATTGTAACCAGAGGAAAATTTGGTATGAAACAACCCAGAAAATCATTGCCAAAGCAGAACTCTCAGAACTTCCTGAACTTAATATTCATACTTTTGATATATTTGGCATTCTTTTTTTTTTTTTTCCCATTGTTAAACACTGTGTAGGCCAGGCACAGTGGTTCATGCCTGTAATCCCAGCACTTTGGAATGCCAAGGTGGGCAGACCACTTGAGGCCAGGAGTTCAAGATCTGCCTGGCCAACTAAAAATACAGGTGAAACCCTGTCTCTACTAAAAATACAAAAAAATTAGCCAGGTGTGGTGGCTCACACCTGTAGTCCCAGCTACTCAGGAGGCTGAGGCTGGAGAATAGTCTGAACCCAGGAGGCAGAGGCTGTGTGAGCCAAGATCGTGCCACTGCACTCCAGCCTGGGCAACAGAGCAAGACTGTCTCAAAAAAAAAAAAAAAACCAACAAAAAAACAACCTTTATGTTGACACATGTATTCTCTCAAAATTCCTTTTTGACCTTTTTGACCACTCCATTAGTCAAAATAAATTCTCATGACTGTTAGTTTCCAATTGATATAATAATTATTGAAATCTCTTCTTCTAAATCAATCACAAAATCACCATACAGATATTTAAAAATTAGTCTCTTTAGTATACTGTCTTATCTTTTTATTACTTTTAGCTTGATTGCCTGTCCTCTTCACCAGGTTTTACTACTTAAAACTAATGGTTATTGTTCCCCAAATTAAATCTTAGTCTTCTACAATGACTCTTGGGTAAATATATTAAATGCATCATGGATCGTTGACATTTCCAAAATATAAAAAATTTAAGTGTTTCGAGTAGTAGTGGTATATCACCAGAAGACTGCTCATTTAAGAATTTTGTTTTTTGTATAAATATTATTGTAATAAATGTACTTTATTGGAATAAATAAAAATTCCCCAAGGAGACTAGTTTGATATACTATATTTCATCAGTTTTAAGATCAAGGATTGCTTGAGCCCATGAGTTTGAGACCAGCCTAGGCAACGTAGCGAAACCCTGTCTGTATAAAAAATTTAAAAATTAGCCAAGCATGGTGGCGCACACCTGTGGTCTTAGCTACTTGGGAGGCTGAGGTGGGAGGATTGCTTGAGCCCAGGAGGTTGAGGCTGCAGTGAGCTGTGATCGTGCCACTGAACTCCAGCCTGGGCAACAGAATGAGACCCCGTCTCAAAAATAAATAAATAAAAAGAGCATGGTGTCATAGTTTACTTTTACATAAATTCTTTCTTAGTGTTACATGAAATAATGGCATAGAATTTTGACTAGTCGTCACCTGTTAAATTTTTAGTCCCATTTTGTTTTCACCAGGGAGGTGTTACTCCAACACCGTTTGCTGCTCAGCGAGAAAAATACTCTAAAAAAAAATCTTCATAGTTGAATTGCCAGCTGCTTACATAGACCAAGTTGGACTTCAGAATAAGAATATACTATTATCATTAAAATCTGGCCACGTTTAAGCCATGGATTAATTATTGAGTTAAATGGGCAGGGAGGCAGGGATGGTGACCTGGAGAACGTGAACTGCTATAGAATCTTGTCATTATTGAAGAGATTCCCAAGATCTTTCTAAATTTCCAAACTTACTGATACCATGAGAACATTTTTTCCATGATGTGCTATATTGTATAATCTACCTTATAAGACTATTAAAATTAATGGTGCCAGAAAAATAATTATGTACTTATTGTGATAACATGTATGACATTAACCATGAACTAACCTTAATCATCAAAGAAACAAAATTTTTAGTCACAAGTAATGTTTAGAACAGATAGATAATTGTAATAGCTATCCATAGAATAGGTAGAAAATGATATAACAATATAGAGTTGCAAGTCTAAGATAGTCAGCTCTGCCCTACTAGCATAGTTAGCTTGCTTCTACTCTTAAACCTTGTATCATTTTGAAATGGAAAGTATGTCTTGTAAAAGTAGTGGTTACTCTGCATTATTGACCTTCAGATTACCTGGAGTCAAATTCTTGAATGTTAAATCCACTAAAGCCAAGGGTCTACAATGCTATAAAGAATAATAACACAATTAATTCTCTTAGAAATACTGAATATGCCAGTAACATTTATTATATGCCATTATAGAGCATAGTATCAAAATTGGATAGATGTGACAAATTTGGAGAAGTATTCTTCTTTAACAAGGCATCAGGCCATTTGTTTTCCTGGAGTGATACTGTGGTCATGCCACATGCCTGTGTTATAAACTGCCTACTGCTGGGTATTATAGCATCATTGAAAACCTGTGGCTATGGAGTTACAAAAAAATCTAGATTAAGATTTAACTACTACAGTTTTGATGTGTGACTTTTGACAAAGTATTTGAAAATATTAAAGCCTTAGTTTTCTGATTTTTTAAAATTAGTGAAATGGAGATGATGATGAAGTTTTCATGATGGCAAAATTAACTGAGTTAAACACATATAAAGCACTTGGTAATTAGTTTTAGCGGATATATAGTAAATGACAGCCATTTGTTTTGGTATTTCCCCTTCATTCATCAGTGTTTATATTGGTCTTTATAATATGGAATGGTATTTATTGGCCGTCTACATTTTAAATTTCTTTTTTTTTTCTTTTTCTTTTTTTTTTGAGATGGAGTCTCGCTCTGTTGCCCAGGCTGGAGTGCAGTGGCGTGCTATCGGCTCACTGCAACCTCTGCCTCCTGGGTTCAAGTGATTCTCCCGCCTCAGGCTCCTGAGTAGCTGAGATTACAGGCATGGGCCAACACACCCAGCTAATTTTTTGTATTTTTTGTATTTTTTGTAGAGATAGGGGTTTCACTCTGTTCCAGGCCATCTCAAACTCCTGGCCTCCAGTGATCTGCCCACCTTGGCCTCCCAAAGTGCTGGGACTGCAGGTGTAAGCTTCTGTGCCTGGCCTTAAATTTCTTAAAAATAAGTGTCTGGTTTTTAAATTTTTAGTAATAAATGATTTTTAACTTTATTATTTATTTATTGAATGTATACTACACATGAAACAAACCTCATTCTAACAAAAGGATTGTAACGAAAAGATTGTTATATAGTATATTATGCCTTGCTTCCAAGTAATATATTGGTCTATTTTACTTCAGGACTTGATTTTGTATGAATTCACCTCAATTTTCTCATCCACAGAAAATAACAAAATTGAAGTTATTTCATTTTATTAACAGGGCAGGTGTTTGTTTGCCAGTGGCAGTCCATTTGGGCCAGTGAAACTTACAGATGGGCGAGTCTTTACACCAGGTCAAGGAAACAATGTTTATATTTTTCCAGGTAAATGCCACCATTATTTATGTTATAGAGCAATAGTTAATTATGTAAAAATACTTAATGGAATTCTTTGGAATGGGAGACTGAACTGAGCAACAGTATTACAGAATTTTGGTATAAATGTACAAGGAAACTCAAGGAATTCATCAAATTCAGCATGCTCCACTTTCTCTGAAAATTTATTCATATTGTTAATTAAATTTGTTTTTATTATAGAAATAATATATTGCATGATTTGTAAAAATGCAGAGGAACAGAATGGCACAAAATTATGTAACCCTTTCTATCTCCCCTTGGTGTACCTCCTTAATCATACTTCTCAGAACCATTGTCAATAATTTGCTGGGAGTTCTTCTGATGGTTACCATCGTGACTGATAGATTTATTTCCCAGGTTCAAGCAGTTCCCCTGCCTCAGCCTCCCGAGTATCTGGGACTACAGGCATGCACCACCACACTCAGCTAATTTTTGTATTTTTAGTAGAGATGGGGTTTCACCATGTTGACCAGGCTGGTCTCGAACTCCTGACCTCAGGTGTTCTGCCCATCCCAAAGTGCTGGGATTACAGGTGTGAGCCACCACGCCCAGCCAGGTGTTCTTATTTTGTAAGATACACCCAGTATACTGGTATCACACCAAAGGAAATTAATAATAATTGCTTAATATCGTTTATCATTACCTCAGTTCAACAACTTATTTTTATTCCCAATACCTTTTTTATTCTAGAATTGCTCTTTCTAAATAGCTACTTTTAAAGCAAAAATGGTTACAGTACTCATTGAGCTTTTTCTGGAGAATTATTAGGATTCCTTTCAATGTTTCTGCCTTTGTGCTGTATTTTCCATAAATTTCTAGTGATCCTCAGTTGTCTCTTTCTTTTAAGCAAGACTGTGTTGAGTAAAACAGGAATTTTGTATGATTTTCTTTTGCACTTGTGTCTTTTTTCTTCTGGTAGGTCTTTCCCTGACTAGCTGACAGCAGGCTCTAATTAAGATATGACAAGTTTATATAGGCTGGCATCAGGCAAGCATGTATAACTGTTGTCAAAGTAAAGAGGGTATTTAGTCTGTGAATATCCTGGTACTTTTCTATATTTTTCTCCTTTTTTTTGCCCCTCATGTTTTCCTATATGTCTCTTGAGACCTAACTTCTATAATAGAAACTGTCCTGTCATCCATAATCTCTTTCTAGAACTTGATAATGTTCAAAATTAATGTGTTCTATTCAGTAACATTTCTATGGCCTAAAAGACATGAGGGCAGGAAAGGAAATACTTTTCTGCTGATTTTAACAAAGCTATTTTTTTAAACTTTTTTTTTTTAGTTCCAGGGGTACATATGAAGGTTTGTTATATAGGTAAATTGTGTGTTGCAGGGGGTTTCATGTATAGATTATTTCATCACCCGGCTAATAAGCATGCTACCCGATAGGTAGTTGTTTGATCCTTACCCTCTTCCCGCCCTCTACCCTTAAGTAGGCCCCAGTGTCTGTTGTTCCCTTCTTTGTGTCCATGAGTTCTTATCACTTAGCTCCACTTGCAAGTGAGAACATACGGCATTTGGTTTTCTGTTCCTGTGTTAGTTCACTTAGGATAATAGCCTCCAGCTCCATGCATGTTACTGCAAAGGACGTGATCTCATTCATTTTTTTGGCTGCATAGTATTTTTTTTTATTTATACACATGGTGTATATGTGCCACATTTACTTTATCCAGTTTACCATTGATGGGCATTTAGATTAATTCTATGTCTTTACTATTGTGAATAGTGCTGCAGTGAACATACACATGCATGTGTCTTTATGGTAGAATGATTTATATTCCTTTGAGTATATACCCAATAATAGGATTGCTGGGTCGAATGGTTGTTCTAAATTCAGCAAAACCATATTTTATATCATATCTGAGTATTAAGGAATTTAGCAGTTGATTATTTTTATATAACACTTTAAAATCCTAACTTAAATAACAGCTATGGATACCATAAATATAGACATTAAAAATGACCTGGTCAGGCATGGTGGCTCTCGCCTGTAATCCCAACATTTTGGGAGGCCGAGGCAGGAGGATTGCTTGAGGCCAGAAGTTTGACACCAGCCTGGGCAACATAGTGAGACCTTGTTTCTTCCAAAAATTAAAAAAATTAACCAGGTGTAGTGGTGCACACCCCTATTCCCAGCTAGTCAGGAGGCTGAGATGGAAGGATCGCATGAGCCTGGGAGGTCCAGGCTGCAGTGAGCCATCATCATGCCAGTGCACTCCAGCCTGGGCAACAAAGTGAGACTGTCTCAAAAAAATAAAATAAAATGACCTGGCATTTGAGGCAGAAATGAGCCTAAAAGCAGGAGGATTGGCTGAAAGTCTGTTTATAAAGCAACTTAAAAAAAAAACTGTTAATATTTGAATGACCTAGTTGAGCAACTATAACAACCGGATGAAAATTTTTTTTAAGACTTTAAAAGGGTCAAAGGGATAAGATATTGACTCTAATGGAATATTGGAGAATTCTGGACCAAGGTTAGGGAGGGAACAAATGCACAGAACAAGCTTTTGAAGCCAGTTTTACAGTGGAAATATAGACCAGGAAGAAAGTGGCTAAGAGGTACAGCTGTGCTTTTCATGGAAAGTGGACAAGATCGGCACCATGTCCGAGTCTGGCACTACCTCCCACTCTGGACTGAAACCCTAAAGTGCTGTACCTTGGATTGGGGGTATAGTTTGCAGCAGCAATGGGTGATTTAGAAAACCTCAAGCCTCTGTTCGGGACTGCCAGTGCCCACAAGTGCCCAGCGGAAGCAAACAAAAATTTCTCTGAAATAAGATAATGGCATCCTAGTCCTCAAATTATTTTTATAAATTTTCAAGTACAACCTAAGTAGAAAAATAAAAAAAAAGATAATGAGGCACATAAAGAGACATAACAACAGAAGCCAAAACCAGCAAAAACAAGAAAAACAGACACACTGAAACCCTGGATATACCGTAAATGCTATGAAACAAATATGCTTATTATGTTTATAGAGATAAAAGCCAATCTTAAAAACTTAAGACAAGTACCACTAAATTCTAGAATTGAAAAATGTAGTAGTCTATAAGAACTGAGTGAGCTGGGTGTAGTGGCTCATGCCTGTAATCCCAGCACTTTGCGAGACCAAGGTGGAAGAATTGCTTGAGCCCAGGAGTTTGAGACCAGCCCTGGCAACGTAGTGAGACCCCCATCTCTATAAAATTAAAAAAAAAAAAAAAATTAGCCAGGCATAGTGGCATATGCCTGTAGTCCTAGCTATTCAGGAGGCTGAGATGGGAAGATCACTCGAGCTTGGGAGGTCAAGGCTGGAGTGAGTCATGATTGGGCCACTGCACTCCAGCCTGGGTGACAGAGCAAGACCCTGTCTCAAAAAAAAAAAAAAAAAAAAAGAGTGAATGAGGCTTATGGCAGATTAGACCAGAGAGAATTAATCAACTGGAAAATATCTCAGAAGAAGCAATCCAGAATGCAGCACAGAGAGACCAAAAAGAAAAAAAAATAGGTAAGGGACATACATTTCATTGATAGATCTTTAATTGAAGTCCTAGAAGAAATGAGAATGAAGCAGAGGCAACATGTGCCGGCCTCATGGCTGAGTTTTTTTTTTAGAACTGGTGATTGACAATCAATATTCAAAAAGCTCACAGAAACCCATGTGGGATGCATAAAAAGAAATCTACATCTAGGAACATTATTGTGAGGCTTCAGAATCACCACAAAGAGAAGAATATGAAAGCAGTCAGAACAAAAAGATTTCCTTCAAAGAAGCGACCGTTAGACTGACAGCAGACTCCTCAGTGACAATAAGATACCAAGGCAGTGGTAATGACCTATTAAAGTTGCTTATGGGAAATACTTGCCAACCTAGAATTCATTACACAGTGAAAATATCCTTCAAGAATTAAAGCAAAATGAAGACATTTTTCAGAAAAACAAAAAACCGGGGATTCACCACCTGGCAGACTGTTTTTATATTAAAGGAAAGGAAATTTTGTTCCTTAGGGAAAAAGAAAATAATCCCACATAGAAACCCTAAGGTGTAGGAAGGAATGAAAAGCAAAGAAAGTTATGAATAAGTGGGTGGGTACAACAAAATGAATGTTGTTTATATAGAGTGAAACAAACATCACATGGGATTTTGAAAAATATATATAGAGAGAATTAAAATGCACAACAACAATAGCTCCGTTAAATAGAGTTAAGCTGTTATGTGGGACTTACATTGATTGACAGGAAGGTAAATTAAAAATTATAATGTGGAGCTGGGGACATTGGCTCACACCCATAATCCCAGCACTTTGGGATGTCAAGATGGGAGGATCACTTGAGGCCAAGAGTTTGAGACTAGCCCTGGCAACATAGGGAGACTCTGTCTCTACACACACAAAAAAAATTTAACTAGCCAGGTGTGGTGACATGTGCCTGTAGTCCCAGCTACTCCAGACACCGAGGACAGATGATCACTTGAGCCTAGGAGTTTGAGGTTACAGCAAGCTTTGGTCGTGCCACAGCACTGTAGCCTGGGCAATAGAGCGAGACCCTGTCTCAAAAAAAAATTTAATGTAGAACGTTGGTGGTTAAAGATGCATGATATAAATTTTAGGATAACCATTAAAACACTACAAAGACTTCCTGTTTATGGTAAGGTAATGTTGGGATGAAATGAAACAACAAAAATCCGAAAAGCAAGAAAAAAGAGGAAAAGGAACATAGGCAAGACAAGATGAGATGAGAGTGATGAGACTAAATGTTTGGGGGCTAAATCTGCCCCAATTACTTGAAAAAAAAAAAACTAAAAGTAAAAGTAAAAACCACATTAAATCTAAATGGACCACATTCTCTACTTAAAAAAATGCTATTAACCATGTGATCTTCTCAGTCATGAGGTAATCTGGTGACTACCCTTCCTCAAAGCCAGTTGGGATATTCTTTGAATAGAGTAAAACAGTGTTTCTAGGCTGGGAGACACCAGACATAGTTGAGGACAGAGGTGCTAGAAAATAGGAAGTTTAAAAGCATGTGCGGTGATGCTCAGAGGAGGTAAACCCCACCCTCATGCTCATAGCTTCCAATCATTTTCTCTAGTTCTTAACTCTTAAATGTGAGAAATGCTTGAAGATTACTAGTCATCTGAAGAAAGTCTCTTTATTAAAGATTTTCATAAAAGAGACCAAAGCAGACAAACAGAAAAAGACATCTTGGGGAAAAAAACAAGGATAATGGGAAGAGAAGGAAAGTTTTAAAAATTATCAATATCCTCAGGGGGACAAAATATTATATCCTATAAAGACAGATTTTTATTTTTTAAAAAAATAGAAAGCAAAACAAGCTCCTAAAAATAAAGTTTGATAGCAGAAAGAAGAAAAAGATGAGTTAAGTCACCTAAAAAGAGAGCAAAGGACAGGAGAAGGAAAATAAAGAAAATTAGAGAGCCAATCCAAGAGGTACAATATCAGAAAATATAAATGTCAGGGAACAAGAACAGAAAAATGGAGGGAAGTGAATCCTCAAGACTTCATGAACATTTCCCAAAACTGAAAGACTCGTGTTTTCAGATAGGAAGCGCCTACTCACTGAATGCTAAACATGATGAATTAAAATAATGCACATCAAGGCACAGTGTTATGAAATTGTAGACCGTTAGGTATAAAAATAAGGATCTGGCTGGGCACAGTGGCTCATGCCTGTAATCCCAGCACTTTGGGAGGCTGAGGCAAGAGGATTGCATGAGTCCAGAAGTTTGAAACCAGCCTGGGCAACATAGTAAAACCCTGTCTCTACAAAAAATAAAAAAATTAGCCAGGTGCGATGGTACATGCCTGTAATCCCAGCTACTCAGGAAGCTGAGGTAGGAGGATCGCTTGAGTCCAGGGAGGTTGAGGTTGCAGTGAGCTTGTGCCACTGTACTCCAGCCTGAGTGACAGAGCGAGACCCTGTTGCCAAAAAAATTTTTTTTTAAAAGGGATCCTACATGCATCCAGAGATTAAACGAAAACAATCACCTGAAAAGGCTCTGAACTCAGATTGATGCTTCTCACCAGCACTGGAAGCTAGATGGTATTGGAATAATACCTCACAGTTCTGAAGGAAAAATATTTCCAAGCCAGAATTCTAAACCTAGACAAACTATCAAATATAAGTAGAAAGAAGTAAACAAACACATTTTCAGAAATGCAAGATTTCAAAAAATATATATCTCCCATGCACTGTTCTTCAGAAAGCCTTGGGAGAATGTACCCTACCAAAAGAGGGAGTAATAAACTAGGAAAAGTTGTATTTGGGAAATGGAATCAACTTAGAAAGAAGCAAAGAGGCCTGTAATGATAAAGGGGTTTTCTAGGATGACAGCTCCATAGCTGGAATGGGGGACAACCAGACCAGAATGGAGCTTTAGTAGATATATTCTAGAGCAGGAAATTCGAGAATATATAAAGTAGCTAAAATAGAAGAAAATGTAGACAATTGAGTGAGAGTTCAAGGGTGAAATAACAATGTTAAATACTAAAAAATCAAAGTAAAGGAAAAAGGACAATTATTAACTTCAGGAAAGACAAAGTTATGCAGAAAAGGAAAAGTAACCATGATATAAACATTGAATATTGATTGAACCACAATTATGCTCTAACTATATTGGGAAGAAGAAAGAAAGCTGAAAATATGAAAGAGCGCTAAATATTTACTCCTACAGGAAAGAGTCAGTGATCTCCAAAACAGAAAATGCAAGATCAGCACAATAAGAGAAGGCAAAAAAAAAAAGAAAAAAAAAAAGAGAGAGAGAGAGAAAAAAAAATCACAAGAAACATAAGTTATTTAAGAGTGAGAGAGAGAAACAATCAGCTAAAAAAAATTGTCATTGCCTCTGTAGAGCAAGAAGTGGAGTGTTAGAGGTGGGCTGGGAACTGGAGTTAAAACAAGCGTTGATGAATTGTATGTATTTGTCATTTTCATAAATGTAAAAACTAAACTGAGAAAAGCCATTTGATATTTCTGAAATTACTTAGCGAATAAGAATTATTAAAGATCGTTTGATTTTAACTCAGATTTCTGTTTCTTCTTGGCTGTTTTCTGTTTGGGGGGAGCTGTTTGCGATGTGGATGGATTACCATTTATTTGCCTGAATATAGGAATTTACTTCTTTCATAATTTGAAAAGTGACCATACTAGTAAACTTTAAAATGTGTTCTAGGTGTGGCTTTAGCTGTTATTCTCTGTAACACCCGGCATATTAGTGACAGTGTTTTCCTAGAAGCTGCAAAGGTAAATGTTTTAAATGTTGTTTATTTTATAAAGGATGAATTATAAAGATGAGTAGATCTGAAAATTAAAGGCAGAGAGAGAATGGGTTAAATCTGCCTTATTAATGAAAAGGAAGTTACTCAAATTACTTTTATGATTTGCCTATTTATGCATAAAATTAATTTTTTTAATCATGACTTAAATTTTTGTAAACTGAATCCTCTCGTTTTAATAACACTTAGACTATACTTGCAATTTGTATATCTGAATATATTGTGACAGCATAGATAACTCCTTGCATGTTTTTAATGGACAAGTACTGGTATTATTTGGAGTGCTGGCCTATGGGAGCTCCAGACTTTGAAGTATTTCTGAAGAACTCACATTAATACAATTAATGTCTGTTTTCAAAGTAGCCATTGCAATTAAGCCAAGCTCTACATGTGTAATATAAAGCAGAATATAATCAATAAGTCTTTAAATCTGGTTATTTATTGTTTAGTGATGAACAGTTTTAATTTCTGCAGTGGTTTAAGTGTATTCCTTCAAGAAATAAGAGGAATTATATTACCTGTTTTACTCTCTGTTTCCCCAATGCTTTTTCCATTTACTGGGTCCTTATTCTGTTATTTAAACAAACAAAAGCAAAATGCTGTTTTTCTCTTCAGGCCCTGACAAGCCAATTGACAGATGAAGAGCTAGCCCAAGGGAGACTTTACCCACCGCTTGCTAATATTCAGGAAGTTTCTATTAACATTGCTATTAAAGTAAGTAATAACTTAAACTTCTTCACATTAATTTTAATGACATTTTCTTATACAAGAAATACAGGTTTATTAAGATAAATCTGAAACATTTAGAAGGCTGCAAAGAAGAAATTTTAGGCCCATATTCTTACTACCAGAATATAACACACATGATTATTTTGGGTTTGTTGCCTTCTAGTCTTTTTTCTTTGCAAACACATACATGCATACACACATGCATGTAGTCACTTGTGCCTTTTTGAAAAATTGTTTTAAAGAATAGAGATAGGGGTCTTCCTGTGTTGCCCAGGCTGGTCTCTAACCCCTTGGCCTGAAGCGATCCTCCTGCCTTGGACTCCCACAGTGCTTGGATTACTGGCATGAGCCACAGCACCTGGCCTGTGCCCATTCTTATAATTGGTTTCTTACTGCACTTTTTCCCCTTAATATATTGTAAGTCTTTTCCATGTAACTTAATAATAATTCTCATGTATGTGATCATTAATGCTGCATGGCATTCTCTTTATTATTTTTTCAAAATTTGTTTCATCATTTCTCTGTTTTTGGACATTTAAGTTTTTAGCTTCTTATTGTTAGAAATAACACTGTAGGCTGGGCGCAGTGGCTTACACCTGTAATCCCAGCATTTTGGGAGGCCGAAGCAGGTGGAACATCTGAGGTCAGGAGTTCGAGACCAGCCCAGCCAACATGGTGAAACCCCGTCTCTACTAAAAATACAAAAAAAGTTAGCCAGGCATGGTGGTGGGCACCTGTAATCCCAGCTACTCTGGAGGCTGAGGCAGGAGAATCACTTGAACCTGGGAGAAGGAGGTTGCAGTGAGCTGAGATCGTGCCATTGCACTCCAGCCTGGGCCACAAGAGCAAAACTCCATCTCAAAAAAAAAAAAAAAAAAAGAAAGAAAGAAATAACAGCGTAATGAACATCTGTCTTTACAGATAAATCTTTGTGTGTATTTGTGATGGTTTCTTTTTTTTTTTTTTTTTTTTTTTTTTTTTTTGAGACAGAGTCTTGCTCTGTCACCCAGGCTTGAGTGCAGTGGCGGAATCTCAGCTCACGGCTCACTGCAACCTCTGCCTCCCAGGTTTAAACAACTCTCCTGCCTCAGCCTCCCAAGTAGCTGGGATTACAGATGCCCACCACCATGCCCAGCTAATTTTTTGTATTTTTAGTAGAGACGGGGTTTCACCATGTTGGTCAGGCTGGTCTCGAACTCCTGACCTCAGGTGATCCACCGGCCCTGGCCTCTCAAACTGCTGGGATTACAGGCGTGAGCCACCACGCCCGGGCTGTGATGGTTTTTTTTTTTTTTGGGATAAATTCTAAGCTTAAGAACAAAGGTTTTTAAGGTGTTTTAAGGCTTCTGATGCATATTGTCAAATGAGCTCTTCAGAAAAAGTACTGATTTACATTGCAGCAATTAGATATGAGTGTATCTTTTTCCACACTTTTTCCAATACTTAGAATTATTTTTTTAATCTTGCATATTTAATAGGTAAAATTGTTTCTCATTATTAAGGCATTATTAGTGAGATTGAAGAATTAATATATATATATTAAGTGTATATATACTGTTTGCTGTGGTGCAGATATTTTCCCACTTGTCATTTGTTTTAACTTTATAGAATTGTTTGACATGTCTTTTAAAAGTTTTTTATGGAATTATTTGTTTATTTTGTGGATTCTCTCCTCACCTTTTATGAATATTAATGCCTTCTGTCACTCCAAAATCATAACTGTCTACTTGCATTTTCTAAAATAAAACTTTTTTAATCTCTCTGGGATTTATTTTAATGTATGATATGAGAAAGGGAAACATTTTTTCCTGAGTAGTTAACCAGTTGCCCCAGCATTATTTATTGATTAATGCGTCCGTTGTTTACAGTTAATTGGGAATTGAATCTGTTCCTGGGATTTCTATTCCTGACCATTTTTGTTTACTATCTGACACTGTTTTAAATTTTATAATGTGTATAATGTAACATTTAGTACTTTATCTTTCCCATCATTATGCTTTTTCAGTGTTTTCTTGACTGTTCTAAATTGTTTTCTTCTGGACAAGTTTTTGTATCTGCTTTTTTAATTTTAAAAAACTCTGCAACTTTGTATGAAATTGTTGCATTTATAAATTGGTGAAGTTGGGTCTTTCAGTATTGAGTATTCTCCAATCACTATCTCTCTTTACTTATTAAGATCTTTTTTAAAAAGTGTTTCAGTATAATTTTGTTTTCTTCATCTGAATATGGCATTTTTACTTTTTTCTAAATATTTTTAAATTTCTGTTTTTCTAACAAAGACTTTTTTTTCTTTCCAAGTATCTTCTCATTGATCATTTCTAATATATAGGAAAAGGTAGGAATAATACTAATTTGAAAACATTCATTTTTATGAATTTACTTGATGACCAGTTTTTTGAACAATCTTATTTTAATAGTTTTTCATTTCATTTGGAATTGTTGAGTTTTTAATTGTCTGCAAGTAATTTTTTCTTTTTTTAATATGCATAGTCCGTTTTTCTCTAACTATAAATCAGCTGAAACTGCAGAATAGTCTTAAGCAATTAGGTTGATAAGGGTATTCTTGTATTTTTTTTTCAATTTAGAGACAGAGTCTATGTTGCCAAGCTGATCTCAAACTCCTAGGCTCAAGTGATCCTTCTACCACAGCCTCCCGAGTAGCTAGAGGCACATGCCACCACACCTGGCTAACATCTTTGTATGTTAATATTAAATATGATGCTAGCTTTTGATTGAAATAAGTATTTTCTACTTTTTAAAAGAAGTAGTCTTCTATTTCTAGATTACTAAGATTTTTCTTAAACATTAGGATTGACTGTGGAATTTATCAGCCACAATTTCAACTTCCATACAGTTGATCATAAAATTTTATCATTTTGACTATTAAATTTATTTATTTATTTATTTATTTATTTTGAGGCCGAGTTTTACTCTGTCACCCAGGTTGGAGTGCAGCGACGTGATCTCAGCTCACTGCAACCTCTGCCTCCCAGGCTCAAGCGATCTTCCCACCTCAGCCTCCCGAGTAGCTGGGACCACAGGCATGCACCATCATGTCCAGCTAATTGTTTTTTGCATTTTTGGTACAGATGGGGGTTTGCATTGTTGCCCAGACTGGTCTCAAACTCCTGAGCTCAGGAGATCTGCCCACCTTGGCCTCCCAAAGTGCTGGGATTATAGATGTGAGCCACTGTGGCCAGCTTTGACTATTAATTTTATTATTACATTATTTTGGTGCCTGTAACCTAAGCAAAGATTGGGAATTGGTAAAGGATGGTATGTTCAGGGAATAATAGTTGAGCCTGGGGGAACAGGTAGGGAAATGGCATGGAAGAAAATTTGAAAGTTATATTAAAGCCAGCTGTACAAATATACAAATGCCAGGCTAAGGAGTATGATTACCTTCTACTGCAAAACAGTTGAAGATTTTAGAGCCCAGAACTAGGATGATAGAGTCCAACTTTAGAATTTATAGAATGATATTACAGGTGGGAGAGATTTTGGAAGATATTAGTCAGTTAAGAGATTACTGGGCCAGGCAGAGTGGCTCACTCCTGTAATCACAGCACTTTCAAAGGCCAAGGCAGGAGGATGACTTGAGGCTGTAAGTTTAAGACCATCCCTGGACAACAAAGCAAGATCTCATCTCTACCAAAAAAAAAATTAGCCGGGCACAGTGATATGTGCCTGTAGTCCCACCTACTCAGGAGGCTGGGGTGGGAGGATCACTTAAACACAGGAGGCCAAGGCTGCAGTGAGCTATGATCATACCACTGCACTCCAGTGTGGGTGACAGAGCAAGACCCTGTCTCTAAGAAAGAAAAAAGAGAGAGAAATAATTGGTATATCCAAATGAGAGGTAGTACATGAGGTCATAGAAGGAGACCTCTGCTTAGGATTAGTATAGCAACAGAGGCCCAGGTTCATGTCTCTGCGTTTCCCCAGAGGCAGGAGTAGAGAGTGTGCTGTGTCTGCAGTGGCATAGGCTTTTCTTTTTAGGAGCAAATAAGGAAGTGGTGAGTAGAGGAGGCAGAGCTTTGTGTCTGTCCCCACCCCAAATAGCCACTGATTCACCCCTTTGGCTCTATGAGCAGGGCTGTGTGTGCTCCTCTGACAGCCACCAGTCACCTTCTGCATGCCTCCAGGACCAAGGGGAGCTTTCTCCAATCTCATGCCTTGCCCGTAATCTTTTTCTGTGGTTACTACCAGCCTGTGGGAAAGAGATTTGCAGTGAGTGTGAGCCCCCCTTATGTCTAAAGCTTGCAGTTGTTCCAGAATAAAACACTAGCTCACATTGACCTTTGGCAGTTCCTTAAAATTTTAGCTGACTTCTTATTGTATGCATGGTGGCCACTGCCTCATTCTCCCTCCCATGCTCTGCCACAAGTGAGAGTTTCTGTGTCTAGTCTGCCGCCTTCTCTCCTTCATTCATTTATTTATAAATTTATATTTATTTATTTATGTTAATTATGCTGCTCACTGGCTTCAGAACACCTCCCACTGCCCCTCACATCAGGCAGGCCACGTGTTCAGCTCTCCAAGGTCGGAAGGAATGAGGAAAAATGTGTTTATTCCATCCTCCTGGAAGCAAAAATCTCTGCCTGTCTTTTTATATCATTCCTGTTTTTCCTGTTTAGTACAAAAACTGAGAAGAGCAATTTGGTCAACAAACTGTACTAATGACATGTTATGTTTATTTGGCCCTTAGGTTTTTTGTTTGTTTGTTTGTTTTTGAGATGGAGTCTCAACTCTGTCGCCCAGGCTGGAGTGAAGTGGTGCAATCTCAGTTCAACACAACCTCTGCCTCCCAAGTTCAAGTGATTCTCCTGCCTCAGCCTCCTGAGTAGCTGGGATTACAGGTGCCCGCCACCACGCCTGACTAATTTTTGTATTTTTAGTAGAGACAGGGTTTCACCATGTTGGCCAGCCTGGTCTCATAAACTCCTGACGTCAGGTGATCCACCTGCCTCAGCCTCCCAAAGTGCTGGGATCATAGGTGTGAGCCACCACGCCCAGCCAGCCCTTAGGTTTTTAACCTCAGATCTTTATTGCAGTTACCTGCCACTGAGGATCTAGCCCTTCCCTACTTCTTTTTCCTAGTCAGTGATAATAAAATATTAGTAAAATATGTTTTCTATAATAGAACAGAAAACAATTGAACACATTTTCTATCACAAAATACACTGAGATTGAGTTCTTGGTACCAAGGATTATTTTTTAATAACCATCTTATTCTGAGATTTTTCTTTTAGAAAGTTGAAATATGAAACTTTAATAATGGTTACCATTTGGAATGAGAATTAGAGGAGGAGAGCGACATCTTATAATTGTTTGAATTTTTTCTACCATATGTCACTACATTTTTTTAAGTTAAAATAAAACCTGCCGGGCATGGTGGCTCATGCCTGTAATCTTAGCACTTAGGTAGGCTGAGGCAGGCGGATCACCTGCGGTCAAGAGTTCAGGAGCAGCCTAGCCAACATGGCAAAACCCCATCTCTACTGAACATACAAAAATTTACCAGGCATGGTGTTGCATGCCTGTAGTCCCAGCTACTGGGGAGGCTGAGGCAGGAGAATCGCTTGAACCCAGGAGATGGAGGTTGCAGTGAGCTGAGATCGTGCCACTGCACTCCAGCCTGGGTGACAGAGCAAGGCTTCATCTCAAATAAATAAATAAATAAATCCATAACAGAGCAAGGCTCCATCTTAAATAAATAAATAAATAAATAAATAAATAAAACCATGACTTCAGAACTTTACTGTGTGAGAGGTGCTGTGCTACCCTGTGAGGAAGTGTTTCACATTCCTCATTTTATATCAGAACTGAGGTTCAAGGGCTTATTCTCACCACCAATCATGGTGTGTGGCTTGGGTGGAGAATTTGAAATTCACTCAAGCCACCTTTGGTGGGGAGTAGTCGAGCTTACTGTTGAGGGTCTAATATCTAGACTCAGAATGCTTTGGGTTTGAAACAGCTCTCAAGTAACTACCTTGGGCAAGTTACTTAAACTCCTCTCATTCCTCATATGCAGAATGAGAATAATGATAGCACTTATCTCCTGGGGTTCTTGTCGAGAGTAAAGGAGGTATCCTTGTAAAACACATAGAAAGTGCCTGGCACTCAGTGATAGTGGTGTCAGTTCCCCTGTATAGGTTCTAGCCCTGACTTCACCTGACCTTATAGTTCTAGTGTCTAAATCCTGATTTATAATAATTACTATGCCTCTTAATCCAAATTCTAGAGCAGAAACCTCTCTCTCACCTTGGGTTAGGTTTTCTTCCTGGTCAAGTTGGCTGTGATTAGGAAATAGTCTCTGTGCCCCTCTAGAAAGGCCACTCTTTCAGCAAGACTGGGAGGAATGACATAGGCTGGGCAGGTTATCTAAATGTATTTACTAGAATGACACAGTAGAACTTAAATGTGTTTGGTTTTATCTTTTAAACTTTCCATAGTTTCCAAATGTTTTGAAAGGAGTCAAAGCAATGTTATTTTTTACTGTGAAAAAAGAAGAATGCCATTCTTCTAAACTTATTTTCCTGTGTTATAATAGTACGTTGTCTCTCTAATAGGTTAATACTCAGAGCCTACACAATAACCTTACTTATTTTTCAGGTTACAGAATACCTATATGCTAATAAAATGGCTTTCCGATACCCAGAACCTGAAGACAAGGCCAAATATGTTAAAGAAAGAACATGGCGGAGTGAATATGATTCCCTGCTGCCAGATGTGTATGAATGGCCAGAATCTGCATCAAGCCCTCCTGTGATAACAGAATAGAAGCACTCCCCTGATAAATACTTTCTGTGCTCCAGGGAACCCCTTTTTTCAGACAAGAAGAGATAATGTCTTCAGTTTTATGGTGTTTTCTGTGTTTTGTTCTCCCTGACCACTTTGGTTGATGTATTTTTTCCATGCGTCTCCACATCTGTTGGGGTAGACGTGTTGATTGATTGCATTGCCCACCAGCACCCTACAGTCAGATAGTTGTGATGCTTTAATTCTAACATACAGCCCGTACCACATCCAGGAGATGTAAAAAGTGTGTTTGTGAATGTCTTCACTTGTACTCTAATTCAGACTTGCCAAAGTATTTGCTATTTACTATTATGGGTAATACTCTTCTCTGGCCTAGTTCTTACAGAGCTACTAAAATAGAAATTTACTTTTATGGATAGAAGTACAGAATTTTGAGAAGAAACTAAATTTTCACCAAATTTTAAGGAAAAATTGTCATTATCTAAAAATGTTCTTATATATCTGCTTCATCTTACCTTCATACTCTGAAATTCCCTATAGCAGACAGAGCTAGGGAAATATTAAAAATTTACCCTATTTATTTTCTGGAACTAAATCAAGCCTTAACTATAACATTATGAGAGTAATGGGAACTACTGCTGGCTTTAAGTAAATAAAAGTCATTGTTTTCAACAGTGTATAAAAATCATAGTGTAACCTTTTTATTTAATAAATATCTTACATTTAATTGCTTCAGTTATGCTATCTTATTGCCCAACTAGAAATTTAGATTTGCTTATGAAAAACACATATTTTTGTTACTTCTAGATGATTCTAGGAGGGAGTATAAGATACCTAATCATATGGGAACATCACGTGACTTTTTAAATCTAAATTAGTCATGCTTCACATCAAAATGAGTCATATTTAACTGGAGAAACTATGCCCTTATTCCAGAACTGATGCTCTTTATTGCTTGAGATAATTTTGGAATGTTACTATGATACTGTTTCTTTGAATATCATTAGTAGTGACAACTCTTTCTCCATTGAAGGCAGACTTAATTTTTTTAAACCACCAACATTAATTTAGAGCTAAATGGGGATGAATAAGGTTGGTGTTCATCTGGGAAATGCCTTTTTTAATCCCAGTAAAATGGGTAATAATGGCTATCCAGAACAGTTTTCTTGTGTGGCTTGCATATTGAAGAATTCTAAAGGAAAATATATCTGCCTACCATGCTTGCTCTTAGGGAAGAAAACTTAAATGCTCATTCTAGGATAGTAACAACAACAGATAATTCATCGATAATATGAGCATGCACAGTATTTGATATTGCTCTGTAGGAAAAAAGAGACTTCATTTTTTTCATCTTCTGCCTATGAATACAAATTGATTCTTTTTTTTTTTTTTTTTTTTTGAGACAGAGTCTCACTCTGTTACCAGGCTGGAGTGCAGTGGTGTGATCTCAGCTCACTGCAACCTCTGCCTCCCAGGTTCAAGCAGTTCTCCTGCCTCAGCCTCCCAAGTAGCTGGGACTACAGGTACACGCCACCACGCCCAGCTAATTTTTGTATTTTTAGTAGAGACGGGATTTCACCATGTTGGCCAGGAGGGTCTCGATTTCCTGACCTCGCGATCCGCCCACCTCAGCCTTCCAAAGTGCTGGGATTACAGGCGTGAGCCACCGCACCCAGCCAATTTTTTTTTTTTTTTTTTTTGAGACAGAGTCTCGCTTTTGTCGCCCAGTCTGGAGTGTAGTGGCATGATCTCTGCAACCTCTGCCTCCTCGGTTCAGGCGATTCTTCTGCCTTAGCCTCCCAAGTAGCTGGGATTACAGGCACCGGCCACCACACCCAGCTAATTTTTGTATTTTTAGTAGAGATGGGGTTTCACCATGTTGGCCAGGCTGGTCTCAAAATCCTGACTTCAGGTGATCCACCCACTTTGGCCTCCCAAAGTGCTGGGATTACAGGCGTGAGCCACCACACCTGGTCCAATTCATCATAATTCTGAATATAATTTAATAATTTTAAAATGGTCGCAATGGCATTGCCATTTGGAGTATGGGAAAATGCAGTTGGTTAATTCATTGAACAGATTAGTAAAGTCAGAAGTCTTTTTCATAACATACGGTCACAATTCCTTTCTTTTAATTAAAGACAAAAGGTTTATGGGTTTTGGTTTGTTTGTTTTAGATATGGGGTTTTGCTATGTCACCCTTGCTGGAGGGCGGTGGCTGTTCACAGGCGTGGGTCATAGAGCACTGCAGCCTGGAACTCCTGGGTTCAAGCTCTCCTCCTGCCTCAGCCTCCTGAGCAGCTTGGACTAAAGGTGTGCACCACCGCACCTGGCTGAGAGGCTTCTGTTTTTCATGTTCCCTTTATCAAAACAAAATCACGCCTAAACATACTCTCTGTGTGAAATCTTGATTTTAGTTCAACCTAAGAAATATAATAAATATAAACCTGTTTCTTGCTTAGTGTTTATTGAAGGCAGGAACGTATGCTGAATTAAAGTAATTTTACTACGAAGTTTGCTTATTAAGTATGCCTGGTACAGTCTTCATGGAAGTTATTAAGTATTTTAAGGAAAAAAATAGGCTAAATGGCATATAGCCTGCTTAAATAAAATAATTCTATTTTTTTAAAAAGCTCCCAATTGTCATTGTTATTTACCAGTCAATCTTTCAACAAGTATCAATTATTGGATGTAAATTAAAGTAAAATTGCTTAATATTTAAGCTAAGAATACAGGAAGGACTATGAGCATTGAGGAAATCGGGGGAGGCCAGAATGGCATCAAGCTGGAAAAGAAATTAAAACATTACCTTCGATGAGACTTTACCTAGCAAGAAGGTAATTATTTTGAATAACAGCAATAGAGAATCTTTTATTTTGAATTGAGAAGAAATTCTGATGATTAGAGTGTCAGTAAGTAGTAGGAAAAGGTAAGAATACATGTGTTTCTAATCTCCCACCACCACCTGTTGTATGGAACAAATTGGATTACTAGCAAGGGTAAGGTTTATTGACAATGAGAAGTTTTAGTCCAAGATTTTAGTTAAAATATTTTAAAATTTTTTGATTCATAACCAAGAAGTTGCCTCAGATCACTGTGAAGCTTTAAAATGCAGGTGCCTTTGCTCCTCCTCCCTCCAGGCCCCCGGGGGCAGAGCCCTGGCTGGTGTCTCTTCAGGAGGACCCCTGACACACCGATTCTGCCCTCACAATCACTGCCTTAAAGCAGGCAGCAGAATCTTTTGGAGAACTAACAAGATTCTGATGCTGATGCATAGGGCCTGGGGTGGGGCCTCAGATTCTGCTTTTTTTTTTTTTTTTTTTTTTTTTTTTAAACAGGGTCTCTTTCTTTTTCCTTTCTCACTCAGGCTGCAGTGAGTGGCGTGATCTTGGCTCACTGCAACCTCCACTTCCTGGGCTCAAACGATCCTCCCGCCTCAGCCTCCTGAGTAGCTGGGACTATAGGCGCAAGTCTATGCAACCACCCAGCTAATTTTTGTATTTTTAGAAGAGTGGGGGTTTTGCCACGTTGCCTGGGCTGGTCTCGAACTCCTGACCTCAAGTGATCCAACCACCTCAGCCTCCCAAAGTGCTGGAATTACAGGCATGAGCCACTGCACCCAGCCAAGAATGTCCACTTCTGACAAGCTCCCAGGTGATGCCTATGCTGCTGGTACAGTGAACAACATGCTGAGAGGCATTGCTCCAGGATACTGCATGTAGTGAGCAGTTCTTTAGCGTTTATGTGTCATATACTTCAAGTTACATGAAAAAGATCAACTGAAATTATGTTCTTACACAGAATAGTTTTCATCTAGTTTTATTATGTTTTTACAGGCTGTTTACAAGAACAAAAATAGAGAATTTTTGAACATATTTTTCTGAAAACATAAAAACTAGAGTACTCTTTAATTCTAAATTATAGATTTGTAGCATACTTAGTAAACTTAGTAACCAATTTTCATTTGTAAAAGATTAGCTATCAAATGGACATTTATTTCTCTTAGTTTTCTTATGACATGACTTGCCTTATATCCTTTGTCCTTTTTCTGTAACTTGTCAGCCTCTGGAGAAATAGGATTTTACATTTTTGCAAATGAGTTGCCAATGAATTAAGATCAAAACGTCATTATTAAGGAGTATGAAGCATTATTTACTGGCTCTCAGATAACAGAAAACCCAAAAGGGATGGTGGCGGAGTGAAGAAAGCCTTGCCTTGGGAAAAATACTTCAAATGCTCCCATAGTTTTTTTTCCTCAAGCCCAGTCAGTATCCTTCAAGGATAACTTTTTCATACCTTTTTTTTGGTTTGTTTGTTTCTGCTAGCTTTATGACAGAGGTTATAATATTCTTTTCTCCTCTCTTCTTTGACGTGTTACGTTGTCTTTTTTTTTTTTTTTTTAACTTCTTCATACTCTTAAAAAGCTCCAGAATGGCCAGGCGCAGTGGCTCACGCCTATAATCCCAGCACTTTGGGAGGCCAAGGCAGGCGGATCACGAGGTCAGGAGATCAAGACCATCCTGGCTGACACGGTGAAACCCTGTCTCTACTAAAAATACAAAAACTTAGCCAGGCGTGGTGGCGGGCGCCTGTAGTCCCAGGTACTCGGGAGTCTGAGGAGTGAACCCGGGAGGTGGAGGTTGCAGTGAGCTGAGATCGCACCGCTGCACTCCAGCCTGGGCGACAGAGTGAGCCTCCATCTCAAAAAAAAAAAAAAAAAAAAAAAAAAAAAAAAAAAAATCTCCAGGGTTCTGTTGAATTCACCAAAATGGGGTCAGCTCTGGTGAGCCTATGTAATACTCGAGAACATTAATATAAACCCATAGCTCTTTACTGGGCTTCCATTTAAAGGGAAGTCCTAAGAATGAAATGGCACCAGCATCCTGTTTCCATCCAAGACAAGACCACACGTGTTCAGGTGCCATGTATTCATATAGCTCTCAACTGATTGGTGATTTGCACTTTGTGCATCTAATTATTAAAATGAAACTCTCTACAGGTGAGCTGAAGTAACATACTTCATATTTAAAAAGTTCACAGCAATTTGACCATAGAAAACTTTCTCATCTGAAATCAGGGTAAGTTTTTTTAATGTAAGCAGAGAAAAAAATAAAGCAGTGTTTTATTTCAAATTTCAGTAAGTTCAGGTGGGCCTAATTAAGACATGACTATTATTACAAATCCTATTCTTGCCAGAAGTTACTTAGATAGATTAGTGATTAGATTTTAAAAACATTATTTTCCTTTCTTGAATAAGGAAAATTGTGCATCTCAAAGAGAAAAGTAAATATGGAAATATGTTCATAGTTCAGTTGCATAAAATAGACACATTAAGTCAAGTGATTTGAATGCTTAGTGTCTTTTGGTAAACAGCATTTTGTCAACAAACTTTTCATATGGCTATAGAATCTTGTTTTTTCCAAATAAAAACTTTGCAATTGGGAGTTATTCCTCCATTCAGCACACTTTTTAATGTTAAGACTAGGGGAAACTTGTGGGTATATATTCAGTGGTTTTCAGGATTTTCTTTTATGTTCTAGAAAAGTAATTTTTCCTTTCCTAGTTTTAAGTATATATTCAAGCAAATCGTTGATTCCTATACAGCCATTGGATTATCACCAACACATTTGGTATATACAGTGGGCCGATAATGACAAACTAAAGTTTGTGGTTAATACCTACTCTATACCAGACACTGTTCTAAGGATCCGACATATTTAATCCTCTGTTTACCCTCTGTTTCTGTGCCTGATTTACAGACAGAGACAGAGGCACAGAGAGGTTAAATGACTTGTCAAAGGTCTTATGATGTGTGGCAGAGCCTGGGTTTTTAGCTCAAACCCCTCTCAGTGAAGAAAGCCTTCTGTGTAGGCAATTTCATCTAATACCTTCATGAATTGTTACTTCAGATGAGAATTCTCACTTATTCTTTTTTTTTTTTTTTTTTCTTTTCTTTGAGACAGCCTTGCTCTGTCTCCCAGGCTGGAGTGCAGTGGCGCAATCTCAGCTCACTGCAAGCTCCGCCTCCCGGGTTATGCCATTCTCCTGCCTCAGCCTTCCGAGTAGCTCGGACTACAGGCGCCCGCCACCTCGCCCAGCTAATTTTTTGTATTTTTAGTAGAGACGGGGTTTCACCGTGTTAGCCAGGATGGTCTCGATCTCCTGACCTCATGATCCACCCGCCTCGGCCTCCCAAAGTGCTGGGATTACAGGCGTGAGCCACCGCGCCCGGCCTCACTTAGTCTTTTACCAGTTCATCTGATTTTTACTTTGTTCCCATTTATAATTCAAATATAATATAAACGTCTTATTCATTTAGTCTTCAGCATTTTAAGTATTCGACACGAACATTAAAGATTTGGTGTTGAATTTAATAAATTACACCAAAAAGTCTCAGTAGCCAATTCACTAACATCTTTTGATTTGGTAATCTTCACAGAATCAACAACTGTTAACACTTCTGTGCAAATAAATTTCAGTTGTGCTTATATATTATAATATTCACTTTAGGAATCCACCTGTCAATTTGCAATTCAATTATAAGGTATATTTTAAGTGATATCTATGTATTGTATACACATATTCCATTGAAAGGTGAGAATAATTAGAAAGTAGTAATATAAAAATGTGTATGAAATAAGAACTTTCTTAAAAGACCTAGTTTAGCTAAATATATGACAATATAAAATGTCTGCCCAATGTTTTATTATACTTTGTCTAATGACCTTTAAATTTAACTGAAATTAAAACCGTACTTTTGCAGTTGATATTTTTGTGTTCCCTTTGTTAACATACCAAGCACTAATTATTGACTTCAAGGAAGCCACGTATTGCAAGTCATTGCTTAGCCTTTCACATCTGAGTGTTGATAAGATGACGGAATGGGTAGTCTTGTAGTAATTGCTTATGGGAATGCTAGTTTAAGAGGAATGCCTTGTATAGAACATATTATACCAGATTGACTTGTTAAAAATGGTTCCAAGAATCAGTCTAAAAACTTCAGAATTATGTGAATTATTTTTTCTCTGTTGTGATATGTTGTAATGAGATGTGTGTTCTTATATTTTCTTAGTAAAATTTTCTTAAGCATAAAATGCTTTATGATCTTGTTTTTAAAGGCTCTGTGTATAGGACACTTTTAAAACTTGGTAATATAAACCTTAACACACACTCTCTCTCTTTCTCTCTCTCTCCAGAATACTTGATCTCTTGGGAATGTATTGTTGGACTTAAATTCACCTATGGAGTACTAGTTTTGCTCCTCATCTTTTCATTCCCTTTTGTTGAGCTCCCTACCCTATTCCTCTTCTTACTTGATTTAATTATGATACTAAAGGAATTCTCTATCGCCTTTTCTTCTCCCCACTTCTCACACGCAAACACCAAGACCCTAATGTTAAGATACTAAATCAGGAGAGACTATGTTGATTTTGTGATGAAGGGGGGAATTATATAATAACAAATACCTACTGAGACCCTCAGATAAAAGTTCTTTTTTTGCCTCAGGATTCATGAATAGCTCCCAGGAGTCCACGAAGCCCCTGAAATAATACATGATCCTATGCTTGTGTCTCTTGGAGGGAGAGAGTCCATCACCTTCATGAAAGGGCCCTTTCTTTTCCCGGGATAGGTTGAGAAAAACTAGCCTACGCCTCTTTTTTTTTTTGAGACAGGTTCTCACTCTGTCACACAGGCTGGAGTGCAGTGGGGCGATCTCAGCTCATTGCAGCCTCTGCCTCCTGAGTGCAGGTGATTCTCCCACCTCAGCCTCCCAGAGTGCTGGGATTACAGGCGTGAGCCACCGTGCCCGGCCGGCCTACACCACTTTTTGACAACTCCATCATACTTCTTTATTGGGAGGGCTGGCATGGTGAAAGGCCCCAACTTGCATGGAGGCTGAAATAGGTAGCCAGACCAATAAAGGCCTATCGTTGCCTCTATAGCAAATAACACCTAGATACCTCAGCAAGAGCAGTGGGTCAGCAGCACCTCCTTCCCCAAATACAACTGCTCTGTTCTTGAATCCTGAACAGTGTGGACCTCAAATACCACCTGGTCTGTGTCTAAACTGAATAGAATACAACTTCAAAAACAAATGATTTTCTTTCTCAAGCTGATCTAAAAATTACACTTACAACCTCGCAGATCTCCAACTGCTGGGAATATAAGTAACTACCATCCCCAATTGCTGCGCTCTGAAATTCATCATGGCTTTCACATGGAAGCCATGCCTCCTGTGGGCTGCTCTTAGCCAGTGACTTCTCACAGCAGGGATGGTATGACAGGCCTATTCCTGGAAGACAGGAGAGTCCTCTGATGCATAGCTTTAGCTCAAGCCCTGCCCCGTGGCCTTGCCAAGCTCAGAACTGTACTTCAACCTAAGGCACTTCTTCACTCAACCTCTCTTTCTTTCCTCTCTCTTTCACTTGGGATCAGATCTGTATGACGCTATGAAGGCTCTTGCAGGCTCTTCCTGGCTCCCTCCCCACCTTCACAGACATTTCTTCTCATATAAATTACTTGCATATCAGCTGGGTACGGTGGCTCATGCCTGTAATCCTAGCACTTTGGGAAGCTGATGTGGGAGGATTTCTTGAGCTCAGTAGTTCGAGGCCAGCCTGGGCAACACAGTGAGACCTCATCTGTACAAAAGATACAAAAAATTAGCCAGCATGGTAGTGTGCCCTTGTAGTCCCAGCTACTCGGGAGGCCGAGGAGGGTGGATTGCTTGAGCCCAGCAGGTCAAGGCTGCAGTGAGTCCTGACTGAGATGTTCCTTCTTGGATGACCCAGACTAACAGAGCAGTTGATTCAGGATGTAGTTTTGCAGATGAGAAACACTAAAACTATTAGAGCTATTGGTAAGGTAATTAGACTTTCTAGATTTTCTGATATGATCTTTCTTCCAGATATACTGTCTCAACTCCAGACCATGTTGTGAGCTAACCTAAACCAATTCGGACACATGCTCCCAAAACAGGTACTTTCAAGTCAATAACAATACCAAAGAGGTTTGAGGTGGGTAAGGGTTAGCTACCCCCTACAACCTTACTACTAGGTTTTAATAAAAACAAGTCTCAGACCAAATTCTGCCATGTATACAAACATTCATTAAGCAAATATTCATTAATAAGCAGGCACAGGCCAGGCATGATGACTCACACCTATAATCCCAGCACTTTGGGAGGCCGAAACAGGGGAATCACTTGAGCCTAGGAGTTAGAGATCAGTCTGGGCAACATAGTGAGACCTTGTCTCTACACAAATTAAATTAGCCAGGTGTGTTTATATACACCTGTGGACCCAGCTACTTGGGAGGCTGAATTGGGAGGATCGCTTGAGGCTGGGATGTCAAGGCTGCAGTGAGTGGAGACTGTGCCACTGCACTCTATTCTGGGTGGCAGAGTGAGACCCCGTCTCAAAAAATAATAAGAATAATAACTGGCCGGGTGTGGTAGCTCACTCCTGTAATCCCAGCACTTTGGGAAGCCGAGGCAGGTGGATCACGAGGTCAAGAGATCGAGACCATCCTGGCCAACATGGTGAAACCCCATCTCTACTAAATATACAAAAAATTAGCCGGGCGTGGTAGCGGGCGCCTGTAGTTTCAGCTACTTGGGAGGCTGAGGCAGGAAAATGGTATGAACCCGAGAGGCGGAGCTTGCAGTGAGCTGAGATTGCACCACTGCACTCCAGCCTGGGCTACAGAGTGAGACTCCATCTCAAAAAAAAGAAAAAAAAAAAAAGAAGAAGAATAACTAAATAATTTAAAAAATAAGCAGACACAAAACAATTCATACTTCTTAGTCTACTCAGGCTGTCATAACAAAATATCAGAAACTGAGTGGCTTAAACAAAAATTATTTCTTCACAGTTCTGGAGGCTGGAACTCCAGCACTAAGGACACAAATCCTCAATCGGGCCCTACCCTTATGACTTGATTTAACCTTAATTCCTTCTGTAAAGACCTCATCTCCAAATACAGTCACATTGAGGTTTAGGGATTCAACATTTGAAATGTGGGGAGAGATTCAATTTAGTAAAGGTTCGCTCAAGGAGAAGAACAACCCAGAGGCAGGATTTTTATGCCCTCTACTTGGCATCATGAAATCAGAAAAGGTTCTCCCCAAGACAGCCAGGGAATCCAAGCTCAGGTGCCACTCCAAGGCACCTATAATCTCAATAGATTCTTTAGTTTGTTAATCCAAGGGTGGAGAAAATCTCTGAATTATTTCAGCCAATCTATCTATATTGAATACCCTGCATTTTACCAATGAGAGCTTCTTTCTAACATTCATCATGCTAACAAACCAATAAAATCCATTTTTTGACATTCAGTATGCTAATTTGCAAATCATTGGTTTTCTATCAAAATAATAGCAGAAGGTCTTGTGGTAGCTACTTTTGCAGTGCAGCTCTTCCTGATTTAAGGCAATCACTCCAGTACTCTTATTGGCTGACCACCCCCTAAAATTAAAGCTTAAATTAGTTGACAAATACTTAATAATACATCAGTAGACTGAAATACTTAAAAGCAAATTACAGGTGGGGCGCGGTGGCTCGCGCCTGAAATCCCAGCACTTTGGGAGGCCAAAGCGGGCGGATCACTTGAGGTCAGGAATTCAAGACCACCCTGGCCAACATGGTGGAACTTCATCTCTACTTAAAAATACAAAAATTAGGCAGGTGTGTGGCAGGTGCTTGAAATCTCAGCTACTCAGGAGGCTGAGGCAGGAGAATTGCTTGAACCCAGGAGGCAAAGGCTGTAGTGAGCCGAGATTGCACCACTGCACTCCAGCCTGGACAACAGAGTGAGATTACGACTCAAGAAATAAATAAATAGGCTGGGCATGGTGGCTCACGCCTGTAATCCCAGCACTTTGGGAGGCCAAGGCAGGTGGATCACCTGAGGTCAGAAGTTTGAGACCAGCCTGGTCAACATGGTGAAACCCTGTCTCTACTAAAAATACAAAAGCTAGCTGGATTGATGGCAGGCTCCTGTAATCCCAGCTACTCAGGAGGCTGAGGCTGGAGAATTGCTTGAACCAGGGAGGCACAGGTTGCAGTGAGCCGAAATCATGCCATTGCACTCCAGCCTGGGTGGCAAGAGCAAAACTCCATCTCAAAAAAATAATAAATAAAATAATAAATAATTAAGTAAATAAAATAAAATTGTAGCTATTGTAACAGATCATCTGTCCCAATTTCACTTAGAAAAGAGTCACTACAGATTTGGAAGGATAGTATTTAAAAATGCTATCAAGAAGGGTATGGAAATAGTTCATTTGAGTGAAATCCAAGTGCCACTATCACACACACACACACAATGTAGAATGAACTGAGGAAGAAGCAGGCTTAGATGAAGAAAGCAAAAGTTCTGTTTGGGTCAGTTAAGTTTGAGGTGTGTATTAGACACGTTTTGGGTGACACTTGACATTCAACTCTGTTATTTTGGAGTGATTTCTCACTATGTGTGGTGTTGCAGGGGATAAGGTGTTCTGTCCTCCTCTATAGAAGCCAAAGCTGGTGTGGGGAGGATCCGTCTGCTCCCTACCTCATGGCAACCAAGAACAGAGGCCAGTATCTACTGGTGTTGTGTCCATGGCAATGCCCTAAGAAGGCTCTGAGGCAAGACCTTGACTGTGGTTCCTGCTGCCTCCATTAGCTCATGTTTTCTGTCAGTTCTGTGGATTATCCAGTTTCCTTTCAGTCTGCTTAAATTAGCCAAAATTAACTTCTGTTCTAGTAACCAACAATTCTAACTGACATCGAATGAAGAAGATCTTAGCTGTTTATAAGGGTGTATATATTAGATCATTCAACCAGACTTTATGCAAAATGAGGACAGGAGTTGTGTTTTTTATTTTATATAGTCTCAAAATCTCTTTCTCACCCAGTCCAGGGCTCTTTCTCTCTTTCTTTCTTTCCTTCTTTCCTTCCTTCCTTCCTTCCTTCCTTCCTTCCTTCCTTCCTTCCTTCCTTCCTTCCTTCTTTCCTCCCTCCCTCCCTCCCTCCCTTTCTTTCTTTCTTTCTTTCTTTCTTTCTTTCTTTCTTTCTTTCTTTCTTTCTTTCTTTCTTTCTTTCTTTCCTTCTTTCTTTCTTTCTTTTGACTAGTCAAGCACAATAGTGAGAAGGGGGTAAAGAGTAGAACAAGGAGCTGAATCTGTAACTGACTGTGAACAATCTATTGAGGTTAATCATTACCTTTGGACCAGTACAGGGCTCTTTCTCTACTCTATAGGTTTAAGCAGTGCTTGATTTCACATAATCAAATGATCAACAATTTCTGACTATAATTTGAAAGAAAAATAGTGATGAAGCCTGCCATGTTAGCAGTTTGTTGGCTCTAAAACTTGCCTACTACTTTTTTACTAATTTGTAATCAAAGGCACTATTTTCCCGCTTCATTCTATGTTAATTACCTCTGTAGACAAAGTTCATTTACTGATTCTAGGAGACCACTATTATATTACATGTAGATTACCTCTAAGCAGAGAGCAAGAGAGAAAAGAGAAAGCAGCTTTCTCTTATCTGTATAAATTATAGTATTAGATGTGTTAAGTATCACTTTGAAATGACTTAAATTTGAATAACACATTACAAAGCATTTCAACAAGCACCATTTAGTCCTTATAGCAAAAGTTTAAGGCAAAAAGAGCAATTATTAACCTCATTCTACCAATAAAAAAAAAGAGGCTCTGAAAAGTTAAATGACCACCTGATCCAGGTCACTCAAATACAATGGGACAAAATCAAGATTTAAATTGTATTTTGACGGAAAAGTCCATGTGGTTAAGCAATGAAAAAAGACAAATGAAAAATTGGGTAAAAGATGTGCAACTTATTTCATAGTTAAAGAGTTATTGGCCACGCGCAGTGGCTCACACCTTTAGTCCCAGCACTTTGGGAGGCCGAGGTGGGGGGATTGCTTGAGCTCAGGAGTTTGAGACAAGCCTGGGAAACATGGCAAAACCCTGTCTCTACAAAAAATGCAAAAATTAGCTGGGTGTGGTGGCACACACCTGTGGTCCCAGCTACTTGGGGGGCTGAGGTGGGAGGATCGCTTGAGTCCAGGGAGATCGAGGCTGCAGTGAGCCATGATCACACCACTGCACTCCAGCCTGGGTGACAGAGTGAGACCCTGTTACAAAAAAAAAAAAAGAGTTATTATCCCTAATATATAGAAAGCACCAAAAAAAAAAAGAGAAGATAAAGGCCACTAATACAATAGAAAACTGACCAAAAGATATGCACAAAAAGTTCACAGAAAAAAATACAAATGGGGCCAGGTGCAGTGGCTTACACATGTAATCCTAGCACTTTGGGATGCTGAGGCAGGCGCATCACTTGAGGTCAGGAGTTCAAGACCAGCCTGGCCAACATGGTGAAACCCCGTCTCTACTAAAAATACAAAAATTAGCTGGCCTGGTGGCGTGCACCTGTAATCCCAGCTACTTGGGAGGTTGAGGCGGCAGAATCACTTGAACCTGGGAGGCGGAGGTTGCAGTGAGCCAAGATCATGCAAGTGCACTCCAGCCTGGGTGACAGAGCAAGACTCCATCTCAAAAAAAAAAAAAAAAAAAAAAAGCAAATGGATCTTAAATTTATGAAAACATACTCAACATAGCGCACTTATCAAAGATAAATGCCATTTTAAACTACATTAAGATATTAGATTGGCAAAAATCCAAAAGTTTGACAACATTATTGGCGATGAAGATCTGAGGAAAAAGGCACTCTCATAAATTGCTTAACGGAAGTCAAAATGGCACAATGCTCATGGAGGGAATTTTAGCAATATATAGCAAAATTATATGTGTATTTACCCTTTAAGCCATCCATCCCACTTGGTATAAATCTATGCCAAAGATACACTTGCAAAAATAAAAAATTACTTATGAACAAGACTATTTGTTACCATACTGTGATAACGAAACAAAACAAAAAGCAGAAAGCAAAACTGGAAACAACCCAAAGGACTGACTGAATAAAATGATACAAAATCACACAGCAAGTACTAGATAACTGTAAAAAGGAATGAGGAGGAATTTTGTGTATTGATACAGGGTTGTGCTTCTTAGAACTTCCTTCAGAAAAAAACTTGCCATTCAGCTACAAGGAGTGCACCTTTACTAGTTCATTTTGGTTTTCGTTCATGGGAATTTTAATTATCATCTGGAGGCCATTTGCTTTCAGCCTGAAGATATTCCTTTAGTATTTCTTTTTTCTTTTTCTTTTTCTTTTCTTTTTTTGTTTTTGAGATGGAGTCTCGCTCTGCCATGCAGGCTGGAGTGCAGTAGCACGATCTTGGCTCACTGCAACTTCCGCCTCCTGGGTTCAAGCGATTCTCCTGCCTCAGCCTCCCGAGTAGCTTGGACTACAGGCATGAGCCACCGCTTTTTTATATATTTTTAGTAGAGATGGGGTTTCACCATGTTAGCCAGGATGGTCTTGATCTCCTGATCTCGTGATCTGCTTGCCTTGGCCTCCCAAAGTGCTGGGATTACAGGTGTGAGCCACCGTGCCCAGCTTCTTTTTTGTTTTTGTTTCTTCCAACAGGGTTTCACTTTGTCACCCAAGCTGGAGTACAATGGTGTGGTCACAGCTAACTGCAGCCTCAACCTCCCAGGCTCAAGTGATCCTCCTGCCTCAGCCTTCCAAGTAGCTGGGACTACAGGTGTGCACCACCATGCTTGTGTAGTTATTTTTTTATTTTTATTTTTTGTAGAGAAGAGGTCTCCTTATGTTGCCCAAGGTGGTCTCAAACTCCTGGGTTTAAGCAATCCTTCCATATCAGCTTCCCAAAATCCTGGGATTAGAGGCATAAGCCACCACACTCAGCCTGGTATTTCTTATAAAGCAGTTCTGCTAGCAACAAATTCTCTCAGTTTTTGTTTATCTGAGAAAGTCTTTATTAATCTTCATTTTTGAAAGATAGCTTTGCTGGATATAAAATTCTTGGTTGACAGGTTTTTTTTCTTTGTGCACTTTAAATATGTTATCCCACTGCCTTCTGGCTTTCATTGTTTCTGCTGAGAAGTCATCTCTTAATCTTGTAAGTGATGAGTCATTTTCCACTTGCTATGTTCGAGATTTCCTCCTTGTCTTTGCCTTTCAGCATTTTTATTATGATGTGCCTGTCTGTAGGTCTCTTTGCATTTATCCTATTTGGAGTTTGTTAGCTTCAGGATGTGGAGATTATTGTTTTTCAATAAATTTGGAGAAATTTCAGCCATAATTTCTTTTCTTCTGCTTCTTTCTCCCTCTCCTGATATTCTCAATACACCAACATTCGTGTGCCTAACCATGACCCACATTTTTCTGAGGTTTTATTTATCTTTCTTCATTCTTTTTTCTCTTTATTCTTTAGATTGCATAATTTCTGTTGACCCAGCTTCGAATTTGCTAATTATTTCTTCTGTTAGTTAAAATAAACTGTAGGGCCCCTCTAGTGAGTCCTTCTTTCTTTCCTTCCTTCCTTCCTTCCTTGAAATGAATAGAATAACATATAAAAGAACTCCAATATGTCTGGCAGGAGATTTCTCTGTGGAAAACTTACAGACCAGGAGAGAATTGCATGATGTATTTAAAGTGCTGAAGGAAAAATGCTTTTATCCTAGAATATTGTATCCAATGAAAATATTCAAAAATGAAGGAGAAATAAAGATTTTTCCAGAAAAACAAAAGCTGAGGAATTTTGTCAACACTGCACCTGTCCTAAAAGAAATGCTAAAGGGAATTCTTCAATCTGAAAGAAAAGGATGTTAACAAGCAATAACATATCATCTGGGCCAGGCATGGTGGTTCACACCTGTAATCCTAACACTTTGGGAGGCTGAGGTGGGAGGTTGAGCCCAGGAGTTCGAGACCAGCCTGGGCAACATGGTGAATCCCTGTCTCTACAAAAAATACAAAAATTAGCTGGGTGTGGTGGTGTGCAGCTGTAGTCCCAGCTACTTGGGAAGCTGAGGCAGGAGAATCGCTTGAGCCCAGGAGGCAGAGCAGTGAGCCGAGATAGCACCATTACACTCCAGCCTGGGCAATGGGAGTGAAACCCTGTCTCAAAAAATAAAAAAAAAAAAGATATCATCTGAAGGTAGGAAACTCACTGGTAACAGTAAGTACACAGACAAATGCAGAATATTATAACACTGAAACTGTGTTCTTAAATTCAAGACCTAGAACTGTTACCGACCTCGATCCCTGGTGGACTGAACAAAGAGAGTGAATGCGGGAATAAAGACAAAGACAAATAAAGACAAAGACAAACAAGTATGTTTGGAAGAAGGGGTCGGGGGCACCTTGCTTCTAGTGGACAAGGACCCAGACTTTCTACAGCCCTTCGTATTTATTGGTAAAAGAGATAGTGAGAAGTGGGGTGGCAGAAAAGGTCAGGTGCTCGGTCCACAGTGGGCTTGCAAAACTGCATTCCTCGAACAATAGGCTCTAGATGTCCCAGTAGATAACCTCAAGGAGCCCGGTGCCAGGCAGTGACCACCCTCAGCAAACCTTCTGGTGGCAGGCACAGTGTGAGTTTGCCCACATCCTGCATTCATGATAAACAGTTTGCTGTTTGATCATATAGCCTCCAGTGGAATGCTGAGTTGGTCATGATACCTTTGGCCTTTTCAGCTCCCAACATAGAACTAGGGAAACTACTAAAAGAAAACACTGAGGACACTCTCCAGGACAATGATCTGGACAAAGAGTTCTTGAGTAATACCCAAAAAGTACAGGCGACCAGAGCAAAAATGGACAAATGAGATCACATCAAGTTAAAAAGTTTCTGGCACAGCAAAGGAAACAACCAACAAAGTGAAGAGGAACCCACAGAGTGGGAGAAAATATTTGCAAACTACCCATCTGACAGAGGATTAATAACCAGAATTTATAAGGAACTCAACAACTCTACAGGAAAAAATCTAATCAATTAAAAATGAGCTAAAAGTCTTAATAGGACTTCTCTCAAAAGAAGACATACAGATGGTCAAGAGGTCTATAAAAAGGTGGTCAACATCATTGATCATCAGAGAAATGCAAATTAAAACTACAATAAGATATCATCTAACCCCAGTTCAAATTGCTTCTATCCCAAAGAAAGACAATAATGAATGCTGGCAAGGATGTGCAGAAAGAGGAACCCTTATACACTGTTGGTGGGAATGTAAATTATTAGGTTGCTGCAAAAGTAACTGGTTTTTGACATTGAAAGTAATGACGGCCAGACGTGGTGGCTCACGCCTGTAATCCCAGCACTTTGGGAGGCCGAGGCGGGTGGATCACCTGAGGTCAGGAGTTCAAGACCAGCCTGGCCAACACGGTGAAACCTTGTCTCTACTTAGAGTACAAAAAAATTAGCTCGGTATGGTGGTACGCACCTGTAATCCCAGCTACTTGGGAGGTTGAGGCAGGAAAGTCACTTGAACCCAGGAGGCAGAGGTTACAGTGAGCCGAGATTGTGCCACTGCACTCCAGATTGGGGGACAAGAGCGAGACTTTGTCTCAAAAAAAAAAAAAAAAAAAAAAAAGAAAGAAAGAAAAGAAAGTAATGACAAAACATCACAGAACAGGGGAAAATCCCATTTACCCTGATGTGATTATTACCCATTGTATGCCTGTATCAAAATATTTCATGTACCTCATAAATACATATACTTACCATGGACCCATAAAAATAAAAAAATTTAAAAATTTAAAAAGTTATAAGAGAATTAGGAAATTTGAACAGTCACTGCATATTTGATGATATTAAGGAATTATTTTCTTATTTTTATAATATAATGATATTATGGTTCTATTCTTAAAGTCCTTATCTTTTATATATATTTACATACTACAATGCTGACCATCATTATATTGTGATGAGATTTTTTTAAAGGGTCCTTAAATGTTCATAGAGGTATTTATGAATAAAATGATATTTTGCCTGGAATTTGCTAAAAAATAATCCAGGGTTTTGTTTTTGTTGTTGTTGTTGCCTTTGGAGAGAGACGGTGATACTGTGGATGGTTGTCCTCTCCAAATCTCATGTTGAAATGTGATCCCCAGTGTTGGAGGTGGGGCCTAGAGGGAGGTGTCAGATCATGGGGGTGCATCCCTCATGAATGTCTTAGTGCCATGCCCTTGGTGATGACTGAGTTCTCACTCTATTAGTTCACTGGGGAGCTGGTTACTTAAAAGAAGCCTTGCCCCTCCTCCTCGCTGCCTCAGTATGTGACATGCCTGCTCCCTCTTTACCTTGCCATGATTGTAAACTTCCTGAGGCCCTCACCAGAAGCAGATGCCGGCAGCCACTTTCTGTACAGCCTGTAAAACTGGGGGCCAAAATAAACCTCTTTTCTTTATAAATTACCCAGTCTCAGGTATTTTTTTATAGCAATGCAAATGGACTAATACAGAGGAATTATAGGTGTAACAAGATGGATCAGATGTTGCTAACTGTTGAAGTTTAGTGATGATTGTATGTAAAGGTTCATTCATAATTTTCTCAACTTTTATATGTTTGAAATTTCCCATGATAGAAAATTTTTTAAATGAACAAACAGTTCTATCCACTATTCTCTAAAAGTGTGATAACCTCTGAGAAGGGAGTAGGAAGCTTTGATGGATGGGCAGAAATAAGTCCTAGCCAGGTCTATGGAGAATACTGCTCTGGGAGATCCCTAGCTCAGGAGTCTTAAACCCCTGGGCTGCAAACCAGTAAGGTCTGTGGCCTGTTAGGAACTGGGCCACACAGCAGAAGGTGAGCGGCAGGCCAGCAAGCATTATTGCCTGAGCTCTGCCTCCTGTCAGGTCAGCTGGGGCATCAGATTCTCATAGACCTGTGACCCCTATTGTGAACTGCACATGGGAGGGATCTGGGTTGCATGCTTCTTATGAGAATCTAACTAATGCCTGATGATCTGAGATGGAACAGTTTCATCCCAAAACTCTATGCCCACCCCCTGCTCCCAAGGAAAAGTTATCTTCCATGAAACTGGTACCTGGTGCCAAAAAGGTTGGGGACTGTTGTCCTCGCTGATTGTGATCAAGACCAAGCTGTAGAATGCTATGTGTCTTCTTAAGGAACTTTTAGCTAGGCAAGTGTCAGGAGAGATAAGTCCAAGTTCCAGTGTTCAATGCTTTGTTAATTTAGACCCCACTTGACCAAGTCCATTTTATTTTTTTTATTTCCACATTAATTCAAGTGTCATCATCCTACAAGATTCAGCTCAAATCCTACCTCTTCCTCACTCATCTCTTAGCTAGTGATCTCCCTTTTTCCATATCCTTTTAAGTGGATTGTTTCCTGACTGAGTGTAGGCTCCTTAAAACCAGGGACCGGCAGGGCACGGTGGCTCGCGCCTGTAATCCCAGCACTTTGGGACACTGAGGCGGGTGGATCGCTTGACCTCAGGAGTTTCACACCAGCCTGGGCAACACAGTGAAACCCCATCTTTACAAAAAAAAAAAAAAAAAAATAGCTGGGTGTGGTGGCTTGCCTGTAGTGCCAGCTACTTGGGAGGTTGTAGTCCTGTAGTCCCAGCTACTGATACTTGGGAGGCCGAGGTGGGAGGATTGGTTGAGTCCAGGAGGAAGAGGTTGCAGTGAGCTGAGATCGCGCCACTGCGCTCCAACCTGGGTGATAGAGTGAGACCCTGTCACAAACAAACAAACAAACAAAAACCCAAAACCAGGGACCATGACAAATTTTTAAAATCTCTCAGCCCCAAAAATAATACTATCCACAAAGTCAGAGCTCCATTAATACTGGAATAAAGGTTAAAAGAGCCCAATAAGTAGAAGTAGATGAGTTAATGATTTTTAAACAAGTGGCAGTCTCTCTGTCCTGGTAGTTTCAAGAAACACCACTCCGATTCCTATTTTGAAGCTGCTGGATTTTTTTTTTTTTTTTTTTTTTTTTTTTTAACAGAGTCTCGCTCTGTCGCCCAGGCTGGAATGCAGTGGTGCGATCTTGGCTCACCGCAACCTGCACCTCCTGGGTTCAAGCGATTCTCATGCCTCAGCCTCCCGAGTAGCTGGGACTACAGGCGTGTGCCACCATGACCGGCTAATTTTTTTTTTTTTTTGTATTTTTAGTAGAGACGAGGTTTGCCATGTTGGCCAGGTTGGTCTCGAACTCCTGAGCTCAGGCAATCCGCTCGTCTTGGCCTCCCAAAGTGATGGGATTACAGGTGTGAGCCACGGCGCCCGGCCAGCTGCTGGATATTTTGACCACCTCAAGTACGCTGAGCACGAAATCAGTGCATCTGGCAGTACACAGGAGCTTGAAATACTTTTTTTAAAAGTTGTTATTCAAACTGAAGGAGTTTTTCCCTGTGGTCTGTAATCGCCACGTGCCCGTTCTGTATACAGCCAGCCTGGGTTTTTCAATCCCACGTCCGCTACCTAAGAGAACACCAAGGCTTGGAGTGAGTATGGCACAATCAGCTTCAGATGTTAAGCAAATATTCCAACCTAGAGTAGGAAAATGGAATATGGACGGGGCTTTATGAAGGTGCATGGTCAGGCAAAGGATCTTAGTGGATGAAAGACAGTAAAGATTCATCCCAACCAAAGACCAAAAATGACACATATGTATGAGCAAAACATCAGGAAGAACACTCTTATGTGGAAAATATTACACGGAAAACAAAAGAAGAGTAACTTTTTCCCTTTTGGTTTATCCCGCTCTGGTCCTCAGGGCGATAGCTACCACCTGACACACAGCGACCTGGGAAAGAGGGAAACTCAATCACTGCCCTCGCGGCCCGGGGGGAGCCCGGAAGCGCGCCCAGAGCCAGGTCCCGCGCGGGCGCCACCGAGCGCGGACCTCCCTCGCATCCTAGAGCGGCCGCGCGGGACCCGGCCGGCGGCGCACTTCCGCCCGGGCGCATTGTAGCCCCGCGGACAGCTGGGCCAGGGTGCGGGCCTGCGCCTCCCTCGGCTCCTGGCGCGGGCCTCGGGGAGAGGGTGAGTGCGGTAGGGCATACCAGAGGGGGGCGGGCGCGCTTCCTCGGGACTCGCCGGCTCGATCAGGCACGGCCCGGCGCTGGGGACCTAAGCCTGGGGAGCGCCCGGGAGCGAGGACGCGCCTCGTTCACCGCCCCGGGCCGGAGTCTCGGCGGGCCGGAGCCTCGGCCGCCCGGCGCCGCCGCCCACCCAGCCTTTTTCGAGGCCAACACGGTCTCGTGGGGGAGCCTGGGCTCTCTGGAGGCCGGAAATCTGGCCTCTGGCCCTGCCTGTGCCTTGGCCTCTTACTCTCTGCCGCCCGGCCTCGGTTCTTTCAGCTCTAAGATGGAGGACAGCGATATCTGCCCTAGGCACACCACAGGGTGATTGCAGGGTTGACACTGCCTGCCTGAAAACGAAGGAGCGCCGGTTCTCAACCCGGCAACCAGTAGAATCGCTTGGGAAGCCTCCAAATGCTGATGCCCCATCATCACCGGGGAATTGTGATCTGCGGCCAGGACCGAGATCCACGGGCCCAGAGTGAAATGACAGTACTGTGATCACGACTGGAATATGCACTTCGCCGAACGTGGATCACAGTCTTGAGAAAGCAAGCAGCTGGGTTTTTGTTTTGTTTTTTTTCCAAGAAGACAGGGACCTAATCTGGTTTGCTCGCATTTAATTCCTAGTGCCTAGAATGGTGCATGTCCCAAAACATGCACCATTGATTAAATAATTTCTGATTACTTCCCGACCTATTTGGAGGGTTTTCATTATATTTGTTTTAAAATTATTATGGAAACCTTCAAGTCATATATGAAAATTGAATAGTAACTGAACTCCCAATTCATGATCAATTCTGTTTCATCTGTTACCCTCTCCCCCACTGTAGTATTTTGAAGCAAATCTGAAATGTACCATTCCATCTGTTACCTTGTTCATGTTTATAAAACACAATAACACCTTTTTAAAACATAAAGCCATTATCAGTGTACTTAGCACTTCATTTTACCCTCTACTATCCAGTCAGCATTTACATTTTCCTAGTTGTCTCTTTCCTCTTACCCAGTTTGTCCAAATCAGTATCCAAACAATCTACACACGTTATATTTGGTTGATGTCTCTTAGATCTCTCTTAATCTTTTTCTCTTGCTCTTTATTTTGTTCCCTGTATTTTACTTGAACAAGTCATTTGTACGGTTCACGTTTTCTACAACCAGGATTTTGCTTTTTCCATCTCTGGTATCCTTTAATAAGCAGGTATTTAGACCTGCAGACTTGTTCAGGTCAGGTTCGATTTTTTGGCAAGAGAACTTAATGGGGGATTACTGTGTTTTTCACATTGTATCATACCAGGAGTTAGATAGCATCTTGCCTCTCTTTGTGGACCTTTTATGTACAAGTAGCACCGTAGGGTAACAATTGACCAGGGAATGCCAGCAAATACATGCAAAAGAAATGAGAGAATATCACCTTTTGGCAACCCCTAATGAAATAATGGATCCTGGCAATGATCACTAGCGGCTGTTAACGTCAGAAAGAGAGACAGCTAGACAATGCGTGCTGCCTAATGGGGTACTCCCATCAGACAGCACACCGTTTGTCTTATCAAGTATTCTTGGAGTAATGGGGGTGGTGTGTATAGATGAAACATGATTGCCTATGAGTTAACAGTTGTTGAAGTTCAATGATGGGTGTATGGCATTGCATTATGCTAATCTCTACTTCTGTATGTGTCTGAAGTTTTTCAGAATAAAACTTTTTTTAAAAAGATTGATTAGTTGAGTAGTGAGTTTAGGTCAACCTGATCCATACATTGCAGTTCTCTGTTAGCCTTTCACTAAGTGATTCTCAAATCGGACTCCATGTTAGGATCACAGGAGAAGGCTTTTTATTTTATTTATTTACTTTTTAATACTAAAACATGTCTCACTTGCAGAATTTCCTATCTAAATGTTCTGGGATGGAGCCCAATTATTGATAGGGTTTTTTGTTTTGTTTGGGACTACAGGTGTATGCCACCATGCCTGGCTAATTTTTTTATAGAGACAGAGTCTTGCCATGTTCCCCAGGCTGCTCTTGAATTCCTGGCCTCAAGCCATCCTGCCACCTCAGCCTGCCAAAGTGCTGAGTTTACAAGCAGGAGCCACCGTACCTGACCTTCACTGATATGTTTTAAAAGCTCTCCAGGTGATTCTAATATGCCCCCGGGGTTATGTACTACTGATCTAAATCCATTATTTGTTAGGGATGACAAAGTGATTATATTCTATTATTCCTTCTGCAGTTAATTTGCCTTTACAAATGTTAACTTTCTGCATTCTGTTTATTCTTACCTATCTTGCAAATCAATAAGGAAGCCTCTGCAAATAAAGCTCCTTTCTTAGCAGAGGAAGACTTGATCTTGGAGGTGATAATGTAGAGTAACACATGAAAGGGATGTTAGCAATAACCTCAACGCTATGCTTAAGGTAGAGATGCACCACCTTATGTATGAGGGTTGGGGGCAGGAAATATGGGGAGGGGCTGTTTCCCAAAATGGAAGGGAAGACTAGGTAGTGTGTAGTTAGAGAAGCATGTTTGGCCATATGACACATTTCCAAAAAAAAAAAAAAATCATCAGCATTAAGTAAATATAAATTTAAAAAAAATAAAATGCCACTCATTGAAACATAATGCAATAAATTTAAAAGAAAAGTTAACCCCCCGCACAGCCCCCACCCCATCACTTTAATTACCCCTGAGATAACCCATATTAACAGGATGGTGTGTATCCTCTCCCACATCAGACTTTCTCTGTCTTACATAAATGTAGGGGTTTGGGGTATTGTTATAAAAACGAGATCATACCATAGCCATCTGTAACTTTTCTCCTTGTCATCCCTCCACAACAGTAGTTACAGAAGACTCTATTAGCTGCAGAATAAATAGTTGATAGACTAAATAATAGCACAAATGTACAATAAAATATTCAGCCATTTTCCTATTGACATTTTTAGATTGCTTTCATATTTTAGCCATCTTGAGAGCAACACAATACACGTCATTTTACATAGCTCTTTATTATTTGGGTAGATTACCAAAAATGGGATTACTGGGTGAAAGCATATAATTATCAACAGCATCATTATTACTGGTAATATATATTCCAAATTATTCTCCGAAAGCCTAATCGCAATTCATAACTTTGTCACCATTAGTTTGTGACAGTAGCCATTTACCGTCATCCTGGTTAGCACTGACTAGCATTGCTCTATTGATATTTGCCTGCCAGCTGATGTGTGGTAAATGGTCTCTCTTTTTGTTTGTTGTGAGAGTGGGTCTTGTTCTGTCAAGCAGGCTGGAGTGCAGCAGTGAAATCACAGCTCACTGCAGCCTTAACCTTCCAGGTTCCAATGATCCTCCTGCCTTGGCCTCCTGAAAAGCTGGGACTATAAGCACATGCCTCCATGTCCAGCTGATTTTTGTTTTTTAATTTTTTTGTAGAGACAGTGTCTCACTATGTTGCCTAGGCTGGTCTCAAACTCCTGGGCTCAAGTGATCCTCCCACCCCAGCCTCCCAAAATGCTGGGATTGCAGGCATGAGCTACCATACCCAGCCTCTTTGTTCTTTATTTTGCATTCCACTAACTACCTGGAGACTGAACCCTTATCTTTTATTTATTAACTTAAATTTTTTAAATAGATACACGATAGTTGTTTGAACCCTTTTCATGCTTATAGGCCATTTGGATTTCTTCTGTGATTCATATATATACATATTTATGTATATATATGTGTATATATGTATATATATGTATATATGTGTGTGTGTGTGTGTATATATATATATATATATATATATATATATCCTTTGCCTGTTTTTCTGTTGCACAAGTATTTTTGTATTTTGAATGCATTTGCATAAACTTTTTTTTTTTAGGAGCATTAACCCCCTGTCATAAGGGGGTCCAAACTTTTTTTTTTCAGGTTTTTTTTCTTGTCCTTTGACTTTATGAGTCTCAATATATATAAAAGATTTTATTTAGTGAAAATGTCTGTTTTTAAAGTTTCTGGATTTTATGTCTTGCCAATAAGGGCTTCCCATCTCCACAGTTAAATGTATAAACATTCTCCTAATTTTTTTGAACACGTTATTGGATTTTTTACATTTAAATTTCTTAACTACGTGAAGTGTATTTTTATATACAATGCAAAGTGAGCATCTTTCTTTGCTTTTTTCTCTGCTAGAATAGCCAATTATGTCAGTGCCATTCATTAAAGAAACCACACTTTTTACACCTTTGTTATATACTGTATTGATTCCGATAGGTAGCTGGTTTATTTCTGAACTTTCCCTTCCCTTTTACCTCTATTTTTGTGCCAATATTATTGTTTGTATGTATGTATGTATGTATGTATTTGTTGAGACAGAGTCTTACTGTGTCACCCAGGCTGGAGTGCAATTGTGCAATCTTGGCTCACTATGACTGCCGCCTCCCAGGTTCAAGCAATTCTGCTGCCTCAGCCTCCTGAAGTAGCTGGGACTACAGGTGTGCGCCAGCATGCACGACTAATTTTTGTATTTTTAGTAGAGACAGGGTTTCACCATCTTGGCCAGGCTGCTCTCAAACTCCTGACCTTAGGTGATCCACCCTCCTCAGCCTCCCAAAGTGCTGGGATAACAGGCATGAGCCACCGTGCCCGGCCTATTCTGTTTTAATTATGTCAGATTGCTGTAGTAAATGTTAATACCTAGAAAAGCAGGTCACCACTCACTGCTTTTTGGAATTTTCTCATCCCTTCTCAGACATTTATTTTTCCTTCCATATGATTTTTGGATTGTTTCTGTTCCAAAATAAATCCCACTGGAAGTCTGATAGAATTTCCACCAAATACATCTACATTAGCTTAGGAAGGATGAACATCTCTGTGATATCAAGTCATCCTATCAGGGACATAATGTGTATCTTTTATTCGTGTGAATCTTTTGGGTGCTGTTCCTTTCCTGCTAACTTTATTTCTGGTAATTTTGTTTTTGCTCTTAGAATGGGTTTTTCCCCCATTTCTGTTTTTATCTTGTTATTGCTAAGACTGAGAAGAGTTACTGAAGTTTTTGTATATTTTATATCTAGCTGTCAGTCAAATTCTCTTACAGTAGTTTTTCTTAAGCTTCTTTGTTTTCTTCCCTGCCATCAATGTGGATAATCTATAATCAGTTATGTATAAATTTCAGTTCATTCTAATATATTCTGTTTGATACATATATTCCATCTCAGAAGTATATCAGTGATGTCAGATGTACCTAGAAATAGTGAAAGGAATAGTGCCAGGAGTTGGAATAAACCTGCACATTCAACAGGTTGTTGCTGATCACTTAAAATAGCAGAGTCCCAAGTCCTCGTGAGTCATGGACCATGTCATGTAGGGAGTGAGACATTTGTTCAGCATTATTGTGAAATATCAGCATGACTATAGAGCATAATAGAGCATTACTGTTATGATTGTTCAGAGAAAGGGAAAGGGCTGATCATTATGGGCATCAGAGACACCATATGGTGAGTATCATTAAATACCATCTCTTGCCCTGTATCTCAACTAGAGTTGTTGTTGTTTAGTGTTTATTAGAAGGATTTTTTTTAAAAAAATTAGTAAGTAGAAAGTACAGAGTGTTCCCATATACTCTCTTATCCCTCACCCCTCAGTTTCCCCTTATTAACATCTTGCATTAATGCGGTATATGTTCAGAAGCTTAAGGGCTCATGAAAAAAAAATGAAAAATGTGCTACATGTGTTACAGTTGTTGAGCCAATATTGATACAGATACACTGTCAACTAAAGTTTACATTAGAGCTCATTCACTCTAGTGGTGTTTATTCTGTGTACAGTTGACCAATGTATAATGACATATGTCTGTCTTACTGTATCATACAGAATCGTTTCACTGCCTTAAACATCCCCTGTGCTCTGCCTGTTCATTCTTCCTTCTCTCACCCTGTATCACTAGCAAGCACGATTTTTACTGTCTCCATAGTTTTGCCTTTTTGAGAACATCATATAGTTAGAATTCAGCTATAGTTTTTAATTGCCTGGGTTTGGTTATTTTTGTTTGTTTGGGTGTGTGAACAATTATACAAGATTTGTTAACTTGTAGTTTTAGCCAAGTTATTAAAACCTTACTGTGGATATGTGTGGAATACTATGAGAGACCAAGAATCCAGACTGTTCTAAATAACCAAAAAGTAATAATAGAGATAAATATTACAGGAATATGTTTTTGGTACAGTGATATGAAATAATCCCCAGATGATCTTTCTGTTGCAGGGTGGAAGATGTCTATGGATGTGACATTCCTGGGGACGGGTGCAGCATACCCATCTCCAACCCGGGGTGCCTCTGCTGTGGTCCTTCGGTGTGAAGGCGAGTGCTGGCTCTTTGACTGTGGGGAGGGAACACAGACACAGCTTATGAAAAGCCAACTTAAAGCAGGTTAGTGTGCCTTCAGCTATCTCATTAAGATTTTTTTGTTGTTCTGCTTCATTTTCTTGGCTCTCCTTGGACATTTTGTTTAGAAACAGCCCTGATGGTTGCATCCCACTTCAGTGCTACACCCTGGTGAGACTTGGAAGGCCTGCAGGCATCTGGCCACGTCCACTGAACTTCATTTACTTATTTACTTGCTTTTCATTTATCCTGTAGATGCTGAAAGCAAGGATTCATGTAGGCTTGGGGTTTGGGAAATGTCGTGGGATACACCAGGCATATTAGATGAACACTGCCTTAGCAAGGAAGCAGTGTACATACTTACCTCCACCAGGAGATAGTTTTCATGAGAGGATGCAAAGGGTAGGAAATGTTTGGAGGAGGGAGATGTTGTTTTCCTCTTGGGGTTATCAGGGTAAACTTCTCAGAGAAGTTGACCTGTGGATTGTCAAAGGAGGAGGAGGAATTTCAGGGCTGAGGAGAAGAAGGGCATTTCAATCAGGGGGAATGGAGTGAGCAGAGGCCAGCACCTGGGAGATAGAGCAGTCCAGTGGTGAAAAGCTTCAGCTCAGAGTCAGGCAGACCTGGGTTCTAGTCCTGGCTGTGTCTTGGGCCTGTGACCTTAGCATATCAGCAAACTTCAACTTTACTTTCCCGATCTTGAAAATGGGGATAAAAAGTCTACTTAGAAAGGGTGTTATGAGAATTACATGTAATCATTTATTCTCTGTGTGATTGCCTCTTTCTCAGTTAAATCTTAGCTCAGATGCCATCTTCTCAGAGGCTTTCCCAAATCCTCCTGGATTAAGTAGTTCCTCTCTCACCCCAGTCATTCCTTTACTTTGTCCTATTTTTATTGACTTCTTAGCATCATCAGTATCTGAAATTATGTTATTTAGTTTGTTTCTGTGTTCTTTATCTCCCTATACTGTAAAGTACGTTCCATGATCATTTATATACCTAGTAGATGCCTAGTTATATCTGTTCAACTAGGCATCTACTAAGTATATAAATGATCATGGAACTTACTTTAGTGAATGGATAAGACGTTTAGCAACTTAGCACAGTGCCTCTCACTTATTAGGTCTTGATAAATAGTATTGAAGTCATTATTCCTACAACTCTTCACAGTACCTGGCACTTGGTGACTAAAGGAAAGATACTTCTAGTGTTCAGGGATCTCTTGGTCCAGTGATGGAAACTGACATGCAAACGGACAGTAATCAATCATGTAATGTGATAAGTAGAATAATGGAAGTATTTTCTAAGTACTTTGGAGCACAAAGGAGGGGGAAGTAACTGACCATTCATTCATTAATAGAAGGCATCCCAGAGATTGTTAACAGTTGAGCTAGGATCCAAGAGATTCATAGAAGTTTTTCTGAGAGAGAGGTAGAGATGGACATTGAGGGAACAGACAACAAAGTGAGCAACAAGTAAGGAAGTTTCCAGGAAAGAACTGGCATGTTGGGGAGCATTGAGTACTTGGCTAGGCTAGATGGAACTAAGAATGCTGAAAAGGTGAGGGCTGACTGTGAAGTCCTCTGTAGCATAGTAAGATATTTAGACTTTATTGTTCTACTGGGAAAAAGGAACCATTCATGTTTTTAAGGGGGAATAATGCAATCTCGTTTGTGTTTTAGGACAGAGTTTTCTGATGGCACATGTATTGGGAGAGAGAGAATAGCATCAGGGAGACCAGTTCCAAGGCAATTGCAGTTCACTTGTATCAGTTCATTTTCATACTGCTATGAAGAAATACCCAAGACTGGGTAATTTATTAAAACAACAACAAAAAAGAGGTTTAATGGACTCGCAGTTCACATGGCTGGGGAGGCCTCACAATCATGGTGGAAGGCAAAGGCAGAGCAAAGGCGTGTCTTACGTGGTGGCAGGCAAGAAAGCATATGCAGGGGAACCACCCTTTATCAACCCGTCAGATCTCATGAGACTTATTCACTGTCGTGAGAACAGCATGAGAGAACCTGCCCCCCATGATTCAATTACTTCCCACTGGGTCCCTCCCATGACATGTGGGGATAATGGGAGCTACAATTCAAGATGAGATTTGGGTGGGACATAGCTAAACCATATCATTCCACCCCTGACTCCTCCAGAACCTTATGTCCTCACATTTCAAAACCAATCATGCCTTCCCAATAGTCCCCCAAAGTCTTAACTCATTTTAGCATTAATTTAAAAGCCCACAGTCCAAAGTCTCATCTGAAACAAGGCTAGTCCCTTCTACCTATGAACCTGTAAAATCAAAAGCAAGTTAGTTACTTCTTAGATACAATGGGGGTACAGGCATTGGGTAAATATACCCATTCCAAATGAGAGAAATTGGCCAAAACAAAGGGGCTATAGGCCCCACGCAAGTCCAAAATCCAATAGGACAGTCAAATCTTAAAGCTCCGAAATGATCTCCTTTGACTCCATGTCTCACATCCAGGGCATGCTGATGCAAGAGGTGGGCTCCCATTGTCTTGGGCAGCTCTACTCCTGTGGCTTTACAGGGTATAGCCCACTTCCTGGCTGTTTTCATGGGTTGGTGTTGAGTGTCTGCAGCTTTTCCATGCACACAGTGTAAGCTGTCAATAGAGCTGCCATTATGGGTTCTGGAGGACAGTAGCTCTCTTCTCACAACTCTACTAAGCAGTGTCCCAGTGGCTATGTGTGGGGGCTCACACCCCATATTTCCCTTCCACACTGCCCTAGTAGAGGTTCTTTGTGAGGGCTCCACCCCTGCAGAAGATTTCTGCCTGGACATCCAGATGTTTCCATACATCCTCTGAAATCTAGGTGGAGGTTCCCAAACCTCAATTCTTGACTTCTGTGCACCCGCAGGCCCAACACCACATCTAAGCTGCTAAGGCTTGGGGCTTGCAGTCTCTGAAGCAACCGCCTGAGCTGTACCTTGGCCCCTTTAAGCCACACTGGGATGCAGGGCACCAAGTCCCAAGACTGCACGAAGCAGCAAGGCCCTGGGCCCAGGCCAGGAAACCGTTTTTCCCTCCTAGGCCTCTGGGCACGTGATGGGAGGGGCTGCTGTGAAGACCTCTGACATGCTCTGGCAACATTTTCCCCATTGTCTTGGTGATTAACATTTGGCTCCTCATTACTTACACAAATTTCTGCAGCTAGCTTGAATTTCTGCTCAGAAAATAGGATTTTCTTTTCTGTTACATCATCAGGATGCAAATTTTCTGAACTTTTATGCTCTGGTTCCCTTTAAACATAAGTTACAATTCCAAACCATATCTTTGTGAATACATAAAAGTGAATGCTTTTAAGAGCACCCAAGTTACTTCTTGAATGCTTTGCTGCCTAGAAATTTCTTCTGCCAGATACCCTAAAGCATCTCTCTCAAGTTCAAAGTTCCACAGATCTCTAGGGCAGGGGCACAATGCTGCCAGTCTCTTTGCTAAAGCATAGCAAGAATCCCTTTGCTTCAGTTCCCAATAAGTTCCTCATCTCCATCTGAGACCACCTCAGCCTGGACTTTTTGGTCAAAACCATTCAACAGGAAATTCCAAACTTTCCCATGTCTTCCTGTCTTCTGAGCCCTCCAAGTCTCTAGGAAATTCTAAACCTTCCCATATTTTCCTGTCTCCTTTTGAGCCCTCCAAACTGTTCCAGCCTCTGCCTGCTACCCAGTTCCAAAGTCACTTCCACATTTTCAGGTATCCTTATAGCATTATCCCACTCTACCAGTACCAATTTACTGTATCAGGCCATTTTCATACTGCTATGAAGAAATACCCAAGACTGAGTAATTTATTTAAAAAAAAAAGAGGTTTAATGAACTAATCGCAGTTCCGCAAGGCTGGGGAGGCCCCACAATCATGGTGGAAGGCAAAGGCAAAGGTATGTCTTACATGGTGGCAGGCAAGAGAGCATGTGCAGGGGAACTCCCCTTTATCAAACCATCAGACCTCGTGAGACTTATTCACTGTCACGAGAACAGCATGAGAAAACCTGCTCCCATGATTCAATTACTTCCCACCGGGTCCCTCCCATGATGTAGGGATTATGGGAGCTACAGTTCAAGATGAGATTTGGGTGGGGACACAAACCATATCATCACTGTGTATATGTGTGTGTGTGTGAGAGAGAGAGAGAATGAGGATATTGAAGTATAGAGATGGAGATGAGAGATTCAATTTAAGAGATACTTGTAGAAATAAGAGGAGATGGTCACTGAATGTCTAGTGTGTGAGGAAGTGAAGAATTAATACAAGTTACTGATGGTGATGTCCTGGACCTAGAGAAGAAGTCAGGAAAAGAGTTGTTGGAGGAAGGAGCTAATGCATATTGTTTGGGACATATGGTAGGTACAATTGAACCGTAGTTATATACTGTCTTGTGTTGAAACTTTGAGATAATTCAGGTGCTATTCTTTGCTTTTCTTGGATCGTACAGAGATTCCTTTCATGAGAACCTTCATGAGAGCCCTCTGGACAGGCACAGGCCAGAGTAGAGACTTGACAGTTAACATTTTAGACAGTAGGAGTTGAGGTGGCAAGGTGTACTGAAATAGAAACAAGAAATTGTTAAGTGTGAGTACCAGAGGTTTGGCTGTGGGGATACATCTTTTTATTTAATACTTGTGTTAGTTATCTGATACTATCTAATAATGCATAACAGATTATAAATTTAGTGGCTTATTTGCATTTATTATCTCCTAGTTACTGTAGGTTAGGGAGTTCGGGCCTGGTTTAGCTAGGTTTTCTGCTTCAGGGTCTCACTAGGCTGCAATCTAGGTGTTGGCTGGGGTTACAATTTCATCAGAGGCCCAACTGGGGAAGATTCTGCTTCTCAGCTCTTTCAGGTTGTTGGCAGAACCCTTACAGTGGTAGGACAGTCCACCCTGAGCTCCTTGAGTTCTCTGCATTGTAGGTTTCTGCTTCATGGTAGCTTGCTTCTTCATAGCCAGCATGGGAGAAGGAGACTCTAGAGTAAGTCTGCTAGCAAGATGGAGTCTTATGTCCCATAAAGTAATCGCATTGCATTCTTGTGCCATATTCTGCTGGTTAGAAGCAAGTCACAAGTCCCAGCCACACTCAAGGAGAGGGGATTGTAGGACGTGAACACCAGGAGGTAGGGGCCACAGGGATCACCTAAAGTATCCACCACAAGTATATTTTACAGTTCCTTTATATATGATTTTCTGTTTTTTGTTTTTTTTTGAGACAGAGTCTTGCTCTGTAGCTCAGGCTGGAGTGCAGTGGTGCGATCTCGGCTCATTACAACCTCTGCCTCCCAGGTTGAAGTGATTCTTATGCCTCAGCCTCCTGAGTAGCTGAGATTACAGGCACATACCATGACACCTGGCTAATTTTTTTTTGTATTTTTAATAGAGATGGGGTTTTGCCATGTTGCCCAGGCTGATGTCAAACTCCTGAGCTCAGGCAGTCCACCCGCCTTGTCCTCCCAAAGTGCTAGGATTCAGGTGTGAGCCACTGTGCCCAGTCTATATAGGATTTAAATAAACAGTTGGAGTTGGGCACAGTGGCTCATGCATGTAATCCCAGCATTTTGGGAGGTCAAGGCAGGAAGATCACTTGAGGCCAGGAGTTTGAGACCAAGCTGGGCAACAAAAAGAGACTCCATCTTTACAAGAAATAAAGCCAGATGTGGTCCCAGTGGGAGGCTGAGGCAGGAGGATCCTTTGAGCCCAGGAGGTCAAAGCTGCAATGAGCCATGATTGAGCCACTGCACTCCAGCCTGGTGACAGAGCAAGACCCTGTCTCAACAAATAAATAAATAAACATAAATGCATGCATTCATACATACAATTGATAAATCTAATCTTGGCCAAAAAAACCCAAAACAAAATAAAAGAAAACAAAAAAAACACAACCCCAAAAGCCCAAAGGAACCTTTAGTTTACTACATTTCTATACGCTTAGAAAAAAAATTTCTGAGGCCAGGCATGGTGGCTCATGCCTGTAATCCCAGCACTTTGGGAGGCCGAGGCAGGTGGATCACGAGGTCAGGAGTTTGAGACCAGCCTGGCCAACATGGTGAAACCCCATCTCTACTGAAAATACAAAAATTAGCTGGGCGTGGTGGCGGGTGCCTGTAAACCCAGCTACTTGGGAGGCTGAGGCAGGAGAATCGCTTGAACCCAGGAGGCGGAGGTTGTGGTGAGCCGAGATAGTGCCACTGCACTCTAGCCTGGGTAACAGAGTGAGACTCCATCTCGAAAAAAAAAAAAAAAAAAAGAAAAATTTCTGGCCGTAGAGAGGAAGGTGAGATAGTAATCCTAGAGCATTACCTGTGACTCTCTAGTACTTCAGATGCCCCTAGTCTCAAACTGGAATGCAGCACCCTCAGTACATACTAATTTCTCTCCATAACCTATTATGGACCTATCATTATTTGATTCATTGAAACCCTTTGAGCTTGTACTACCTCTAGGGATAATGGATATATTACATAGTGGTGAAGTCTGGGATTTAATGTACTCATGACCAGATAATGTACATTGTACCCATCAGGTAACTAATTATCCCTCACCACACACCCCCACCCCCCGCCACCCTCCTACTCTTCCAAGTCTTCCATGTATATTATTCTACACCCTATACTTATGTGTACACATGAAATGATTATTAAAAGTATTATAAGAGCATGATTTTTTAAATGATATAAAAAGTATAAATGCTTATTGTAAAAATTCAAACAAAAGAGAAAAGTGTAAATAAGAAAAGTCCAAGTCTCCCCTCATAGGTGAATTTTCTATGTACATAGATATGGTGATAGTATGGGAGTGTGTGTGTGTGTATAGTTCTGCATACATAGAATTATACTGCTCTTGGCATAACCTGCTTTTTTTTTTCAACTGAGCAATGTATACAAACAATATATTGCAGCTTTTCCAAATCCAGTCAATATACCTATGTCTTCATTTTTAGAGAATGCTCAATATTCCATTCCTCTGTGGATGACATATTCCCCCATAACTTCCTTGTTCCCAAGGAAAAGGGAACTCAGGCATTTTTGTGTCTTCATTTGAAAGCTTCCTCATACCTTTGATAATTGTGGTTGCCATTCCTTCTCCCTTTGAAATCAGGTTTCTTGAAAAATGAAGTATTTGTCTCCTTGAAACTGTGATAACTGTAGGAAGCAGTTTGTCACTTAATTTGCCTCACTTCGAGTTCACAGGTTGTTTTGGTGTTCAGTTTGGCTTTGTTTTAGAGTGGATAGGGAAAGGGCCCAGAAAGTCAGATATTGGTAGTTTTTAGGCCACTGGGGGATCTGGACTCAGTGACTGCTATAGTTCTTTTTTTTTTTTTTTTTTTTGAGATGGAGTTTCACTCTTGTTGCCCAGGCTGGAGTGCAATGGCGTGATCTCGGCTCACCACAACCTCCACCTCCTGGGTTCAAGCGATTCTCCTGCCTCAGCCACCTGAGTAGCTGGGATTACAGGCATGTGCCATCACACCCAGCTAATTTTGTATTTTTAGTAGAGACAGGGTTTCTCCAAGTTGATCAGACTGGTCTCAAACTCCCAACCTCAGGTGATCCGTCCACCTCAGCCTCCCAAAGTGTTGTGATTACAGGCATGAGCCATTGCACCCGGCCCTATTGCTGTAGTTTTTTTGTCTGCAGAGTCCTCAGGTCACACATGGAGGTGGCTTGGCAACCCGGACAGGGAGACGGGGGAAATGAGGAATTCAGGCAGTAAAAAAACAGCAAAAAGGAGCATATCGAGGAAACTTCTAGAGTGCCTCCTGGGGATTCGCAAAGTCCACAATCAGCCTGTGCCAATCTGTTGTTCTCTGTTGCTGGCTGGGCTTGGATGTAGTAATTCTGGAAAGACTTGCTTGGAGAACACTTGATGTTATAGAACAAATCACATTACAGTAAACTATTCCTGTTCTTTTATGGTATCAATAAACTGTTTCTGTACTTTTATAGCATCAAACGTTTAAAATAGGTGGGCCTTGAGCAAAGGACCAGAAGCCTCTTTTGCACTAGAAATGTGTTAATTTTTGTTGTTACTTTTGAAATGTCATGTGGTGTGTCTCAGAAAATGCTGATGTGGCATCCTGCCATATTCCAGCAATAAATTCAGTTTACCATTGGCTAAACCAAGTTATAACCTAAGCCAATATGCACTGAAAAAGCTGTTGTGTTAGTTCAGACTGAAAGGAAGAATGGACCCAAGTACCCTTACATAATAGCTTAGGGGATCGGCTTTCCTGCATTCTGCCTTCTGTTGCCCACCTTCCTTCTCAGTTCTTCATCTTTTTCCCTCTCCTACCTCCCTTCTCCCTCCTCCTTTTCCCCTCCCTTCCTCACCGTTCTTCCTTTTTCTCCATCTTCTTCCACCTCACCCAGACAAGCAGGCCGTGACTTGATTGGTTAATCGCTGTCCAGTATAGGGAGTCCTTAAAAGGCAATTTTGGGTTCAGGCACTGGTCCAGTCAGTTGGAGCCAGTGGAACATTTTGTTTTCCTGGAATATATGTTTGCTTTTCTCAGAGGGAGCAGTAGGGGGCAATGTAATTGCTAGATGCTTTTAATACTTGAGGCCTATCTATTTAATAGTTAAGTGAATTATTTTGGTACACTTGTATATTTTACTTGGTGTTTTTTTTTTTTTTTTTTTTTTTTTTGAGACAGTTTCGCTCTTGTTGCCCAGGCTGGAGTGCAATGGCACAATCTCGACTCACGCAACCTCCGCCTCCTGGGTTCAAGTAATTCTGCTGCCTTAGCCTCCTGAGTAGCTGGGATTACAGGCATGCGCCACCACGACCAGCTAATTTTGTATTTTTGTTTAGAAGAGATAGGGTTTCTCTATGTTGGTCAGGCTGGTCTCGAACTCCCGACCTCAGGTGATCCTCCTGCCTCGGTCTCCCAAAGTGCTGGGATTACAGGCGTTGAGCCACCGTGCCTGGCCTACTTGTTTTTTTATGTGACAGAAAATGTATTAAAATACTCTGAAAGCTGTAAAACTATGTAATATGAAGATGTCTTATGAAAAATGTTATATCTTATTGAAACCATCTAGTGGGGCTAGGCACCGTAATCCCAGCACTTTGGGAGGCCAAGGTGGGATAATTGCTTAAGGCCAGGAGTTTGAGACCAGCCTGGGCAACATAGCAAGACCTCATTTCTACAAAATTAAAAAAAAAAAAAAAAAACCAGGCATAGTGGTAGGGTCTGTAGTCCTAGCTACTTGGGAGGCTGAGGCAGTAGGATCACTTGAGTCCAGGAGGTCAAGGCTGCAGTGAGCTATGATCACACCACTGCACTCCAGCCTGGATGACAGAGCAAGACCTGTCTCTTTAAAAAAAAAAAAACTATTAAAAACAAACAAACAAAAAACCACCTGGTGAAATAAAGCCTGTCTTCTTGTTTTTGGAATCATGTAGCAAAATGTAAATGAATAAGTTTATGATGATAAGTAGAACTTTTAAATTCAATTTACTATTTTTAATGTAAATTGTTAGGCTTGTTTCAAATAGCTTTGTATGGGTTTTTAGTTAATGAAAAATTTCCAAACGTATTTCTCTATCTCAATCAAAAGGGAGAATTACCAAGATCTTCATCACACACCTTCATGGAGACCATTTCTTTGGCCTTCCTGGGCTCCTCTGCACAATCAGCCTGCAGAGTGGCTCCATGGTGTCCAAACAGCCTATTGAAATCTATGGCCCTGTAGGGCTTCGGGACTTTATCTGGCGAACCATGGAACTCTCTCACACGGAGCTGGTCTTCCATTATGTGGTTCATGAACTGGTTCCTACAGCAGATCAATGTCCTGCAGAAGAACTAAAAGAATTTGCGCATGTGAATAGAGCAGACAGTCCTCCCAAAGAGGAACAAGGAAGAACTATCCTGTTAGACTCAGAAGAAAACTCATACCTTCTGTTTGATGATGAACAATTTGTTGTAAAAGCATTTCGCCTCTTTCACAGAATTCCCTCATTTGGGTTTTCAGTCGTGGAAAAGAAACGCCCAGGTAAACTCAATGCACAGAAACTTAAAGACCTTGGTAAGTGTTTTTTTGTTTTTTGTTTTTTCCCGCCTTCTCATCAATAGGGCTCCTGTTGACTGAAGCTATAAGAAATGTCATAGTAAGGCCAGGAGTTGTGGCTCACGCCTGTAATCCTAGCACTTTGGGAGGCCGAGGTGGGAGGATCACTTGAGTTCGGGAGTTCAAGACCAGCCTGGGCAACATGGCGAAACCCCATCTCTACTAAAAATACAAAAAGTAACTGGGTGTGGTGTCATGTGCCTGTAGTCCCAGCTACTTGGGGGGCTGAGGCAGGAGGATCACTTGAACCTGGGAGGTCAAGGCTGCAGTAAGCCAAGATAGTGTTACTATACTCCAGCTTGGGTGACAAAGCGAAACTCTGTCTCAAAAAAAAAAAAGTGTCATAGTAAGCTTCCACTCCTCTATCCCAGGCCTGAAACTGACAATTTCTCCACTTAGTCCCTTTGTCCAAAGTTTGCTTATTAAGGAAAATCCATGGGGCCAAAAAATGCTATTTAGAGCAAAACCCAAGTATACATTTGAATCCTGTCTTCATCTCCCTGGATCCACATTCTTAGTCTGTCTTCACCTTATACTATCTTGGTTGGCAAGGTGATTTGGGTGGTAGTGGTGGTGGTTTTAGGTCCAGGCTTTATTTTTTCATGTCTTCCCTTTGATACGTGTTTTTGATGACATCTTCGGTCTGAGAATTTTTGCCATCGTTCTTAACCTTACAACTGCAACCATGTGCTTTCAGAGTTTACTTCTGTATCTACTTTGCTTACTAATTTAACCTTGATTAAATTAATTTGGTATTCAAAACCCTGTGCCTCAACCAGTTTTAGATATCAGGGTTCATCGTAGTTGAAAGCAAGCATACAGAGGTGGGCTTGGGGCCCATCTAAGGCTTCACACCTCCTCTATGCTAAGCGCTAAGCCAGCATGCATGAGGGGATCTTTTCAGCACCTCTTGTGAGGTAGAGTCCAGGTACATTATATCTCCAGTGTCACTGCCTTCACAGGCATGCTGTGGCAGTGCCTGTAAAAAGCACAGTGGCATTTTGTGTGTGTTTGTTTTTTTATTTATGTGATCTCTTCCTCAACTAAAACAAAATGCTAGATAATGAGGAAAAGTGACTTAGGCCAAGGATATTTTTATTACCTGAAAGCCTGTGGAAATACTATTATATTTGGAAACTTTAAACATGATCTGTGTTGGAATTGGTGGTCATACTATACTAGTTTGTAAGTATTGTCCATAGTGATGATCAGGTCTTACTTTAAATTAATACGAGATTTAAGCCCACTTTGATAAATGTGGAACTGCCCCTGTCTGCCAAGAAGACTAATAATGTACAATTGCCTGAAAAAATGCTCCTTGATCTTGTAATACAAACAATCCTGCTAACAATTTTTTTATTAAGTTACTTTGTAGGTACTTGTTTTGACTAGGTGTTGATTATATCTTTTTTTTTTTTTTTTTTTTTTTTGAGGCAGTCTCACTCTGTTGTCCAGGCTGGAGTGCAGTGGTGTGATCTCAGCTCGCTCACTGCAACTTCTGCCCCCTGGGTTAAAGCAATTCTTGTGCCTTGGCCTCCCATATAGCTGGGACTACAGGTGTGCACCACTGCACCTGCCTCGGCCTCGCACAATGCTAGGATTACAGGCATGAGCCAGTGCACCCAGCCTGACTATATCACTATTTAAATACACTCTCAAATTTTACCCAAAGGTGAGCTTATTAAATAAAGCACTCTCAAAAACTGTTGTTTCTGTGCACAGCAGAGAATCAAGAATGTTACAGTGACTACAATAAGGTCCTAGTGATACTTAGGAGACTAAAACTTGTCTGACATGTATGCATGGGAAATGTTTCAAGTACTAAGGCATTGCTAATATCAATCAACACTGAAATTTTAAAAATGTATAAATCCAGTTTTCCACAAGTAGTAAAACATTTATAACAATTATGGATGCCTTTTCCATTAGCTATTTGCAATGCTGTTAAAATAGACTCTTGAAAAGTCATAAATTCCATTCCTATGATGTAATGTTATCTGCCTTCATCATTAGGTGTTCCACCAGGTCCTGCCTATGGGAAGCTGAAAAATGGAATTTCTGTTGTTCTGGAAAATGGGGTTACAATTTCTCCCCAAGATGTCTTAAAAAAGCCTATTGTTGGAAGAAAAATCTGCATATTGGGTGACTGCTCTGGGGTTGTGGGTGATGGAGGAGTAAAACTGTGCTTTGAAGCAGACCTGTTGATCCACGAAGCAACCCTGGATGATGCCCAGATGGACAAAGCAAAGGAGCATGGCCACAGCACACCACAGATGGCAGCAACATTTGCAAAGTTGTGCCGTGCAAAGAGGCTGGTTCTGACTCACTTCAGTCAGAGGTACAAACCAGTTGCCTTGGCCAGAGAAGGAGAAACAGATGGCATTGCAGAACTAAAAAAGCAAGCTGAATCAGTGTTAGATCTCCAAGAAGTGACTCTAGCAGAAGATTTTATGGTGATAAGCATTCCAATCAAGAAATGAAACCAGTGTTCCTGAGTGCACACTGACATGTCTGTGAATATGTTACTGAACCTATAGTCCAGTTTTTTTATTTCTTGTTTTAGTCTGAAATTATTTGGGCCCTAATAATCCTAAAAAGAATGGAGCTGCATTGATGAATTGGCTCAGTATTTAAAGGGAGCAAACTTTTTGATAATAAATCTTTTTAAGAGAAAAAAAACCCAGCATCCTTTTTGAAGTCCAGATTTGTCAAAATGATAGACTATTCAGTTATACATCTTATTTTGTGCTACTACCACAGATAGCCAATATTCCATGCAGTCCTGGGCTTAGCTTCTGCCCAGCTTTATTGCTGCTATTGGCAAAGAGCACAGGACTCAGCCCTCGTGGCTAAAAATGGTATTTTGGCAGTTTGTATTGAATCTGTTTGTGTTATTAACAGAAGAGGGAGAAATGTCATGAGACGTTGGACAGGCAGGATTGATGATAGCATGACCATAGCTTTGCTGGAATACTGAATGCAGGGTTTGGCTAGGTGTTTATTTTAACATTTTATTAAACTTTCTATTTGGGTCTTAACCCATGGTTCTCAGCTGGGGTGACACTGCTCCTCTAGAAGCAGGTTTGAAATTATGGGTATGTTTTCTTGTCACAGTGACTGAGTACGGTGGTGGTAGTGGTGGTACTACTACTACTGGTATTTAGTCAGCAGGGATAAGGGATGTTAGCTGTCCTGCAAAGTTTTGGTCAGTCATATACAATAAAGAATCATCTCACCCCGAAATGCAAATTGCAGGCCCATTGAGATACACAGCAAGTTAGTTTATACTCTTGATGTGAATATAGTTTACCAAAATTAGTGACATAATGAGTGGAATTACTAGGTAAGTCAAATCCTAAAGAGTGAATGTGTTAGAATTGCAGTGTCATACCAAATAACATTCAAAAGAAATGAGCCATTAAGTGAAGCTTATGAACCTGGAGGTAAAAAATGCTTATCTGTTAAACTGAGGTTTCATTGACGTGTCCCTATTAATAAACGTTATTTGCCCCACAATGTTTCTTAAAACATGCTCCATGGAAAGCTAGCCTTCAGTGCTGATTCACTCAGAGGAGCTCCTCAGTCAAATCAGTTTGGGAAACACATTATTGCTGTCTGTCCTCCTAGGAGTGGTGTAGTGTCCATCAACATACTAAAAACAGTATTGCTTCAAATGATCATAAACCAGTGTTTGATGCCAGAAAGACCTGATCCCAGAGTCCCATTCTCTGATATGTGGTAGTACCTCTGTGTGGTCTGGAGCAGGTAACCCACTCTCTGAGTTTCTTCAGCTTGTTCATTTCAAAAATGGGAAAAACAGTAAGACCTATGTCATAGATTGTTAAACAAGACAACATATATAAGGAGCATAGCACATTGCTTGAAGGTGTTGAGAAATCCTGCAGTACAGAGGCCTGTCAGCTCTGTTGAACCCCTTTCTCAGTCCTATTTCACCAGGTACTACCTGTTAACATCTCAGGAACCTAGAGAGCTTTACAGCACACATATTTAGAAACACTGTTGTAGTACTTACTGTTCAATTTCCTCTGGGTTCTGGGGCTTCTCTGGCCAAATTTTTTGACTCCTGGCTAGTTGTGGAGACTCCAAAGTAGTGATGATTGGCTGGGGGCAGTGGCTCATGCCTGTAATCCCAGCATTTGGAGGCCAAGGCAGGCGGATTGCTTGAGCCCAGGAGTTCCAGACCAGCCTGCACAACATGGTGAAACCCCATCATTACAAAAAATACAAAACTTAGCCAGGCATGGTGGTGTGCCTGTGGTCCAGCTACTCAGGAGGCCAAGGTGGGAGCCTGGGGCGGTTGAGGCTGCAGTAAGCCATGATCATGCTATTGCACTCCAGCCTGAGCAACAGAGCAAGACCCTCTCTCAAAAAAAAAAAAAAAAAAAAAAGCAAAAAACAATGATCAAAATAGGTCTGGTTACTTAAGATATGATCATTCTGATGCAGTCTCTAGAATGGTCTGTCTTACTATAGACTCTGCCCGCAAAAAGTGCCAAATTTTGATCATGCATAAAGCATGCCATGGTTTCTAAATTCAATTCAAATAAGCATTAATTAGACATCTAATGTACCTAAACTTGTGCAAGAGGCTAGGACTCTAGGACTAGAATGGCTCAGATGAGTATCTCTAATGCATGAAGCCCCTGAGGATAGAGATTATTATGTCTTAGTCACTGCCACATCCTTAGAAATGTCCACCTAGAGCTGAGTGCAGTGGTGTGTGCCTGTAGTGCCACCTACTCAGGAGGCTGAGGTGAGAGGATCACTTGAGTCCAGGGGTTCAAGTCCATAGAGACATAGCAAGACTCCATCTTGGCCAGGGGCAGTGGCTCACACCTGTAATCCCAGCACTTGGGGAGGCCAAGGTGGATGGATTGCTTGAGGTCAGGAGTTCGAGACCAGCCTGGGCAACGTGGCTAAACCCCCGTCTCTACTAAAATTACAAAGATTAGCTAGGTGTGGTGGTGCATGGTAATGAAACTAGCCCATTTCATTACTGAACTTACCGGAAAGAATTTACACCACCTCTTTGGTGGTGCCCCATTCACTGAGTACTAAGTAAGTGCCAGACTTTATTGTGTTGGTAGTACATAAATGAATAGACAAATGGCAAAATTCCAGCCCTAAGCACACAGCCTAGTGAAAGAGACCAGTAGATAAAAAGTAAATCTGTAGTTGCTTCACATGTTCTAATCTTGTATCCTGGGCACTCGAATTTTGCTGTTCCTGAGCATTACTTGGTAGCTGACTTGAGCCATGCCCTTAGAATCAGGCTCTATAAATACATATGGGCTAAGCCCTCAGAGGCCATGGGAATGTGGAAACGATATGTTGGGTCAAGTGTAGAGTATCAGTCCATGATGAGAACTTTTTCTAGACCCTCTTCTGGGCTAGAATTTGTTTTCAGTGATAGAGACATTCTAAGAATTTGTGGAGCTAGAATTAAGAAAGAAGTTTATATTGGACTTCTCGGAACCTGTAATCTACCCAAGGATTTGACTCTTAAGTGGGGAGGGTGACCATATTATGTATTGTGTCCCAAATTTATTTGATTACTGAATCCTCTTTTTGCCAAGGAAGATCTTGGAACTTTAGAAATGCCATTCTCCATACGTTGCAAAATTATTCTATTTATGTTTTTTACCTGCAGAATTTATTGAGCTCATGATTTCCATGTCTACACTTAATGTATTACTTCCTTTGTCCTAAACTGACTCAATTGTAAGGAATCCATACATACCTACTTATTTTAGATTTTATTTTATTATTATTATTATTATTATTTGAGACAGAGTCTCATTCTGTATTTTAGATTTTAAAAAATGCACACTTGTGGCCAGGCACCATGGTTCACCTGTAATCCCAGCACTTTGGGAGGCCGAGGTGGGCGGATCACTTGAGGTCAGGAGTTTGAGACCAGCCTGGCCAACGTGGTGAAACCCCATCTCTACAAAAATTAGCTGGGCATGGTGGCGGGCACCTATAATCCCAGCTACTCGGGAGGTTGAGGCAGAAGAATCGCTTGAACCTAGGAGGCGGAGGTTGTAGTGAGCCGAGATCACACCACTGCACTGCCTGGGTGAAAGAGCAAGACTCCGTCGCAAGAAAAAAGAAGTGCATGTTCTAATTCTCCAAAGTTGTTTACACTTGCCCAGATAGACCCTAAATCAGCTCTGTTTAATACTCATGCCTCATTAATGCACTTTTAATGAACTTTGAATTATAAAAGCAGCGTATGTTTGGTAGAGAATTTTTTTAAGATGCAATAAAAGAAGACAATTATTCGTAATTCCTTCACCCACAGAGAGCTGTTATTTCTGATCCAGTGGTCCCCAAACTGAGGGGTGGGTGAGAATTACTCAGGGTGTGTAGGTAGACAGCGATCCTTAGGCTCTGTTTTCAAAGACTTAGGCTCTGTTTTCAAACGTCTGGGGTAATACCCAAGAATTTGCATTTTTAATAAGCCCCCAAGGTGATTCTGAGGTATATGAGTGGCAGACCATATTGGGAGAAAAAAACTGTCTATTCTATGCGTTTTAAAAGTTTTGCGTGTGTTTAGATATTTTGTATGTGCTTCTACCTATGTTGGTATGTGTGTATATTATACACATGTACACCTGTATATTTTTACATGTAGGCTGACCTCAACTGTTTTTCTCATTTAGCATATTATGAGGATTTCCCCACGGCATTAAGTGTTCTCTGAAAGCATGAATTTAATGATTTTCTATTATTGCATTCTATAGATACAGTATCACTTAACCGTTTTTTTATTTGGAGGCAGTGAGATTGTTTTCCGTTATTATAAATAATACTATCATGAATATTCTTATGCATAAATCCTTGTATCTCTGAGTATTTCCTTCCTTAGAATTGATTTCTCTGAGGGTGAAAATCTGACTTCTTTTTGGAGGTTCTGGGTAGGAATTGCCCACTGGTTTCCATGCTCTTTTACACTCCTAGCAGCAGTGAATAGGAGTGGCCTGTCTTGGTATTCTATCTGGAGATGATACGGAGTATCATCAGCTCATGACCTTGCTAACGCTTCTTCCCCAAGACATTAGTCCTATGAAGATTATTTTCACCTCCCAGTGCAAATAACTTTGTTATGTCTTGCAAGTAGGACATATTGTGATTTCCTTGAATACTCTTATGCCAACTTAAAAATTTGGTAGTTTTTACTTTAGGGGTAAAAATCCTTACTGCTTCAAATATGTCCATGATAGATGTACAGTGAAGGTACTTTTTTACTAACAAAGGTATAAATTTATCGTGAAATGTGCTGGTTCTGTCCTTACTGATTGATGGATTTTTCAGGTAATGAATGAGTCAGTATTTTTCTTACATGGGAAGACTAAAAAGGAAGCGCTGGTAATGCTCTGAATGTTCCCTCTTGGCAGGATAAGAATAGAGCGGGGAGGCGGGTAAGATCGCAAAATTATTTTCTTCCTTAGTAGGAAGTAAACAATGTCTAAAAGTGAAAAACAAATAGTACTCTAAGCATAGTATGTTTTTAAAAAGCAGAAGGTGGGGAGGAGAGACTACCAGATGAATAGTTAAGAGTGGAAGAAGGGGCCAGAAGGGTCAAGGGGGTGGGGACAGATGGTCAGGGGACCGCTATTTTTTATAAGCCTAATAGTATTAGCACTATTTTACATTTTAAACCATTTGTGTGTATTCATTTAGTTTAAAAATTACATTAAAACACACACACAGATAAGATGCTGCTCTGAGTAATCTTAACAATTGCGTGTCTCCCCATGGGTGCTACAGGCAGTTAGCAGCTGCTCTCAAGCCTTTGTAACATTCCAGTCCCATTCTCCATACTGCAGTCTGAGTCTGTGTGTTTTGTTTTTTTCAAAATGCACATTTGAGTCTCATGTTCCCCCTGCTTGAAACTTAATGGTCATTTCTTACCCACCTTCCCAATCTAATCTTCCTCTACACTTCTGCAGCCCTAGCCACGTGGGTCTTCTTTCAGTCCTTTGTCAGGGCTTTCTGTTGTCGCAAAGCCTTTGCAAGGCCTGCTCCCTCTGCCTGGAATGCTCTTTCTCCTCTCCCCAAGTTAACCCTTCCTGGGCCTTCAGATCACAGCCCTATAGCCACAGCCTCAGGGAAACCTTCCCTGGCCTCCCCACTAGGTAGCATATTACTCTTTTTTTTTTTTTTTTGAGATGGAGTCTCGCTCTGTTGCCAGGCTAGAGTGCAATGGTGCGATCTCTGCTCCCTGCAACCTCCGCCTCCTGGGTTCAAGCGATTCTTCTGCCTCAGCCTCCATATAGCTGGTACTATAGGTGTGCACTACCACGCCCAACTAATTTTTGTATTTTTGGTAGAGACGGGGTTTCACCATGTTGGCCAAGATGTTCTTGATCTCCTGACCTTGTGATCCGCCTGCCTCAGCCTCCCAAAGTGCTGGGAACACAGGCATGGTCCACTGCGCCCGGCCGCATATTACTCTTATAGCACCTGCATCTGACCTTCCTGGTGCTTGGCACTTACTATTTTCATTTTGCTTCTGTGAGCGATGTTTCTCTTTCCCATTAGCATTGTAAGCTTCCCAAGAGCAGAACTGTGTCTTTTGTTTCCCTCTGTGCCTAGCTTGGTGCCTGGAACATATTAGGCACTCAATAAATAGTGTTGACTGGTTCAGTTTTCCCCGTCATCCTGTTATTCAGTTAATATGCAGTGCTTTGTTTTCCTAGGAATTCTTCCTGATTAATATTAAAAACAAACAAAATACCCACCCCTAGTCTCTGAAATAAAAGTGGGAAGGAGGATAATGGTTGTCTGTGACTTTAATGGGGTGAATCCTTTTAAGTACTAATTTTAAAGCTTTAGTTTTGTGTCATATGATATGCAGACAGAAACCTAGACCCATGGGAATGATTGGAAAAAAGATTTACTCTGCCTAAAAAGTTGGGATGTTAGCTTTTGCAATGTATAGGGGAATCAGAACAGAGAGGAGACAGCCAAGCCCCAGGCAGGAGTCTGGAGCCCTATGCAGGTAGGAAAAATGGGAAAACTTTTAAGAACACAGATATCTGATACTCAATTTTATGTTGCCTGCATTGCTTGGAATTAAATCTCTACTTTCTACCTAACTTTCTTTGAAGTCTGCTAGACACATATGACTTGGGGATCCCTCCCCAGCCCTGCACACCACCAAAAGAGAACAAGTTCTAAATTCCATGACTAGGTTGACCTGGGGGGAGAAAGGACAGCAGGGAAGAGAGTGAGACAATCCCCAAACTAATACAGTTCACAGGAGCTGAAGTCAGAGGTGATTACATGAACCAATGTTTCCCAGTTATTTTCAGAAAATTGTGAAGAGGACATTGACCTTAACATAGCCCATGGAATGAGAGTGACAGGGGTTGAGCCAATTTCATGTATATCTTAAAGGACAGGGTAACTCCAACTGCAATCTAGACACAGATATTTCTGTGTCCTTGATATGTTTCAAGGGTTAAAAGGCTGTCATATCCAGTATAACAAGGAAGTTTTTTGGGGGGAAGCAGTACCTCAGTTTATCCAAAGCAAAAAATATTTCCACCCCTAAATAAAGCTAGCTGAGAAGCACTGCTGCTCAGATGTCAGGATGCTAATTATACACCCAGCAGACATCGAAGGTACAAAGATGAAATGCAGCCACGAAAAAGTAAAAGGGGAAAGACAAGGGATCAAGTTGTCCAGCTATATAAATCTACCTTTAATTGCCAGAAATCATTCAGGCAGCCTCAGGTAGAGAACTACACAATGTTTAGTTCACTGTCACCAAATGAAACCAAGGTTATCTGGGTTGTTTTCTACATTGTTATGGCTTCCAGATGTCATAGGCTTGTCTGACTATATCTCTTGACACATCCTGGGCTGGAAATGACCTTGTCACTCGGCCTTCTAAAGTGCTGGGATTACGGTTGTTGACCCAGACATGGGTACCTTAGAAGTACCCATGTCTGGGTCAGCAACTCAAATGCTGATCCCAACTGGCTTACAAAGGGCCTTCCCATGGAATACATTTTCACACAGCTAGCAGATAACAGGGCACAATCCTCCCCAGCATGCCTATACCGAGAGGCAGTATAGCCTAGTAGAGTGGCCTTCAGGCTAGGTAATAGTATCCCTGGAGATATGTAAAGACTTTTCTAAGGATACACAGGCATATTCTCATATGAAATATTTCGTAGAGTTTATCTTCCTGAGAATTATTGCAATCAAAGTGTTTTGCTGTAGTATTGTGCATTGTTCCAGAATGAAAAGCCTCTGGGATACCAGTGAAAGGGATAATTGGAATATTGATATTGAGGTTGAAAAAAAATGAATGATTAACACCTTTTATAAGTTAGGTAGTTTCCAACTTGTTTTGAACAAAACTGAAGGAGGATCTAATCTGTCCAATGATAGATTTGTTTAAGCAGCTTTATGGAGATATAATTCACATGCCATAAAATTTGGTAGTTTTTCATATATTCACAGAGTTGTACAACCATCACCACTATCAATTTTAGAACATTTTCAGTATCCCCCAAATAAACCCCATACTCATTGGCACTCACACCCACTCCTTCCCATCTCCCAAACCTACCATCCCTAGGCAACCACTAATCTGCTGTCTCTATAGATTTGCCTATTTTGGACATTTCAGATAGATGGAATCATACATTATGTGGTCCTTCGTGACTGGCTTCTTCTAGTATAATGTTTTCAAGATGTATCCATGTTGTATCAATCCTTTATTCCTTTTTATGACCAAATAATATTCCATTCTATGGATATACCACATTTTATCCATTCATCAGTTGATCCAATAATAGATTATGAAAAATATTGTCTACAAAACACCTGTATCAGAAATGAAAAATGAGATATTCCTACAGATCTTATGTTTGTAAGATATTGCTACAGATCTTACATTAGAAAGATAAAAAAGGATATTATAAATAACTCCAAAGTTACTGAAACAACTTCCTTAAAAAAAAAAATTGCCAGAACTGACACAGAAAGTAAATAGGACTAACAAGACTTTCTATTTATTAAAGAAATTGAATTTGTGATAAAAAAGAAACCTTCTTACAAAAAAAAAATCTTGAGGGCCAGATTAGTGAATCATTTTAAACAATTGAGGAAGAAATACACCTTTCTTCTCCAAACACTTCTGGAAAGTAGAAAAAGAGGGAACACTTTCCAACTCATTTTATGAGTTTAGCATAACCTTGATGCCAAAATGTAAGGACATTAAAAGAAAGGAAAATTACATGCTAGTCTCTATCATAAAAACCCTGAAGAAAATAATTAGCTAATTGAATCCAGTGAAATATGAAAGGAATAAGACCTCTTCATAAAAGGAGTTTATTCCAGGAATGCAAGATTCATTTAACATTTGAAAATCAGTGTTTTCCACTTAATAAAATAAATGAGGAAAAACTGTGGGACAATCTCCACAGATACAAAACATTTTTTGATAAAATTTAATAGTCATTTGTAGTAAGAACTCTTAGCTTATTAAGATAAGAGATAAAAGCCAGGCGTGGTGGCTCACGCTTGTAATCCCAGTGCTTTGGGAGGCTGAGGAGGGCAGATCACTTGAGGTCAGGAGTTTGAGACCAGCCTGACCAACATGGAGAAACCCCATCTCTACTAAAAAAATATAAAATTAGCTGGGCGTGGTGGAGCATGCTTCTAATCCCAGCTACTGGGGAGGCTGAGGTAGGAGAATCACTTGAACCTGGGAGGCGGAGGTTGCGGTGAGCCGAGATCACGCCATTGTACTCCAGCCTGGGCAAGAAGAGTGAAACTCCATCTCAAAAAAAAAAAAAAAAAAAAAAGAATGAGATAAAACAGCAACTCAAAGTACTGTTAAAAGAAAAAAAAAAAAAGGGATAGGAGAGACCCTTAATGTGCACCACCACACCCAGCTAATTTTTAAAACTTTGTATAGAGATGGGGTCTCTCCATGTTGCCCAGGCTGGTCTTGAACTCCTGGGCTCAAGAGATCCTCCCACCTCAGCCTTCCAAAGTGCTGGGATTACAGGCATTAGCCACTGTGCCTGGTCATGTACTATATTGCTTTGAAGGTCTTAGCCAGACCAATATAGATAGATAGATAGATAGATAGATAGATAGATAGATAGATAGACAGAATGAAGATTGGAATGGAAGAAATAAAACTTTCATCATTAGCAGGTGACATGATTATGTACATAGAAAATTTTAAAGAATAAGCAAATAACCTGTTAGGATAAATAGATGAATTTAATAAGATTGCTGAATACTCAGTCAATATAAAGAAAATCAACTTTATGCCTACATTCCAACAACAAACTAATAGAAAATGTTTTAATGATATCATTTACAGAAGGATCAAAACTATCAAAAATCTAGGAATAAATCTAATGAAATATATGCAAAACCTCTCCACTGAAAACTACAAAATATTATTCAGATGAAGAAAAGTAAAATAAATGGAAAGGCATACCATGTTAATAAACCAAGAATATTCAGTATTGGAAAGATGTCATTTATCCCTAAATTTATCTGTAGTTTCAATGCAACCCAATCAAAATAACTGTAGGTTTTTATTTGGATATGTTTATGAAGAAATTGAGAAACTGTTTCTAAAGTTTATATAGGCATGCAAAGACCAAGAATAGCTAGGACAATCTTAAAAGAAGAACAAAATTAAAAGATTTACATTATCGGATATCAAGACTTACAGTAAAACTGCAATCACTTAGTATAATATTGTTGCAAGGAGGACAAATAGACCAATGGAATAGAAAGACGTTCAGGGGAAAAAAACCCACACATATTTAGTCACTTATGACAAATATGAAATTTCTGTGCAACAAAGAAAGAGTTGCCTTTGCAATAAATGGAGAGTCAATCAGATTTCAATAATGAAAAAATTGATTACATTGATTCCTACCTTAAACAATACACAAAAATCAATTCCAAATGGATTTTATATATAAATGTGAATTTAGAATTTTAGTATATGTGCTGCCGAGGCAAGCACTAAATGTGAATATAGAAAAGCTCCCTTTTTGGAGTAGGCAAAGATTACTAAAACAAAATCGAAGCACTAAGAATAATAAAGAAAAAGGTAGTTAAATTGAATGTTAAAATTAGGAACTTCTATTCATAAAAGACACTATCAAGAGAGTGATAAAGCAAGCCACAGAGTAGTACAGCATATTTACAATAGCTGTAGTTGATAAAGGATTTGAATCTAGAATTCAATAGTAGTTAGGTGTTGCTACATAACAAATTACCCCCAAAACAGTGATCTCATAATCTTGGTGGGTCAGGAATCTCGGTACAACTTAGCTGGGTACTTCTGGCACAAGATCTCTCATGAGGTTGTAGTTAAGCTGCCAGCTATAGGGCAGTGGGTTCATCTGAAGACCCAAGCGAGGGATCCACTTTCAAGCTTCCTCATGTAGTTGTAGGCAGACCTTGGTCCCTTGTCACATGGGTCTCTTCGCAGGGCTGCCTCATGACATGGCAGCTGATTTCCCTCATGTCAAGCAACCTGAGATAGAATGAGCACCCAAGCCACAGTCTTTTTATAATTTAACCTTGAAAGTGACATCTCATTACTTCTGCCACATTCTATTCATTAGAAGCGAATCAGTAAATCCAGTGCACACTCAAGGGTAAGGGACTGCAGATAGCATAAATACCAGGAAGCAGGGTAATTGGTGGGCCATCAGAGGCAGCCTACCAAAGAATTTATAAAGAACTTTTAAAAGTCTTGATCTAGGTAGGAGTTAATATGGGTGTGTTTACTGTGTGAAAATTAATCTATTCAGATGTGATTTGGGTGCTTTTCTGAACATAGGTTATATATCTGTGGAAAGTTGACTTAACATTTTTGATGAAAAACTCTAGGCAGAATTCTTAAGATTCTTATCTCCTGGTTATTAATTAAAGCTCTAATCTAGGCATTACTATGAGTGGATTTTGCAGATATAATTGAAGTCCCAGTTGACTGTAAAACTATCCAAGTGAGCATAACTCAATCGGGGAGCCCTTTAAAAGCAGATAATTTTTCATCTATAATTCCAGTGCTTTGGGAGGCCAAGGCAGGAGGATTGCTTGAGGCCAGAAGTTCGAGACCAGCATGGCCAAAATAGTGAGACCCTGTCTCTATTAAAAAAAAAAAAAAAGATTAAATGATTTAACATATGTAAAGCACTTAGAACAGAAAGTGCTATATACAGATCAGACATTATCACTATTAAACTTCAAATTGGAGCCTACGATGTTCCCTCATCATTCAGAGGAGGTTTAACTCCTTTGGGGTTTTGGAAACTGCCCTCACAGTGTTCCACCAGCCCAGAGGCTGGGGTAAGGAGTGCCTCCAACCTTCTAGATTGGGGGCCAGGGCACATTGCTTTTGACTTGTGTTAAAGCCACTTGCCACATGTTGCTATCGGACACTTGAAATGTGGCTAGTCCAAATTAAGATGTGCTGTAAGTGGAAAAAAGTCACTAGATTTTAAAGACAGTATGAAAAGAAGAATGTATAATAATAGTTCAATCATTTTTTACATTGATTATAGGTTGAAATAATATTTTGGACATATCAGGTTAAATAAAAGACATGACTAAAATTAATTTCACCTGTCCCTTTTTTGCAGTTTCTAATGTGGGTACTAGAAAATTTAAAATTACCTATGTGGCTCACATTATATTTCAACTGGACAGTGCTGCTTTAGACAGTCTTTCTCAATGCCAGCAGTCAGAGTGGTCCTTTAAAGATACAATTCAGATCATGTCACTACTCTGCTTAAAACCCTCCAGTAATATCGGATCTCACTCAAGAGTAAGTCAAAATCCAGATCGAAGTCTACCAGTTCCTGTGTGATCAGCCTCCACCCCACCCCCTCTCTCAGGTTCAGTGTAAATCAAGTTCCAAATTTTGCGAAACCTGAAGTTTACATCATGGGAGAAAGAAAGGGGGAGATGAACATGAGTTCTTGCTAAGAAAAAGTACAAATTATGAATTTATTTATTTATTTAGAGATAAGAGTCTCGCTCTGTCCCCCTGGCGGGAGTGCAGTGGCGTGATCTTGGCTCACTGCAGCCTCTGCCTCCTGGGTTCAAGCGATTCTCCTGCCTCAGCCTCCCGAGTAGCTGGGATTACAGGCTGGGTAATTTTTGTATTGTTAGTGGAGACGAGGTTTCACCATGTTGGTCAGGCTGGTCTTGAACTCCTGACCTCAGGTGATCCACCTGCGTTGGCCTCCCAAGGTGTTGGGATTACAGGCATGAGTCACCATGCCCAGCCGAATAATGAGTTTAGAATTAGGTACTGTGATGGTTAGTACTAGGTGTCCACTTGAATGGACTGAGGGATGCCTGGATGTCTGGGGAAGCATTGTTCCTGGATATGTCTGTGAAGGTGTTGCCAGAGGAGGTTGACATTTGAGTCCCTGGACTGGGAGAGGAAGACCCACCCTCAGTGTGGGTGGGCACCATCCAATCAACTGCCAGAGTGGCTGGAACAAAGCTGGCAGAAAAGGGGAAGAAACAACTTCCTGGGTCCTCTCCGGTGCTCTCTTTTCCTCTGCAGGATGCTTGCTTCCTCTCCTCCTGCCCTTGGACATCAGACTCCAGGTTCTTCAGCCTTTGGACTCTGGGACCTGCACCGGCAGCCTCCTGGAGGCTCTCGGGCCGTAGGCCTCAGCCTGAGGGCTGCACTGTCGGCTTTCCTGGTTTTGAAGCTTTCAAACTTGGACCGAGCCACGCTCCCGGCTTCTGTTTCTCCAGCTTGCAGACAGCCAGTCATGGGACTTCGCTTTATAATCCTGTGAGCCAATTCTTCCTGATAAACTCCTTTATATATACACACATATATCCTATTGGTTCTGTCCCTGTGGAGAACCTAATACAGGTTTTGGTATCAGGAGTGGTTCTAGAGGAACATAATTTTAAGCATAAATTTCCTTTGTCGGTTTTGGGGTTTCTGGAGTTGGATATCTAATCTGATTAGACCCAAATGCTAAAGACTCTATTTCTAATAGTATGGACAGCACTAATAGTCCTTGGCTTGAACTGTTTAGAGTTACGCAAAATAAATGCATTTGATATTTCTGATTCCCTGTTCCTAAGAGGCAAGGAGTTTAGTGACTCTATATATGATACCTTTGAACATTTGTGGAGAACCAAGGAATATAATGAAGTTGGCTGGTTGCTCCTAAGTTCACTGGGCAAAGTGATGAACGAAAAGGATGAGCTGAGGGATTCTATTTCCTGGTTCTAGATACACATACATAGCCAAAAAGTTTCTCAGGGTGCCCTGGGTAAGAATCTTCTCTTCTGTGGACAAAGAGCTGAAATTGCTGAAAATCAGACACAAGCTCTTATGCAAGTGGCTGACCTGCAATGGAAGGTTCATGCTCAGCTTCACCAAGTGTCTACTGTCAAAGGGAGGGCTTTGATTGGGAAAGAATGGGACCCTGTAAGTTGGGATGGGAATATGGGGGACTCTGATGAAGCTAGGGACACCTAACTCCTAAATTCTAATGAGCCTTTTTTGCCAGAGGAAATGGCATCCCCACCCCCCGTAGTGGCAACATACTTTTACCCACACACTCCAGTACCAGCCTTTCCATCTTTAAGATTAACCCTGCATTGCCCCGGGGAAACAGGGATGTCCTCCCTTGAGGCAGCTGCCAGGAAAGACAATGCTGGTTCTCCTCAGGACCCATCCCCACCACCTGTCCTTGCCTCTGGACTCTAACTGGACTCTAGTTCCTACAGGCCCTTAGAGGTGAGGTTCAGGGTATGACTCATGAGAAGGCATGCTATGCTCCAAATACTAATCAGACTTTTTGGGGGCTACTGGATGCTGGCTCCAACTACTCGAGTTTTCTAATTTACATGAGCAGAAATCCAGGGAACAGGTATGGGAATGGATATTAAGAGTGTGGGATAATGCAGCCAATATCATACTGAATGGGCAAAAACTGGAAGCATTCCCTTTGAAAACTGGCACAAGACAGGGATGCCCTCTCTCACCACTCCTATTCAACATAGTGTTGGAAGTTCTGGCCATGGCACTCAGGCAGGAGAAAGCAATAAAGGGTATTCAATTAGGAAAAGAGGAAGTCAAATTGTCCCTGTTTCCAAATGACATGGTTGTATATTTAGAAAACCCAGTCATCTCAGCCCAAAATCTCCTTAAGCTGATAAGCAACTTCAGCAAAGTCTCAGGATACAAAATCAATGTGCAAAAATCACAAGCATTCCTATACACCAATAACAGACAAACAGAGAGCCAAATCATGAGTGAACTCCCATTCACAATTACTTCAAAGGAATAAAATACCTAGGAATCCAACTTACAAGTGATGTGAAGGACCCTTCAAGGAGAATTACAAACCACTGCTGAACGAAATAAAAGAGGACACAAACAAATGGAAGAACATTCCATGCTCATGGATAGGAAGAATCAATATCGTGAAAATGGCCATACTGCCCAAGGTAATTTATAGATTCAATGCCATCCCCATCAAGCTACCCATGACTTTCTCCACAGAATTGGAAAAAACTACTTTAAAGTTCATATGGAACCAAAAAAGAGCCTGCATTGCCAAGACAATCCTAAGCAAAAAGAACAAAGCTGGAGGCATCATGCCACCTGACTTCAAACTATACTGCAAGACTACAGTAACCAAAACAGCATGGTACTGGTACCAAAACAGAGATATAGACCAATGGAACAGAACAGAGCCCTCAGAAATAATACCACACATCTACAACTATCTGATCTTTGACACATCTGACAAAAACAAGAAATGGAGAAAGGATTCCCTATTTAATAAATGATGCTGGGAAAACTGGCTAGCCATATGTAGAAAGCTGAAACTGGATCCCTTCCTTACACCTTATACAAAAATTAATTCAAGCTGGATTAAAGAATTAAATTTTAGACTTAAAATCATAAAAACCCTAGAAGAAAACCTAGGCAATACCATTCAGGACATAGGCATGGGCAAGGACTTCATGACTAAAACACCAAAAGCAATGGCAACAAAAGCCAAAATTGACAAATGGGATCTAATTAAACTAAAGAGCTTCTGCACAGCAAAAGAAACTACCATCAGAGTGAACAGGCAACCTACAGAATGGGAGAACATTTTTGAAATCTACCCATCTGACAAAGGGCTAATATCCAGAATCTACAAAGAACTTAAACAAATTTACAAGAAAAAAATCAAACAACCCCATGGAAAAGTGGGCGAAGGACATGAACAGACACTTCTGAAAAGAAGACATTTATGCAGCCAACAGACACATGAAAAAATGCTCATCATCACTGGCCATCAGAGAAATGCAAGTCAAAACCACAATGAGATACCATCTCACACCAGTTAGAATGGTGATCATTAAAAAGTCAGGAAACAACAGGTGCTGGAGAGGATGTGGAGAAACAGGAACACTTTTACACTGTTGGTGGGACTATAAACTAGTTCAACCATTGTGGAAGACAGTGTGGCGATTCCTCAAGGATCTAGAACTAGAAATACCATTTAACCCAGCCATCCCATTACTGGGTATATACCCAAAGGATTATAAATCATGCTGCTATAAAGACACATGCACATGTATGTTTATTGCAGCACTATTCACAATAGCAAAGACTTGGAACCAACCCAAATGTCCATCAATGATAGACTGGATAAAGAAAATATGGCACATATACACTATGGAATACTATGCAGCCATAAAAAAGGATGAGTTCATGTCCTTTGTAGAGACATGGATGAAGCTGGAAATCATCATTCTGAGCAAACCATCGCAAGGACAGAAAACCAAACACCATGTATTCTCACTCATAGGTGGGAATTGAACAATGAGAACACTTGGACACAGGATGGGGAACATCACACACTGGGGCCTGTCATGGGGTGAGGGGAGGCGGGAGGGATAGCATTAGGAGATATACCTAATGTAAATGATGAGTTAATGGGTGCAGCACACCAACATGACACATGTATGCATATGTAACAAAACTGCATGTTGTGCACATGTACCCTAGAACTTAAAGTATAAAAAAAAAAGAGTGTGGGATAATGGAGGAAGGACCATAAAGTTGGATCAGGCTGAACTCATTCCTATGGGTCCACTAAACAGAGATTCTGCATTTAATGTTGCAGCTCAGGGAGTTAAAAAAGGGTTCTAATAGTTTATTTGCTTGGTTAGCTGAAACATGGATCGAAAGATGGCCCACTGTGAGTGAGCTGGAAATGCCTGATCTCCCTTGGTTTAATGTAGAGGAAGGATCCCAAGGCTTAGAGAGATTGGAATGTTAGAGTGGATTTGGATTTGTCAGTAAGGACCTACTCATCCCAACTGGGAGGGTCCAGAAGACACACCTTTCACCAGTTCCTTGTGAAATAGATTTGTGAAGGGAGCACCAGCATCCTTGAAGAGCTCTTTGATTGCTCTTCTCTGTATGTCAGATCTTACAGTGGGAACCACAGCCACTCAACTGGAAAACTTAAATGCAATGGGAATAATTGGATCCTGAGGTGGCAGAGGCCAAGTGGCAGCACTCAACCATCAAAGGCAAGGTGGGCATGGTTAGTAATGGACAGCAGAAGCAAAACAGCAATCAGAATAGTCTGAAACCTATAGAGCTCTAGCATTGGCTAATTTATCATTGTATTCCTAGAAGTGAAATCGACAGGAAGCCTACTACATTCTTACTTGATCTGTATAAGCAGAAAACTTCCAGGTCAGGTGAACAAAAGTCCAATTTGAATTATAAAAACAGAGAATCATGGTCCTTCAATCAATTTCCAGACTCAAGCTAGTTTATAGACCCAGAACCCCTTGAATGAAAGGGAGGCCAGGTCCACTTGAGGAAGGACCCCACTATACTGCTGAAAATTTATACTGTTAATCTTTCTCCTAACCTTCCTCAAGGAAACCTCTGGCCTTTTAGCAGGGTAACTGTGCTCTGAAGAAATAAATAATCAGGGTTTTGGGGGGCTACTGGATACTGGTTCTGAACTGTCATTGATTTTAGGGGAGCCAAAATATCACTGTGGGGCTGGGCATGGTGGCTCACACTTGTAATCCCAGTACTTTGGGAGGCCGAGGTAGGCGGATCACTTGAGTTCAGGAGATCAAGACCTGCCTGACCAAAATGGTGAAACCCCATCTCTACTAAAAACACAAAAAATTAGCTGGGCCTAGTGGCATGCACCTGTAGTTCCAGCTACTTGGGAGGGTGAGGCAGGAGAATCACTTGAATCCGGGAGGTGGAGGTTGCAGTCAGCTGAGATTGTACCACTGCACTCCAGCCTGGGCGACAAACAAGATTCCATCTCAAAAAAAAAAAAAAAAAAATCATTGTGGCCCTCCAATTAGACTAGGGGCTTATAGGTGTCAGATAATTGATGGAGTTTTATCTCAGGTCTGACTTATAGCGAGTCCAGTGAGTCCCTGGATCCATCCTGTGGTCATTTCTCCAGTGCTAGAATGCGTAATTGGAATAGATATTCTTAGTAGCTGGCAGAATTCCCAAATTGGTTCCCTGGCCTGTGGGATGAGGGCTATTACAGTGGGAAAGGCCAAATGGAAGCCATTAAGAATGCCTCTACCTAGGAAAATAGTTAATTAAGGACTTGAAACACGGAGGGTGGTGATTCCCACCACATCCCCATTCAGGTCTCCTATTTGGCCTGTGCAGAAGATGTGGATCTTGGAGAATGACAGTGGATTATCATTAGCTTAACCAAGTGGCGACTCCAATTGCAGCTGTTATAGTAAATGTGGTTTCATTGCTTGAGCAAATTAACACATCCTCTGGTGCCTGGTATGCAACTATTGATCTGGCAAATGCCCTTTTCTCCATTGCTGCCCATAAGGCCCACCAGAAGCAATTTGCCTTCACTGTCCTACCTCAGGGGTATATTGACATTCCAGCTGTATGTCATAATCTTGTTCACAGAGGCCTTGATTGCTTTTCCCTTCTACAAGATATCACACCAGTTCATTATATTGCTGACATTATGCTGATTGGACCTAGTGAGTGAGAAGTAGCAACCACTCTGGCCTTATTTGGTGATACATTTGCATATCGGGGGTGAGAAATAAATCTGACTAAAATTCAGGGGCCTTCTGCCTCAGTGAAATTTCTAGGACTCCAGTGGTGTGGGGCCTGTTGAGATATTCCTTCTAAGGTGAAGGATAAATTGTTGCATCTCGCCTCTCCTACAACTATGAAAGAGGTGCAACAACCTAGTGAGCTTATTTGTATTTTCAAGGCAACACATTCCTCATTTGGGCGTGTTACTCTGGCCCATTTATTGAGTGACACAAAAGGCTGCTAGTTTTGAGTGGAACTACTACCTAATGATAGGCCGATTACATTGAACTACTTCCATCGTGGAAGGGGCAGCAGTTTATCCTTGGGACAGACAGTTATTTCCGATATGGATTTGACTTTCCTGCATGCAATTCTTCTACCAAGACTGCCATCTTTGGGCTCACAGAATGCCTTATCCACTGCCATGGTATTCCACACAGCATTGCTTCTGATGAAGGAACTCACTTCCCAGCCAAAGAATTGCAGCAGTGGGCTCATGCTCATGGAATTCACTGGTCTTACCGTATTCCCTATCATCCTGAAGCAGCTGGCTTGATAGAATGGCGGAATGGCCTTTTGAAGTTGCAGTTACAATGCCAACTAGGTGACAATACTTTATAGGACTGAAGTCTTCTCCAGAAGGCTGTATATGCTCTGAATCAGTGTCTAGTATATGGTACTGTTTCTCCCATAGCCAGGATTCACAGATCCAGGAATCAAGGAGTGGAAGTGGAAGTGGCACCACTCACCATCACCCCTAGTGACCCACTAGCAAAATGTTTGCTTCTTGTTCCAGTGACATTATGTTCTGCTGCCTAGAGTTCTTAGTTCCAGAGGGAGAAATGCTGCCACCAGGAGACATAATACAAAAGTGGCTTGAGGAGCTACTTTAGGCAACTCAAGCTTCGGAGTCAACAGGTTAGGAAGTGAGTTACAGTGTTGCCTGGGGCGATTTACCCAGACTGTCAAGATGAAATCAGACTACTACTCCACAATGGAGGAAAGGAAGAATGTCTGCAGTTTAGGAGATCCTTTAGGATGTCTCTTAGTATCACCCTGCCCTGTAATTAAGGTCAATGGGAAACTACAGCAACTCAATCCAGGCAGGACTACAAATGGCCTAGACTTCAGAAATGAAGGTTTGGGTCACGCCACTAGGTAAAAAAGCCACAACCAGCTGAGGTGCTTCCAGATAGCAAAGGGAATACAGAATGGGTAGTAGAAGAAGGTAGTTATGGTTAGGGACAAGCTGCCCCAGGGACCACCGCCCCCCCCCGCCACCCCCCCCCCCCCCGCCCGCCCTGCAATGCAGCTGACCCTTACCCTGAATACTCTGCAGCTGCATTCCTAAACCCTTATCTAGGCGCCACAGCAAGGTCACCAGACTTGCTGAGCAAACCCTGATTATAGCCCCCCGGGCGGCACTGGAGAGGTCAGGAGAAACCTAGGTTACACCCTCTTGTAAATTCCTATTTTCACAAGATAATATACTGTAAGCCGGTCAAGAGATGATATGTGGTAAAGTTAACTGACAAACAATCCCAGAGTCTCTCTCCCCCATAGAAACCCCTCATTTTGTAAGCTCAGGGCTGCCTCCTGACTGTGGTGGAACAGCCCGGCAGGTTAATAAACTTCCTTGCCTGACCTTGGGTCTCTCTCTCTCTCTCTCGTCCTTTCTTTCGGCTAACTTTACAGTTATCAATACCAGCTGCCACTACATGACCCATTTCAGAAACGAGGACTGTAATTGTCATGAGTATTCTCTCCTTATTTTGTTAATAATACATTTGTGCATATATACACTTGTATTAAGCAGATATCTTTGTCTTTTCTTGTTCCTTTATGATGTAACATAAGATTTACTGACGTCACATCAGCATTTAAGTGTTGTTAATTTTATGTAATAGTATTTAAGTTAAGGATTAGTGCATTTTCAATTGTACAAAGGATAGTTACATTATGTTGGGTGGAATTATGACCTTGTTATTGTCTTTATTTGGAGATAAGTATGATTTAAGAAGGTGTGTGTGAGTGCCAAGTTGACAAGGGGTGGACTTGTTATGGTTAATAGAGATGTCAACCTGATTGAATTGAGGGATGCCTACATGACTGGGGAAGCATTGTTTCTGGTTGTGTCTGTGAAGGTGTTGCCAGAGGAGATTGACATTTCAGTTGTTGGACTGGGACTCAGTGTGGGTGGGCACCATCCAATCAGCTGCCAACAGAGGCTGGAACGAAGCAGGCAGAAGAAGGGGGACAAAGCAGCTTGCTGAGTCTCCTTGCTCTCTCTCTTCATGTGCTGGATGCTTGCTTACTCTCCTCCTATCCTTGGACATCAGACTCCAGGTTCTTCAGCCTTTGAAGTCTGGGAACCCCACCAGTGGCTCCTGGGGGCTCTTGGGCCTTCAGCCTCAGACTAAGGGCTGCATTATTGGCTTCCCTGCTTTTGAGGCTTTTGGACTTGGACTGAGCCACACTCCCAGCTTCTGTCTTTTTCCAGCTTGCAGATGGCTTATTGTGGGACCTCCCCTTGCTATCATGTGAGCCAATTCTCCCTGATAAACTCGCTTTTATATATACACATATCCTATTGGCTCTATCCCTCTGGAGAACTCCTAATACAGGTTCAGAATTGAATGTGAATTTAGATTGAGAAAATAAATCACAACAATTTATTGGATTCTTGGAAATTCTGGTCCCTTTCTTCTGATCTCTCTTTAGGCAAATTATCACACATGCTTACACAGAATACCTCCAGATTGCAGCCTGGCTCCCCTGACCCCATCTAGAATTCTCCACAACCCCAACAACAGCTGCCCAGGCTCAGGGAAGCCTTGAAGCTCTGACCTCACTGCCTTTGACCTCCCCTCTCTTTCTGCCTCCTTACTACTCTTGTTTGTACCATGCCAGTGCCCACTGTACAGCTTTTCCACTTGCTCCTTCCTGTGCTTGAAATGTTCCATCCCCAGCTGTCCACAGAGCTCACCTTCTCATCTTCAGGTGTCTGCTCAAATGTCACCTCATCAAAGCAACCTACCCTGTTCTCTCTGTAAAAAGCAGCAACCCCCTTCTGCACTTTCTATTCTCTTTACCGTGCTTTAATTACTCTCATAACACTACCAGCTGACATATTCTGTGTTTGCACATTTGTTTGTTAATTGCCAGTCTCCCTCCTTTAGAATGGAAATTCAGGAGGATAGGGACCGTTTTGTCTCCTGTAAGTATACCTGGCACCTAAAACTAGGCCTGGCCCTTGATAAGACACTTAAAAACTATTGGTTGAATGAATGAATATAAGTTGAATAACAAGGAAGCCTTATTATTTTTCAATATGGAATCAACTTTTTAAGGAAATAATTCACTCCACATTCCCAGCCCATATCCTCAATTATCAGTTACCTCAGTTACCTACTGGTGTGTGACAGCTACTATTTTGGCTACCTGGCATGCTTCCACATCATTCTTACCCTAATCCCACACTCCACTTATCCCCAGGGATAAGCACACACTCTAGGTATGGCCAAGTGGTGTGCTCCAGATGATTAGTCAGAAATGAGCTCACCACCTAAGCTTGGCCAATCCATGACTTCCTCAAGATCATTCTCACTGGAGTTAGGGAAGAGGAAGTAGCCCCTTGACATGTGTCACATTATTGAGCTAGAAGGCTGTGAATTAAGGGCTCTGAGGGATGTGTTTTTCCCTAGCAGAGAAAGAGATGGCTTGAAAGTCCCAGCAGCATGGAGCCCTGGGTCCAGTTTCTGGAGCTCCTCTGCTTCCTGCAGCTCTTCCTGCAGTTCCAGGATGCTGGAACCTAGGAGTTTCCCAGCATCCTTCCAACTTCCTTTTCTGCTTTAACAAATACCAGCTGAGCTCCTGTTACTCATGATTAAAACTCCTCACTAATATGCACCGGGCACCAGGCTGTTCACTGAGGATGTAGTGATGACCTGGACACTATCCTTGCCCTCAAGGAACTTACAACCTTCACGGAGAAAGCAGAAGGGAAGATGGTAATGGCAATGCAGTCTGAACACATGTATTGGACACGGGACTTGCCGGAATTCAGAGATCTGACATGTGTCATGACACTGATCAGCTGCTTTAAGTTCTTGTGATAATTCTAGGTTCAAAGCAACCTAAGGCTCTAAAATAATATTGTTGGTCATCAAATCAATATATATATTAACTGAGCACCTACTGTATGCAAGGGTTACCATAAGTGCTATGATACAGACCTGTAGAACATTCTAACTGGGGTAGGTTGCCCTTCTAAAAAATAATAAATACTAGGTAAGTATGAAATGAAGTCATAGGACATTCTATTTCTTCCTGTGTCTTTCTTTTTTTAATTCTTTTTTTTTTTTTGAGATGGGGTCTTGCTCTATCACCCCAGCTGGTGTGCAGAGGCATGGTCATAGCACATTGCAGCCTCCAACTCCTGGACTCAAGCGATCCTCCTGCCTCAGCCTCTCAAGTAGCTGAGACTACAGGTGTGCACCACCATGCCCAGCTAATTTTTTTAAGTAGTGATGAGGTCTTGCTATGTTGCCCAGGCTGGTGTTGAAATCCTGGGCTCCAGCCATCCTCCCACCTCAGCCTCCCAAAATGCTGGGATTACAGACATGAGTGAGTCACTGTGCCTGGCCCTATCTGTGGCTTTCTAAAGGAGCAGTTTAGCATATGGTTGGGAGTGTGAGCTTTGGAATCCCAATTGTGTTACTAGCCAGGTGATCTTGGGCAAAGTCACTTTATCTCTGTGAGACTCAGTGTCTTCCTGTAGACTGGATAATATAACTATTTATTTTACAGGGTTGTTAGGAAGATTAAATGAGTCCATTTGAGTAAAGCAGTTAGAATAGTGCCCAACACATAGTAAATCCTCAATAAATGTTAGCTAACAACACTATGTCTAAATCATATAAATTATAAATTCCTCAAAAGCAGGAGCCTTGCATTATTTGTAGCTCTGCTAACACGTACAGACCACTCAAGATTTTTCTAGTTGCTCAGCTCAGCAGTATTAATATATTAGCAGATGTAGCATTGTCTTGCTTGCTGGTTTCTCCATCTGCTCTAAATTTAGTACTAAATAAAGATAGTTGTGGGGGTGGAGGAGGTTTTAAAGATCTCTGGTCCAAATCCATTAGGTTTTTTGTTGTGTTTGAAAGCTGTAATCCAGAGAGAGTTTGAAAGCATATGCTAAAGACCATTTTTAGGCATGTTTTGCAGAAATGTATAGCATCTATTTACATTATTATGTGTTTCCATACTTTGACTGTCAATCCTTTGCATATAGTAGTATCCTAACTGATGTTCCAAATTTGCTACTATGCTATACATGGGCTTGCATAATTCCTAATTCATAACATATGGATATTAAATAGATTAGCTTATGAGAAGCAATTCACTTTTTTCCATCTTGGTAAGTAGAATAGTCACAATCCAATAAAGATAAATAAAGATGTCTAGGACTAAGGCATCATAATTACACCTTATATTTGTATAGTGCAAAATAACACCTTACATTTGTATACGTTATTTAATTCTTACAACTACTCAGTGAAGTAAGCAGGCATGGAAGTATCATGAATTCCATTTTATAGATGAAGATATTAGAACCTAGAGGTTTTAACTGACTTGCCTAAGTTTACTACATGGTAACAAATGGCAGAGCCAAGATCATACTTGGGTTTCTTCACTGCTAGCCCAGTGCCCTTTTTACTTTACTGGTAGAGGAAAGTGTTAGGAATTTTTATTTTCTTCCACCAATATTTACAGCCTGACTCTACAAAGAACCTTACCAATGGTGGTCTGTTGTGAGCCTTCAGCAAGGTATGGGTCTCATATGCTTAATCCCAATTTGTAAATGTTATAGAGCCACCCCCCTGGCAAGGAGGATTTATATCAGGCAAATGTTGCAGAAAACGATATTTAGCTGCATCTGCTACAGCTGATAAACTTTGGAATTGAAAGACAAGAAAGAATCATCAATGAAGTAACTCAAATAATGGGAGAGAATCTCCCAGTCAACACTGAATATCCTTGCTCCTTAAATTTCAAGCTAAAGATGCCTATAAAACTCCATATAATATAACCACAGAAGATATTTTGTAGGTAGTACTTTGCACAAAAGCAATCATAGGAGTTTTACAGTTTGTTTTTATTGGAAGAGAGCCACAGCTCCAGAATTTCTTGTCATTGAATAGATGGGAGGGAGCGGGAGTTAGAAGCAGAAAAGAGAATCAGCCTGAACATACAGATGCTGGGGACTATGCGGTTGGGGCAGAAAACGTTTATACTGTAAGGAGTTAGTGTGAGTGGTGGAGAGAGAGTGACTAAAATTTTTACACAATTACTATATAAATTCTTTTTTTTTAGTATATACATTCTGATCAGACTAGTGTAAACTGGCATAGACAAATATGAAGCAGTTGATGTTGTACATAGAAATGGGAGAAAAGAAAGCCAGACAATGTAAAAAATTTATTCCCCTCCCACTCCAGATAACACCCCAGTGTGAGAGTTAGGAGTCCATATATTTCAAGAGACTGAAACCAATTCAATGAGCTTGAAAAATAATAAGATGTATTGATTCTCATAGGTCAAAAAAACAGGGATGGTACCAGCATCAAATGCAATTGGATCTGAGGCTCAAAGGAGAGTAGGGTTTTCCCTCTCTCTCCTTCTGGATTTCTACTCCGTTTTCTTGTTTATTATCTTCTTTCCTACTGCAAATGACCTTCCTCGATGTAGTCAGAGAAGTTGACTGCCAGCAGTGGCAGGCCAATACTCCATGCTGGGGTACCACTGTCAAACCAAATCCCAGCACAAAGAAAGAAAATGTTTCTCTGATGGCTTCCATGTATGATGTCTTAGAGAAGGATTGTGATTGGTCAGTGTGGGCCACATGTCTGCCCGTGAACCAGTCTCAAGCTCTAGGGCAATGGAGTGCCAGGACTGGCCAATCCTTGGTTATGTCTCCACACTTGTAGCCAAAGCAGATGAAGTCTGTCACCAGAAAAGTGGTAAAGAATTCGGCTGAGCTATCCCAGTTCACTACAGCAACAGTTCCCAAATTGACCTGAAGATAAACATCCCCTGGACCCTTGTTAAAAAACAATTATTTGGCTCCCAGCTTAGACCTCCATAATAAGAATTTATATAGGAGAAGGATGGTAATTTGTATATTTAGCAAGTACCGCAGGTGTATTAGTTTCCTATTGCCACTGTAACAAATTACCACAAATTCAGTGGCTTAAAACAACATGGATTTATTATGGTCCTGGAGGTCAGAAACCCAAAATTGGTTTCACTAGGCTAAAGTCAAGGTGTTGACAGGAGGTTTCTTCTGGAGGCTCTGAGGGGAGAATCCATTTCTTTGCCTTTTTCAGCTTCTGGTGGCTGGCTGTGTCCTGGTCCACCATCTTTGAAGAGCATCACTCCAGTTACTGCTTCTATAATCACATCACCTTCTCCTCAAACTTTGACTCCTTCTGTGCTCCTTTTATAAGAACCACTGGACATTGGGTCCACTTGGATAATCCAGCATTATCTCCAAGTTCAAGATCCTAACTCAGTCACATCTGCAAACTCCCTTTTGCCATATGCTATATGGTTGGGACGTGTCCCTCAAATTTCATGTGTTGAAAACTAAATCCCCAAATTCATATCTTGATGCTATTTGGAGGCAGAGATTTGGGGAGGTAATTAGTACTAGATGACGTCATCAGGATGGGGCTCCTATGATGGGACTGGTGGCTTTATAAGAGGAAGAGAGACTTGAGTTTGCATGCCTGTGGTCTTTTGCCATGTGATGCCCTTCACCATGAAAACCCTCATCAGAAGTTGAGCAGATGCCAGTGCCGTGCTCTTGGACTTTCCAGACTCCAGAAGTGTGAGAAATAAATTTCTTTTATTTATAAATTACCCAGCCTCAGGTATTCTGTTATAGCAACAGAAAACAGTCAAAAACACTATTCAAGGTAACATTCACATGTTCCAAGGTTTATTAGGACATGGACATAGTGGGGCCATTATTTAGCCTACTGCACCAGGTAGTTATTTTTTTTTGAGACAGAGTTTTGCTCTTGTTGCCCAGGCTGGAGTGCAGTGGCGCAATCTTGGCTCACCACAACCTCTGCCTCCTGGGTTCAAGTGATTCTCCTGCCTCAGCCTTCCGAGTAGCTGGGATTACAGGCATGTGCCACCATGCCTGGCTGGTTTTGTATTTTTAGTAGAGATGGGGTTTCTCCATGTTGGTCAGGCTGGTCTCGAACTCCCGACCTCAGGTGATCCACCCACCTCGGCCTCCCAAAGTGCTGGGATTACAGGCGTTAGCCACTGCGCCCGGCCTGCACCAGGTAATTATTATCAGGTAAATTTGAGAAACACTGATAAAGGAGTTAAAAAGAAATTACTTAGGCAGATTGTGAAGGTAAGAAAGTCCTTGGTAAGGTTTTTCTTTTAATGAAAAGCAGCCCCCAAATCATTTCTTTTCTAACAAAGAGCAGCCTGTAAAATCGAGCTGCAGGCATAGACAAGCAAGCTGGAAGCTTGCATGGGTGAATGCTGGCAGTTGTGCCAATAGGAAAAGGCTACCTGGGACTAGGCATGATTAAAATGGTAGCTCCATATTTCCTTCTCTTTGCTAGCCATGTGTACAGTAAGAAGCAGACAAGATGGCACTGGCCAAGTGGACAGCCCATTTGCATAATAAGATTGGGGTGGGGCAACCAGCCGTCTCCTTGTGCCATGTGAACATCACACCTGGTCGAACCAATCTGTGGGGCCTTCATAAATCAGACACCACCTCTTCAAGCCTGCCTATAAAATCTGCTGCAGTCTGCTGCAGGCCAGCTTTTCCCCTTCAGACAATGCCTCTCTCTCTCACAAAAGAGAGCTGCTCTCCTTTCTCTTTGTTTTGGCTATTAAACCTCTGCTTCCAAATTCACTCCTTGTGTGTCCGTGTCCTTAATCTTCTCAGCACGAGACAATGAACCCCAGGTGTTTACCCCAGACAGTGATGCTGCTTCAGCACCACAGGAATGGTTAGTTAACACCACAAGTGCAACATAAATATTCCAAACTATAAATATTATATAAGCATAACTAATCACTTAACTGCATATAATATATAGATGCCCCAATTGGGTGGCCCAACCACCATGTTTTTGAATGTGTCAGTAACTCATTTCATTTTTATTGTTGAGTAGTGTTTCATTGCTATGGTTTTGAATGTCTCCCCAAAACTCATGTTGAAATTTAATTGTCATTGTGATGGCATTAAGAGGTAATGTTATGTTGAAGCACAAAGGCCATCACCAGATGCTGCTGCTATACTCTTAGTCTCCCCAGCATCCAGAACCGTGAACCAAATAAATTTCTATTGTTTATAAAGTGCCCAGTCTCAGGTATTCCGCTATAGCAACGCAGAATGGACTAAAACATCCACTGAATGAATTTACCACAATCTGTTCATCCATTCACCTATGAATGGACATTTGGATTGTTTCCAGTTTTTTCCGGGCCAGGTGTGGTGGCTCACACCTGTAATCCCAGCACTGTGGGAGGCTGAGGCAGGTGGATCACTTGAGGTCAGGAGTTTGAGACCAGCCTGGACAACATGGTGAAACCCCATCTCTACTAAAAATACAAAAAATTAGCTGGATGTGCTCACTTGAACCCAGGAGGCAGAGGCTGCAATAAGCCAAGATCGTGCCACTGTACTCCAGCCTGGGTGATAGAGCCTCTGTCTCACCAAAAAAAAAAAAAAAAAGAATATTTATGGAGCCTCTTCCACATGTATTTTCTCTCCCATCTCACCTCCTACTTCACTCCTCTCTTATCCTGCCCTAACTGTGTTGACCTTACTTCTGTCATGTGAATACACTGAGCTTAGTTCTGCTTCAGGATCTTAACATCAGCTCTCTCCAGATTTTTGCATAGCTCTCTCCATCATTCAGGTCCCTACTCAAATGTCACCCTCTCAGAGAACCTCTCCTGATTGCCCTATCTAAAATAGTACTCCACCTCCTCCCCCAATCTAATTCTCTATGGTCTTTTTTTTTTTTAATAAAATTGCAATTATCACTTTAATATTATATTATCTGTTTGGCCACATGTTAATCATATGTATCACCCACTAGAATGTAAGTTTGTTTTTTTTTCATTTCTAACTTTTAAGTTCCTGGGTACATGCGCAGCATGTGGAGGTTTGTTACATAGGTAAACATGTGCCATGGTGATTTGCTGCACAGATCATCCCGTCACCCAGGTATTAAGCCCAGCATCCATTAGCTGTTCTTCCTGATCCTCTCCCTCCTCTCATCCCGTCTCATCTGACAGGCCCCAGTGCGTGTGGTTCCATGTATCCATGTGTTCTCATCATTTATCTCCCACTTATAAGTGAGAACATGCAGTATTTAATTTTCTGTTCCTGCATCTGTTTGCTAAGGATAATGGCCTCCAGTTCCATCCACGTCCCTGCAAAGGACATTATCTTGTTCATTCTTATGACAGCATAGAATTCCATGGTGTATATATACCACATTTTCTTTATCCAGTCTATTACTGATGGGCATTTAGGTTGATTCCATGTCTTTGCTATTGTGAATAATGCACCAACAAACATATGCATGTATGTGTCTTTATAAAGAATGTATTTAATAAGTTCGGGCACAGTGGCTCACGCCTGTAATCCCAGCACTTTGGGAGGCCAAGGTGGGTGGATCACAAGGTCAGGAGATTGAGACCATCCTGGCCAACATGGTGAAACCCTGTCTCTACTAAAAATACAAAAATTAGCTGGGCGTTGTGGCACGTGCCTGTAATCCCAGCTACTTGGGAGGCTGAGGCAGGAGAATCGCTTGAACCAGGGAGTCAGAGGTTGCAGTGAGCTGAGATCGCGCCACTGCAGTCCACCCTTGTGACAGAGCAAGACTTTGTCTCAAAAAAAAAAAAAAAAAAAAAAAAAAGAATGTATTTAATAAGTTCTTTAAGGACCAGGAAATTTGTCTCACGCTGTATCTCCATCTAGAGCAGTGCCTGGCAAAGAGTAGAAATTCAATAAATTTTTGTTGGATGAGAATTTTCATTTAAATCTTAGGAAAAGAAAAATTTGAACAAGTGTTATACCTACTTTTATAGCCGAAGCAACTGAAGGTGAGACAGGTTCAGTAACTTGCCAGGAGGGCACAGAGATAGAGCCAGGATTTGAATGCTTGTCCATTTGACTTCAAAGCTCATCCATTGTCTTAGCCTCTATCTACCGTCTCATAATGAAGTGGAATGTATACACACAAGACTACAAAATCAAGTGCCAGTGGAGTGCCTTGAGGTTGTTTGGATGAGATCAACGGAGGAGATGGAGTCATCAGTAGGAGGGGAGTTGGCCTCATGCATGAGATTTGTAAAGATGGAGGCAGGAGACAGGGCAAACCTTGGGCCTGGGTCTGCGATTGTCCACCGTGGCTTTGTCCTTGGCTGAAGAAGCCAGTTCCCATCTTCTCCTGGGAGAGCAGTGAGGATGGAGGGCCAGCTGTAGGGTCAGGACTGTGTAAGCCGCATTCCTGGGCCTTTGTTTCAAACCTACCAACAAAGAACACTCTCTGGGGAGCTTTTGTGGACTGTGGTTAGGCCTGCAGTCAGGACCCGCATTCTAACTAACCAGTGTAGCCTCTGGCAAGTGCAGAGCCACTTTGCAGCTCCCTGGCAATGGAGATGATCTGTGTACTGGGGAAGGCAGCTGGGCCCAGAGGGGCTTTTGAACCACAGCATTTTTCTTAAAGATGGGGGATGTTATTGTTGAACCAGGTAGGAGGTGACCTGGGAACCAGCCTCCCTGAAAAGGAGGAGGGAGGGAAACACCTATGCCCAGGGTTATGTGGTGCTATTTCCTTCCTGATTAAAGATGTAGATGCCTTGGTACCCGAGCCCTGGAGGAGGCTCCCTCAACCTGAGAAAGCACTGTGCTGCAGCTCATCCTGGGAGCCGGCTCCCCTGGGTGGTACAGCACAGAGGGAAGGAAGGGGGCCGCAGTTCAAGGGCAGCAGCTGGGAGAAGCATGTCAGAAGTGCCAGGGAAGCAAAAGTCGGCTAGGGAAAGGAAAGGGGAGGAAGGAAAAGCAGAGAGGCAGCAGCAGCTCTGGGAGAAAGGGACAGCAGACATTAGAGGGGCGAGTGTTCTGGGAGCCTCAGAGCAGTGATGGATTTTCCATCTTTCCTTGGAGGAGGGGCTGGGTCTTGGAATCCCCTCCCTTCTCTGCCCCTTACACACAGTTTGTCCTGAGGAGCAGACATGAGGTCTGTGCTCACCCAAGCGCTCACAGTCTCCTTCTCTCTTCAATACCCATCTGCTGGGCCTAATTCTTACCTCAAAAAGGTAACTCTTGATTATTCTTAAAAGTTTAAAAAAAAATAGTAACTGTGATTCTGGTCTAAGCTAAAATTATTTTTCCTCAAGGTTGTCTCCCAAGAAAAATGCTTAAAGAGGCCGGGCACGGTGGCTCATGCCTGTAATCCCAGCACTTTGGGAGGCCGAGGTGGGCGGATCACCTGAGGTCAGGAGTTCAAGACCAGCCTGGCCAACACGGTGAAACCCCATCTCTACTAAAAAATACAAAAATTAGCCAGGTGTGGTGGTGAGCACCTGTAATCCCAAGTACTCAAGAGGCTGAGGGAGGAGAATTGCTTGAACTTGGGAGGTGGAGGTTGCAATGAGCCGAGATCATGTCATTGCACTCCAGCCTGAGTGACAGAGTGAGACTCCCTCTCAAAAAAAAATAAATAAATAAATAAGAAAAATGCTTAAAGAATATGGAAATAATTTGGTGGTGTTTAGGTAGATTGTTTTCCTCCTCAGAGTTGAAAGTAACACAGATATTCATTAACTTTTATCACTGAAATGACACCATAGCACTGTAGCCCAGGCTGGAGTGCAATGGTGCAATCTCAGCTCAGTGCAACCTCCACCTCCCTGGCTCGAGCGCTTCTCCTGCCTCCACCTTCTGAGTAGCTGGGATTACAGGCACATACCACCATGCCTGGCTAATTTTTGTATTTTAGCAGAGACGAGGTTTTGCCATGTTGGCCAGGCCAGTCTCAAACTCTTGACCTCAAATGGTTTGCCTCGGCCTCCCAAAGTACTGGGATTACAGGCGTGAGCCACCGTGCCTGGCAGGTTTGTTTTGGATGAACTTGTCATTTCCAGCACTCCCTGCTTGTGATGTTCTCTCTTGTACCTGTGACACTGAGGAAAACCGTTAGATGCCAAGTTCACCTGAGGGACTAAAATCTGTCTAGATGTAAGTCTGATCTGGCGTCTACTGGGGGAAGGGAAAGACTGGATAAACTGTGTTTCAGTTCATATCCATTGCCATTCAATTCTGCATTCTAAGATATGGCAACCAGTAGGCTCACTCTACATGTTTATTCAACGGAAACGATGTCCGAAAATTTAACTTTCATCACAAAGCATTTTAGGTGGGTAGAATCATGACTGTGAACTGTCTCCTAAATAATTTAGTGTTCCATTATTCCCCTCCCCAGTACATTTTAGATTTAGGTCCTACACAGTTCTAGACCCTGGATTCTAGGGCTTTGCCTCTGGAACCAGCGGTATTGGCCTCACTTGAGAGCTTATTAGAAATGAAGAGTCTCCAGCCCACCCTCAAATCCAAGGAATCAGGATTTACTTTTTAACATGCTCCCCAAGTGATCTGTGTGCATGTTAAAGTAGGAGAAATGCTGCTCTGAGGCATCTGATCAGCAGGCCCTCCCAGGCCCTGGCTTCAGGGTAGAGCTATTTGGGTTGCAGATAGCACCATGCCACACTCTGTGGGCAGAGAGTTCAAATTCCAGCTCTGCTGTGAACCTCATCACAGGGACAAGTGACCTAAAATTAAAAAAAAAAAAAATCAAACTCACAGAAAAGTCGCAAGAATAGTACAAAGGGCCGGGCATGGTGGCTCATGCCTGTAATCCCAACACTTTGGGAGGCCGAGATGGGTGGATCACGAGGTCAGGAGTTCAAGACCAGCCTGGCCAACATGGTGAAACCCTGTCTCTACTCAAAATAAAAAAAATTAGCTGGGCGTGGCGGCACACACCTGTAATCCCAGCTACTTGGGAGACTGAGGCAGGACAATGGCTTGAACCCGGGAGGCGGAGGTTGTGGTGAGCCGAGATCGTGCCACTGCACTCCAGCCTGGGTGACAGACCGAGACTCCATCTCAAAAAAAAAAAAAAAAAAAAGAATAGTACAAAGAACTTCTGTAAATACTTTACCTAGACTCACCAACTATTAACATTTTGCAGTGTATACTTTATCATTTTTTTCGCTCTACCTATGTATGATGATTATTCCTGAATTCTTGGAGAGTTAATTGCATATACTGGCATGTCTTTACCCTCAATACTTCAGTGTGTAGCTCTGAAAACAAGGACATTTTCCTACATAACGACAACACCAGGGCTAGAACTAGATGGAGGCTAACAAGGCCTGAGCGTGAGTGGCCCTTCAAGAGGGCTTCCTTCAACTTTGTACCCTAGGAGCCTCTGTTGTCTCGCCCTAGTTCTGGCCTGCATGCTACAGTTATCAAAATCAGGAAACCTTACTATTATCTAATCTATAGTCTATTATATCTAATCTATAATCTATTATATACCTATAGTCTAATCTATAAGCTATTTTCCAATCATGTCTATTGTCCCAATAAGGTCCTTCGTAGCAAAAATTTTCCCCAGATTCAATTCAGGATCATGTATGACATTTACTTGTCCTGTGTATTTAGTCTCCTTTGATCTGGAACAGTTTTTCAGGCTTTGTCTTTTATGATATTGACATTTTTGAAAATTATAGACTAGTTATGTTACAGAATGTCCCTCAATATGGGGACAAGTAACTTTTTAATCTCTTAACGGTTCAGTTTCATCACTTGTAAATTGGGAATAGTCCCTCCTTCATGTTGAATCAAATAGATGAAGACACGTAATGGGCTTGACACATGGCAGGCGCAGGTGGATTAAACAAGAAGCTGCCACTGATCAGGCACTTGTCAGCGCCATGCCAAGTGCTTCAAGTGCATTGTCTCATTTCGTTTTTACTGCAGCTCTGTGAGATGGGCTGTATTTTTACCCCTACTTCACAGAAGAAGAATCTGAGACTTAGAATCATTTGTCCAAGGTCTCATAGCTAGTAAGGAGTGACATGGGGACTTGAATCAAGTCAGTGAGACTGCAAAGATTATTCGCTTAGTAACATGCTTGTGGTGCTTGCTAAAATCTAGCTTTTTAAACATAAAATTTTCCTAGAGTTCACCATTTTAACCATTTCAAAGTGTACATTCAGTGTCTCTTAGTATATTTACAATGTTGTACAACTCTCAGCACTATCCGATTCCACAACATTTCCATCACCTCATGAAGAAACCCTGTACCTCCCAATTCCCCTGACAACCACCGATCTGTTAATCTACCTCTGTTTCTGTGGCTTTGCATATACATAAAATGAAATACTACTAAGCAATAAAAAGGAACTAACTACTGATACACAGTAACATTCTGGATCTCAAAAACAACATACTGAGTGAAAGAACCCAAATACAAAAGACTGCACATGGAAATATTCCATTTATGTGAAATTCTAGAAAAAATGCCTTAGGAACAGACAGCATGGCAGTGGTTGCCTGGGGACAGGAACATATGGTTGGGAGGTGGCACTGACTGCAAAGGGGCATAAGGGAACTTTTTGGAGGGATAGAGGTGTTCTAATACTTGATTGGTAGTGGTGGTTACACATTGCATATATTTGCCCAAATGCATCAAATTGTCCACTGCGTCGAGTTTATAATATGTAAATTATACCTCAATAAGATTTTAAAAAAAGAAGAAAAAATCCCAAGCATATCTGGTCCTGAATGGAGTTCAATTCATCAGCACAGCTACCTTCGTTGTCTGGCCCCAGATCCATCTTCCCAGCCTCATCTCTCGCTTCTCTGACACTTGCCATGGGCAAGCCCAGTGTTGGGCACTCAGAGAACGTGGGGGAAGGAGAACCTCTATCTTCAGGGAACTCACAGCCTAGTCTGGGAGCAGAAAGAAAGGGCAGCCAACTCTGACACAGCAGGGCACCATTCCTAGAGGACCACTGAGTCCTAAAGGACAGGAACAAGAATATTCCAGACACAGCCTGGATTCCAGTCATTTTGAATCTCAAGTTTGAATCCAGTTTCAATCTAATATTTTGAATAGGTAATACATTTCTATGGCTGTATACTTTAAGCCAAAGAGATGACAGAGTTTATTTTATTGCTTTTAGGAATGTGGGAATCACTTGTAATATTTAGGTTAATTGATGTCAAGTAATTTTCAGGAGCAACTGGAATTATTTTAAAAATCACTGGATTAAACTGGGTGCAGTGGTGCATGTCTGTAGTCCCCAGCTACTCAGAAGGCTGAGGCAGGAGGATCACTTGAACGCAGGAGTCTGAGTCCAGCCAAGGCAACACAGCAAGACTCCATCTCTAAAAAACAAAACCAAACCAAACCCAAAACATTGGGTTGACACTAAAATATCATGATGCTAACTTGTGCCAGGAGGTCCTTTACTTGAGGGAAGAGCACTCTGTCTCCATCCCAAGGATGAAAAGATTAAACTTCTATATTCTCCTCACCCTTAGAAAGCTCCTATTCATAGGAGGTAAAACCATTAAATAAAACAAAAGGAAAATAAACCTTTCAAGTCTTTGCCTGCGCCTATCAGAGATCTATGTGGAACTGGCAGTAGCTTGGCTCCCTTTGAGTGCTTTGGAACTATGGTCTTCAAGATTTCTTGCTTGCTTTTCTCCTAAAAGAAATTTGAAAAACTGTGTTTTTTTCTTCCTTCCTTTCTTTCCTTTTTCTTTCTTTCTCTCTCCTTCCTTCCGTCCTTTTTTTTAAAATAAGAGATAGGGTCTCATTCTGTCACTTAGGCTAGAGTGCAGTGGCATGATCACGGCCCACTGCAGCCTCAAACTCCTGGGCTCAAGCAATCCTCTCACCTCAGCCTCCTGAGTGGCTGGGATTACAGGCATGAGCCATCACGCCTGGCTAAAACTGTTTCTTCTTGAACTTTTAAAGGTCATATCTAAAATGTTTCATCACAAGTTTAAATAATAGTAAGGTTTGTTATTTCTGGCGTAAGTATTGGCATTTTAAAATAAGATTGTTACATCATTCTTTAAACGTATCCAAGGAAATTTAAAGATCATAATGCATCTATCAACCATTTAAAAAATATATGAACAAGCTTTTCTTTAAAGTAAATTTTACATCACTTTTTTTTTCTTATCTTGTATTTCCATTCCACTTACCCCTCAATATTTTAATATAATATTTTAAGCTGGAGAGTCTTTTATTGATCAACCTATCATATTTCCCTACAAAAAAATTTTTTTAAAAAAATTCTTGACTGAGTCTGATAAGCTTAAAAAGCTCATTTTGATTGTATAATTTTAATATCTAATTGATCTAAACAACATAAAATATTACATATTTTGGTATCTATTAAAATTAAAGGATATTTTTGCTGAATGAAATAGAATTGGGTCAAACCTAATCCTAGTTTTCACTTCTATGGATAGAAGCACAAACACCTTGTTCATTCATTCAACAAATATTTATTGAGCACCTCCTACGTGTCAATAGCTACTCTAGGCACTTGGGATACACTGGTAAACACTACAGATAAATCCTTGCCCTCATGGAGCTTACATTCTAGCGGGGGGTAATAGGCAATAAACAATAAACACAACACATAAGTAAATCATATAGTATGTCAGAAGTGCTATAGTAAAACAGAAAGCAGGGTAAAGGGGCTTTGGGTGTACTGTGAGAGTTAAGAATGGGCTGTGATTTTTAAAAGGTCAAGATAGGCTTCAATGAGGTAACTTTTGACCAAAGGAGGTGAGAGAGTTGGCAATGCAGATATCTGGGGGAAACATGTACAAGGCAGAGGGCACAGCCAGTGCAGAGGCCCTAACTTGGGAGCATGGCTGGCATCTTCTAGGGACAAGAAAAGAGGTCGGGAAGGTTAGGACATATTGGAGAATGACTGATAGGAAATGAGATTAGAGAAGTAATGCTCAGGGTGGAGTGGTGATGCTGATCTTATAGAACCCTTTAGACTATTGTAAGGATGTAGATTTTTACTCTAAATGAAATGAGGATCATTTAATGCAGGGATTTAAGCAGAGTGCAGATGTCTGACTTTTTTTTTTTTTTTTTTGAGACGGAGTCTTGCTCTGTCACCCAGGCTGGAGTGCAGTGGCGCGATCTCCACTCACTGTAAGCTCCGCCTCCTGGGTTCACGCCATTTTCCTGCCTCAGCCTCCCGAGTAGCTGGGACTACAGGCGCCCGCCACCACGCCCGGCTAATTTTTTTGTAATTTTTAGTAGAGACAGGGTTTCACCGGGTTAGCCAGGATGGTCTCAATCTCCTGACCTCGTGATCTGCCCGCCTTGGCCTCCCAAAGTGCTGGGATTATAGGCGTGAGCCACTGTGCCTGGCCCTGACTTCTATTTTAAAAGGATCTCTCTAGCTATTATGTTGGGAAGAGGCAAGCATGAGAACAGGGAGAGCTTTTAGAAGATGAATCCAAAGATGAGATGATGGTGGCTCAGACCAGGGAGCAGCAGTGGAGGTGGTTAGGGATGCTCTGTGGATTAGACATGGGTGTGAGAAAACGAGGGGAATCCAGAATTGCTGGACAGCACTAAGGATTTACTTGAGGTTCATGGTGATGAAATTAAAGTGAAACTGCTCAGGGTTTTTGGTCTGAACAACTTGAACAATAGAGTTATCAAATGAGATTGGAAAGCTAGTGGGTTCAACAGGTTTGAGGGAGAATATTGCTCAGTTTGTGACATGTTTGAGGATATCAGAATCTGGAGTTCAGGTAAGAGATCCGAGCTGGAGATATAAATTTAAGAGTTGTCATCATATATGATGATATTATATATCTTAGATGGTACTGAAAGTCAGGAGACTGGATGAGATCACGGAAATGAGTATAGATTAAAAAGAGTTCAAGGGACCAGGTGCAGTGGCTCATGCCTGTAATCCCAGCCCTTTGGGAGGCTGACGCAGGCAGATCACTTGAGGTCAGGAGTTCAAGACCAGCCTGGCCAGCAAGGCGAAACCCTGTCTACGGAAAAATACAAAAACTAGCCAGGTGTGGTGGTGGGCGCCTGTAATCCCAGCTACCTGGGAGGCTGAGGCAGGGAGAATTGCTTGAATCTGGGAGGCAGAGGTTGCAGTGAGCCGAGATCATGCCACTGCACTCCAGCCTGGGTGACAGAGAGAGACTCTGTCTCAAAAAAATAAAGAGTTCAGGGAATAAGCCCCAGTTAAGGGGTCTGAGAGAAGAGATGGAACCCAGCAAAGAAGACAGGGAAGGAGGAACCACGAATGAAGGAGGAAAACCAAGAGGATGTGGTTAAAAAAAGAGAATCAAGTGATGAGCTGTGTCAGCTGTTACAGATAAGATGAGAACCGAGACTAGATCATTGGGTTTAGCCAATGTGAAGTTCCTTGTTGGCCTTCACAAGAGTGGTTTTGATACGGTAGTAAGGATGAAAGCATGAATGGAGTTTAAGAGAGGATGGGAAACCTAACACTCAGCTGATGACCTAAAATACGCCACATGTGTACCTCGCATGTAATGATTCTACTACATATGTATGGAGTCTTAACATACGTATCATGCTTGACATGTTTTTGAACTTTGTATAAATGGTATTGTATGGGATGTATTCTGCTGTTGCAGAATGGGAGAAGAACTGCAGACAAAGTATAGAAAACTCTTTTAGAAGTTTTGTTGTAAAGGGAGTAGAGAAATAGGTGATAGCTGACAGTAGAAATAGGTCAAAGAGAAGAATCTGTAGGATTGGAAAAATCACAGCTGCTTGTAAGCTTATCAGAATGACCCAGTAGAGAAATACTGATAAAACAGAATAGGCGGATAATTGCTGGAGTGACAGTGAGGATCTTGATTAGGCAAGATAGTACTGGAATCTATGTCTTGGTGACAATACTCCTTTAGCTAGGAGCACGGCAATTCAACCATGTGAGGGTGGGGAAGGCAAAGTAGAGGCTGGTATGTGGGTGTGGGTGATGCTGAGATTCTGTGGAATTTTTTCTCTCATTGCTTCAATTTTCTAAACAAGGCTATTAATTGAGAATGATTGAGGAGAGGACATGCAACTTAGAGGACAGAGAACGTACAAAATCCAGAAGAATGGAGGCGGGAAGTAGAATTGCTGGACAGCATTAAGGGTCTATCTGAGGTTCATGGTGATGAAATTAAAGTGAAGGTAGTCAGTGTGATTGTGTTCTTCTCTCGCCACATTCAGATGCATGGGTGCCAGCTTGAATCAGGGTTGTGGCTTTGCCAAGCAAGCACAACAAAGGGAAAAAAAGGCAAGGGGGCTGAGGGCATGTGTAAGAGTGATTGTGATTGGCTGGGGGTTGAGGCTGGGTGACAGCAGATATGAGGGTTCAAGAATTGTTGCAGTTAGAGTACTATAGGGAGTGATCTGGAAAACTGAGGTAGTGATCAGGGTGTGAGATGTTTGAAACTGAGATAATGAAGAAGTTGCAGAGTTTGATAAGGCTACGGTGATTATGACCATGGGAGGAAGTGGCTGAGTTAGGATATGTGCAAGTTTGAAGTTAGAGAAGGTACAAAATCTAGAATGATCAAGGGGAGGATGTGTAAGTTAGAGGACAGAGAAGGTATAAAATCCAGAAGAGTGGATCAGGGAAGTATAAGAGAATTGCTGAACAGCACTAAGGGTCTACCTGAGGTTAATGGTGAACAGTGGGAGTCTCCAGCCAACAGCCAGGAAGGACTGAGGCTATCAGTCCTGAGGCCTGCAAGGAACTGAATGCTGCCAACAACCACATGAGCTTGGAAGCAGATCCGCTATCCCAGCCTCACTTTGTAGAGGACCCAGCTAAGCAACGCCTGGACTCCTGACCCAGAGAAACTGTAAGATCATAAAATTGAAGCAATGAAGAAGATCCTTGAGAAGAAGAAAAGGAACTGAGAGGCCAGGGTACTGGGAAGATCTTATAACCACCTACCACTAGGACAGAAGTGGCATTGGAGTGAATGTCAGGAGCAAATTGTGCAGAGATGAAGCGGGGTGAGGTCAGCGATAGAGGTATCGGACAGCAAGATTTAAAGCTGCCGGTTTAGAGGAGGAGGGGGATGACCTGGAAGCAATGTTGAGAAGCAAGAAGGAAACCTATCTCACCTCCAGGCACTAAGAAGCTGAAGGTTGAAAACACAGTTGCCGGAAGTAGTTCTGTCCTGTGGGGTTCGGCATCATGCAAGTTCCCCCTGGGCTGTTCTCTGATACAGGGCACTTGCTCCACACTCTGGGAACCCAGATTAACCAGTCTGCCCTGTCACATAGTTGAAGGAGTTGCATTTATCTTTCTGGCTCCCAATTCCTTTAAAATTACATTTGTTGCAGAACCTCCACAAGGCTAAATAAAATAAAATTACATTTGTGACCATCAGAGAACTGAAGAACTATTAACTGGCTGTTCTGGTTTTGCTGAGATCGGGCTGTTGACAGTTCCTGGTTGTCCCACAGCTACCCATGTCAGTTATCTCCACTAACATTTCCAAGAATCTTTGTAGGACAATTTCTCCACCTGCAAGGTCTTTCAAGTAAGAACTCTTCTTTCCTTTAAGGCAATTAGCCCATTGCCAAAAGGTTTTACTGTCTTAAAGCTGGAACTATCTGAGATCTAATTCCAAGGACTTTTCTACAGCTAAGTGAGATGCCTCACACCAGTATTAGGTGATTCTTCGTGAGGACAGAACAGAGCATTTTCATCTTGTGTTTAAAGCAATTTGTTGGCTTCGGCTCCTCACCACTTTCTATACCAGTCTCCCATTCACGTCCCTAGTAATGCCTATGCCAAAAAAAAAGAAAAAAAAGAAAAAGCTGACGGTGAAACCTACAGGTTTAAGGGCTTAAATCTCAACCTTTGTGTTAGGAGTAACAGGAGTGTGCTGAGAGGGCAAGCAATAAAACAAGTCATACCAAAAGGCCACATTGGTCTCTCCTAAGCCCCAATCCCACTCCACTCCTGTGGCCAGTAGTCCAAACAGAAAATAACTGGAGAAGACGAGGAGGTCAAGGATCAGGAAACTAAACGTTATGTGAATTCACCAGCAAGATGTACAGAACGCTTGCGTTTACATTGTTTTTATGGAACTAGCAGAATAAAACTGATCTATTTTAAAAATGAAAAAAAAAAAAAAACAAAAGAAAGAAAACACAGTTGCCACTACTTGAGAGGTGGAAGGAGGAGCAGTGTCCCAGGGCAAAGTTGGGTTTCCTTAAGTAAAAAGGTGAAGGGAACCTGAAGGGAAATTCTGAGAAGAGGTTGAGCTTACAGGGAATATCATTTGCATAAATAAATACATGGTGTGGTAGACTCTAAAGAGGCCCCATATGATTCCCACCTCCTGGTGTTCAAGCTTTTGTGTGTTTCCTTCCCCTTCAATGTAGGTGGCGCCTGTGATTTGCTTCTGGCCAGCAATGTATGGCAAAGGTGACAGAGTATGAGTGATACTGTGTATGTGATGATGTTACATAAGATTGAAACCAGTGTCTTGCTGAGACTCTTCCCGTTGCTGGCTTCGAAGAGGCAAGCTGCCATATTGTTAGCTTCCCTATGGAGAGCACCACATGGCAAGGAACAGAGGGGGTCTCCAGCCAACAGCCTGCAAAGGACTAAGGCCCTCAGTCCTGTAGCCTGCAAGGAACTGAATGGTGCCAACAACCACATGAACTTGGAAGCAGATCCTTTGTTCCAGCCTCACTTTGTAGAGGACCCAGCTAAGCCATGCCTGGAATCCTGACTCAGAGAATCTGTAAGATCATAAATGTTTGTTGTTTTAGGCTTCTATATTTGTGGTGAGATTGTTATACAGCAATAGGTAACTAATACAGACGGAATAGAAGAAGTTTAGTTATAACAATGTCTCAATTTCTTAAAAACTTCTTCTGAGGTATATTACCTAAGATTCACATATTGATCTGTTACCAAATCATGTTTTGTAATCTATCAGCTGACAGATCTTCCTTCAGTTTTGTTGACAGAAAAGATTTGAAAACTATCTGACTTGAAAAATAATTTAATATCCATTCACTAAGGTCATTTACTTTCTCAGCATAGATACCGATTTTTGAATTGTCCCTTTTGGATTGCTGGGGAGGTTCTGCATTGATCCCATGCACCTTAGTAGTGGGTGAGAATTTTGACTTTCTTCTGTAAGGTGGGAGGACAGTTTTGAAAGGGGATGCTGTGTCCTCAGCTCCTTTCTCAAGCTGGGCAAGTTTAGAAAATAGAATATATAGCAATGGAAGATGTGGAAATGAATTCCCTTAAAACTGGTCTCCATAAACCCCAGGGGTAAGAGAACACCAGTTTGGAGCTTTAGGGGCTTTCTGGTCAAAGAGGGAATGGCCCAGGCGGTGATGTGGAGGATAGAATGAAGCACTGAGTATGAGTGGCGAAGGCGTACGGTGGGTGTAGAGATTTTCTGGGCGACGTGACCTAAGAAATGACTTTAGAACTGGCTAATCATTGGTTTTGGAGGGACTAAAAGTAGTTCCTGGTTGGTGAAAATAAATCATTAATGCGTTTTAAATGAAAAAGAAATGCATGCGTCTTGTAAAAAATGTGAAATAAAAGAGGCATAAAGTCAAAAGCAGAGCCTATGCCTTCCCCCACCAAACAAACAGGTAACCTAGTTAACAGGTGTGTCGTAGGATTCGAAGTTCGCCTCCAGCTCCGAGAGTGCGCCTACATCTCTTCCAACAAAATCCACTCACACTTGCAACGCCTGGCAAGGCTCTTCAATATGTGATTCCTTGACTGTCCTGTGCGTCTCTCGAGTGTAAACACCTCTGGGGCTCGTGATTCGGGGCTGCCAGAAAGAGAAGGAAGGTGCCGCCAGCGTCTGTTTCTTCCCGAAGTGAACTCCTACAACCTAGCCACCTTCTCCCCAGAGCTGTCGACTGGCTGTTGAAGGCCAATTTTTGTGCCTACGCAGGTCCTCAACACAGAACAAAACAAAAAAACAACAAAGGCCGGGCTAATAGCTATTTATAAACACTTACTGGACGCCCACTCTACGCCGAGCTCTCCCGCGCTCCTTGGATACTTTTTTGCAACGAGATGCCAATTTCCCCGGCGACCACTCCCTCAAACAGGCCTTCGCCTCCGCCCGCGCTGAGGCCCAGGCCCAGGTCCAGATTCAGAGCCGCCCGCCGGCTGGCGCTGCCCTGTAGGCGCCTGCGCAGAGCGACCCTCCCCGTCACTCGGAGCGGGAGGCGGGGGCAGCCGGGAGAAAGGAAAGCTGCGGGGGAAAAGGGCCAAACCCTGAAATTACCCGGATGTGGTCCCCGCGCGCGCATGCTCAGTGGCTTCTCGACAAGTTGGCAGCAACAACACGGCCCTGGTCGTCGTCGCCGCTGCGGTAACGGAGCGGTTTGGGTGGCGGAGCCTGCGTTCGCGCCTTCCCGCTCTCCTCGGGAGGCCCTTCCTGCTCTCCCCTAGGCTCCGCGGCCGCCCAGGGGGTGGGAGCGGGTGAGGGGAGCCAGGCGCCCAGCGAGAGAGGCCCCCCGCCGCAGGGCGGCCCGGGAGCTCGAGGCGGTCCGGCCCGCGCGGGCAGCGGCGCGGCGCTGAGGAGGGGCGGCCTGGCCGGGACGCCTCGGGGCGGGGGCCGAGGAGCTCTCCGGGCCGCCGGGGAAAGCTACGGGCCCGGTGCGTCCGCGGACCAGCAGCGCGGGAGAGCGGACTCCCCTCGCCACCGCCCGAGCCCAGGTAACCGCGCCATGTCCCCTCCCCTTCCCCCGGCCGGGCCCGCGCACCCCGCCTGTGGCTTCCCCGCCCCGGGGCGGGCTCCCGACGACGGCGGCGGCGGCGGCGGCGGCTGGGAGCGCGCGGAATCCTCTGGGAGGGCGACCGCGGCGGCCTGACGAGCCGGGCCGGGCGGGCCGGCTGAATGCCGGGCGGCGGTGCCTCGCGTCCCTCGGGCCCCCAGCTCCGCTTGCAGCTCGTGGGAGAATCAAGTTAAACTCGGACGGGACTCCTGCCGCGGCCGCCGCTCCTCTTTGTTGTTCTCAGTAGTTTCACGGTCGCCCCGGCTGAGCGCGTTGGGTCGGCTGGAATGTGTTGCCTTAGGGTCTAAGTGAAAGTTGTAAATTGTTTGTCTAAATTTATTTTCTCCAGCCAATTTCTGTTTTGTCTTTGTCCCCTACTTTCTCTTCCTAGTCTTGTCATGCCAGTTTACGCTTCTGGCTTTGATATGTTTACTTTTTGAGTACTGAGAGTGACAGCGGTATGCAGGACACATTCTTAGCACCTAACTGAACCCCTCCTTGCCCCCAATAAAACATGCTTCCTAATAAAAGACACAGCTGATCTTACTGTTAGCACTGCATGTACTGACAGTGAAATTGGTGTAGGGTGGAGGGCGGTGGCTCCATCACTTGTCCCAAACTGCTGTTAGGATTTCTCAAACTAGATTTTCAAAGACACAAGTGTGTTTAGTTAACCTGAAAGGTTTATTTGCTGGTGCAGAGGCTTTAAAAAGCCCTGTTGAAGATTGATAGCTGTTTCCCTTCAAAAACCTAAGTACGTTTGTTTTTATTTAAAAAAACACATTTATTTCCCAATTAGTTTCTTAATGCATTTAGTTTTTGCACCGTAGTTTAAGGTGGAATTGCCAGTTATTTAGGAATAATAAACACAACAGGATAATAGCGGAATTACCCTGAATTGACTTTCTGCAAACATATAATCTTAGCTAATTTTTGTTAGTAACCTTTGACTTTTGCCAGAATTAGCATCCTTCTAGTCTTAGTAGCAGCTTGGTTACTCGGGTGTTTTAAGAAGTAGGTTCACTCCTTTTTGCTGGCAAAAACCATTTAGTATCAAAAAAAAAAAAATGCGTAATTTCGTAATTAGATTTAGAACAAGGCATTTGAATAATTTTTATGGTGGATTTCATAAATTACTTTTGCCATACCCTGCAGAGACTAGATAATATATATTTCAGTTGAAATCTAGGAAGTTCTAAAATGTAACTTTTTTTTAATGCTAAGGACTTACTCTCTCTATATTGGAAAGTTCTGATATGATTAGTACATAATATTCCAAACTGTAAAATGATTAACATTTAAAAATACGGTTTTTAAAATTAGTGTTTCTTCCATAATGCTGTCATGATTTTGTTTACTTAAATGGGTTTGTTACAGAACAAATGTAATAGAGATGGACCAAGCATTTGTAATTCGGAGTAGCTTTAGGTCTAAAGACGATGGTGAATTATGTAGGTTTAAGTTGTTGGAATTAAAACTAAAAGCTTCTTTTGATAAAAGTCGTTATAACATTTTGTGACTCTATTAATAGAAGTGGCTTTTTCTTTGCTTTCCAGGTTTTTGGGCGAGTTTTAAAGAAGTATTGCATCTTCGTTTTTTTTATTTTTGAAGTGGGAGTGTATGTTTCTGTTTAGGTCACTGCCTTCATTGTAAATCTTGAGTTTAGAAAAAACCAAACTGCAAATCTGTTTTTCAGACTTAATGAAAATTTGTGCCGAGAAAGTCACTTTGAAATATTTTGGAATAAGTTTTACATGAATGATTGATCTTTTATGATAGCTTTGCTGTTTGAAGCAATTCTCCCTCTACTAGGAAGCAGCAAATCTTACTTTTAAAAACCTCTGCTTCACTTTCTTAAGCTACATTTTAGTCGAGCGATTGTGTGTGAATTCTTTTTCTGTATTCCCCTTCAGTTTTTCTTTCTCCCCGCAAATTAAGGAGCGAGAATTAACCTAATTTATGCTGCCCAGTCACACTCCAGCTCTCCCACTTGGAAGCAGTTTTTTTCTGATTGAGCCAGTGTTATAGTAACATCATTAGACACTATTCTAATTGAGGTGTGAGTTACTGAGGCCTCTGCTAGGGAGGTTAACCCTACAGAATCTGTAGGGTTCATTATATTTAAACTGCATATTTCGGCTTGTCTAAATTTTTGCCTATTTTGGTGAAAACATGTTGTTTTGTCGATGTTTAAACTTAGTTCATTTTGTCCCTCTCTAGTTCATGACTAACCATTTTTTTCATTTTTAATCCAGCGATTTTTTTAGAGTGGTTCTTTAAGCATCTTGTATTAGCCATTTCAATGGTCATTATATATGTTTGGATTTCTCTTATTTTGTTGAACTAGAAGACTGTGTGGTTACGCCCCAAAATTTTTTTTTGTCTTAAAGCCATGATGAATGGGGTGACTCTGAGGTGACCATTAATCGCGTATAAAAGTAACCTGACTAAAATGTTTTCATTGTTTTCTACAGTTAAAGGACTTACACCAGCATAACACAGCATTTTTTTTTTTTTTTTTTTTTGAGATGGAGGCTCGCTCTGTTGTCCAGGCTGGAGTGCAGAGGCGCGATCTCCACTCACTGCAAACCCCGCCTTCCGGGTTCAAGCGATTCTCCTGCGTCAGCCTCCTGAGTAGCTGGGATTACAGGCATGTGCCACCACGCTTGGCTAATTTTTGTGTTTTTAGTAGAGACGAGGTTTCGCCATGTTGGCCAGACTGGTCTTGAACAACTGACCTCAGGTGATCCGCCCGCCTTGGCCTCCCAAAGTGCTGGGATTACAGGCGTGAGCCACTGCGCCTGTCCTATAACAGCATTTAATACAGTTTTGTAAAATTATCACATTTTGGGCTTTTTGTTCAACAGTTGATGAAGTCTCAATTGTTTTAAAATGAGAAATTCAAACAGTTCACAAATATATCTAGATATATTCATTTGAGCTACTTGTAGAATGATGCTGTTTGCATATATCAAGCATATGCTTGATCATAAGTCAGATTTAGAATTTTTGGATTTTGTTTTCTCTTTCTAAAATGTGTAATTTTGGTAATGGGAAATTTGACTGAATTCCAGTTTCTCAGGAACAAGGTATTTTAGGTTGTGTCACCTTAACACTATTACCTGGTGTAATTGGCATCCGGGAACATTTGTTTTTAACTATGAGAGTGAATGAAAACTAGGGTAGTGCTTACATATGTAAAACTAAGATGGTAGGTAGTCGGATTCTTACAATTTATAAGGTTCTCATAATCTAAGCCTTGATGAGTTGCTACTGCAAATTATATTATAGATCAGATAAGTACCAAAGACCAGTTGTAAAGAGGGTCTGTTAACATTTTAATCAGTTTAAAATTGGCGGTAACAGTAAAGACCGTTCAGCCCAAAGACTGTATTTCATTATTTATATTCCAAATGAGAATTTTTTGCAGTTTGGAAAACTTGTAAATGTGTTGAATTCATCTTTTTATTGCTTTTTTACTCCCAATGTTTAGGGCAACGGTCTTTTCTTCTCTCCTGTCTCCCTCCCTCCCTCCCTTTCTCCCTTTTTCTTCTTTTTCTTCTTTTTCTTTTTTTTTTTCTGAGACGGAGTTTCGCTCTTGTCACCCAGGCTAGAGTGCAATGGTACGATTTCGGCTCACTGCAACCTCCACTTGCTGGGTTCAAGCGATTCCCCTGCCTCAGCCTCCCGAGTAGCTGAGATTACAGGCGTGCGCCACCATGCCAAGCTAATTTTTTTGTATTATTAGTAGAGGACGGGGTTTCACCATTTTGGGCAAGGCTAGTCTTGAACTCCTGACCTCAGGTGATCCACCCGCCTCAGCCTCCCAAGGTGCTGGGATTATAGGCATGAGCCACCGCGCCCAGCCTTTTTTTCCTTTTTCTTTCCATCTTGCTCAGTGCCCCAGCCTGGAGTACAGTGCTGCAATCATAGCTCACTGCAGCCTCTACCACCCAGGCTCAAGCAATCCCACTTCAGCTGCTGCGGTAGCTGGGACTACAGGCACACACCATCACACCTGTCTAATTTTTTGAAAAATTTTTGTAGAGATGGGGGTCTCTCTCTGTTGCCCAGGCTGGTCTTGAACTCTTGGGTTCAAGTGATCGTCCCACCTCGACCTCCCAAAGTGCTGGGATTAAAGGCATGAGCCACCACGCCTGGCAAGTAGTTTTCAATCTTGGCTGTACTTTTAGATCCCTTGAGGAGCTTTACAAAATACTGATACCTGAATTCTAGCCCCAGAAATTATGATTTGGTTGGTCTAGGGTGCAGCCAGGTTAGCCCTCCGCAGTGATTGAGTCATTAGGGTCCTCTGACTTTTTCTTTTGAACTGTTTCACTTGTGTTAGCTTTACATTCTTTAATACAGTGTTACACACATGTACAGTGTAGCCATCTCACACATCTAACTTAACGGGTCTTTTGAAAGTATTGCCACATTTGCTTTGCTTCTGTGTCTGTCTCTTTCTTTTCTCTCCCCCTTCCTGTCACCTATTCCTTTCTCCTCTGTTTCTTTCTTCACTTTCAGTTTATTTGAACTGTCTGGTAGTAAGTTTTAGGAAGCTGTATTTCCCATGATGAGAAGTTAGTATATCATCACTATTTTAAATAGGAAGTTGATTTTCTTTTAAAGTATATTCTCAAATGCTTACTTGTACTCCTTTTGGAGACTAATTACTTTAAGTCCCCAAGTTAGCATCTGAACTCCCTGTGGGCTTGGTCTGGTGGCTCACATCTATAATCTCAGCACTTCAGGAGGCTAAGGCAAGAGGATCACTTGAGCCCAGGATTTCAAGGCCAGCCTGGGCAACAAAGTGAGACCTCATCTCTAAAATAAATAAATAAATAAATAAATATAACTCCCAATGCAAATTGTCTTCTTAGGGCGTTAATCTACTTGGTAAACCTTACATTTTCAAGCCCCCAATTAACTAGTCACTTAACTGGTTTCTGAGAGGCAGGTTGCATTGGGCTTTTTCTGTCAGGGCTTAATTAATACACTGTGAGACATTTGCTCAGCTAGGCCAGCTAGCTAGTACTTCTGTAGAGATCATCTAGGGCATGTTCAGCTCTCCATTTACATCACCTGAAGTAGTTCCCAAGTGCTGGGCTATGGAGTAGTTTCATCTCTGTCTCTGGAAGAGCTATTTAAAAAAATAAAAATATTTTTTCCCATCTGATTGCAACACACATGCTGCTTCAGAATGGGAATGGAGTGGAGGAGGCATGGGAATCTGTGTTATTTTTAAAAAGTGCCTCTTGATTCTAAAGGTTTTGTTTATTTTGGTATGCTTATCCTTACTGCTTTATTTATCTATTTTTTAGAGACAGGTTGCCCAGGATGGAGTGCAGTAACATCATCATAGCCCTCTATAACCTTCAACTTCTGGGTTCAAGAGATCTTGCCTCAGCCTCCAGAGTAGCTAGGACTACAGGCCGGCACCACCACGCCTGGCTGATTTTTTTAAAACTGTTTTGTAGAAATGGGGGGGCGGGGGTCTTGCTTTGTTGCCCAGGCTAGCCAAATCTTATTTATGATTTAAAACTAGGAATGCTACCGAATATATATTTTTATAGTAAGGTATTATTTCTGTATGTTAATATGGATGAATGTATGCTACTCAGGTCTTTTCAAGTCAAAATGTATTTCTAAATATAAGATGAATTAAGGATATTTGTCAGTGATATTCACTAGTGAATTCTAGAGCATATGTTATCAGTAGATGGGCAGTCCTTGTAAAAATTGAATAATCTAGTGAAAGGATGACCGGAAATAATATTTAATGGGGTAAGCTAAGCCAGGAATCATTGTACATAAACACATTAGGTGTGTCTTACATCATAAATATGCCTACTAAAACTAGTTGAAGGAAGAATGTGTATAGATGCTGAAATAATGAAGGGGCTGGCTAATTGTAAGGAAAAATGATACAACTTCTATATAATTAGTCTTTTTAATCAGTTGCATATACTCATGATACTTAATTTGTAAAGTAAAGATTGTAGACTAGATCAATGCTTTGTAAAACTAACAGTACCTCAGACTTCCAGAGTGTTTTTTAAAGGTACAGCCCCACCCTTGATTCTAGTTAGTGGAGCTGGCCTAACCTGCGGGGGATTTTGATACATCCCCCTTTGAAGGAATAAGCTAGATGACTTGAAACTCTGCTTCAGTTAAAAGTTTTATGAAATGAGGCCGGGTGCGGTGACTCACGCCTGTAATCTCAGCACTTTGGGAGGCCAAGGGGGGTGCGGATTACCTGAGGTCAGGAGTTTGAGACCAGCCTGACCAACATGGTGAAACCCCGTCTCTACTAAAAATACAAAAATTCATTGGGCATGGTGGCACATGCCTGTAATCCCAGCTACTCACATGCCTGTAATCCCAGCTTCTTGGGAGGCTGAGGCAAGAGAATTGCTTGAGCCTGGGAGACAGAGGTTGCAGTGAGCTGAGATTGTGCCACTGCACTCCAGCCTAGCTGACAGAGCGAGACTGTCTCAAAAAAACAAAAAAAGTTTTATAAAATGTATTTTTCAGTTATCAGTTATTAAAATTCAGTTTGGTTTCCACCATCTTTTAAAACAGTGGTTCCCAAAGTATGGTCCACAGACTCCTGGAGATCCCTAGGATCCTTATATTTAAGGGGTTCACAAAATCAAAATTATTTTCATAATGAAACTGAGACGTTATTTGCCCTTTCACTGTGAGGACATTTGTATGGGTGGTGAAGGAGCAGTGGTGGGTAAACTGCTGGCACTTTAAAATGACTCTAGGCAGTTATACCAAACATATGAGTCCTCATTGTGTTCTTTATAGTCAAACACACATAAGCATTTGAAAAAATGCCGGTTTCACTTAATAATCCCCTTGCTGCAGCAGTAAAAAGGTTTAATTTTAAAAAAATCTCTACCTTGGAGTATGTCTTTTTAATAGTGTGATTAAATGGGAAGTATGCATAAAGCATTTCTGCACATTGAAGTACAGTGTTCTTTTCTAGGAAAAGCACTTGTGTTATTGAGCTGCAAGCTGAACTAGCTGCTTTTTAGTGGGACACCATTTTTATTTTTATTTAACAGGATGACAGATAAGCTCAGATAGCTATTTAGATTTGAGTATTTGGCAGGTAATTCCTTGGAAATGAATAAAGTGAGCTGGCCACTTCGAGGAGAACATTTATAGCCAGTGCTAAAATCTGATGTTTCAAGTGAAAATCAGATTTTTGGGAAACTCCTGTCACTATGACTTGCCAGTTTCTTAATACTTAAAGACTTTTCTGATGAGATGGGTGGTGATATTAAGGAATGTGATTAAAAAAAATATGTTGGGCTGGGCACGATGATGCACACCCATATTTCTAGCACTGTGGGAGGCGGAGGTGGGAGAATTGCTTTTGGCCAAGAGTTCGAGACCCTGTTTCTACAATAACATATAAAAATTAGGTGTAGTGGCATGTAGTTCTAGCTGCTCAGGAGGGTGAGGTGAGAAGATTGCTTCAGCCAGGGAGTTCAAGGCTGGATTAAGCTAGGATCGCACCACTGCACTCGGGCCTAGGCTACAGAGCGAGACTGTGGGGGGGGGGGCAGTATGAGGAAGTGTGTCAACACTGGGAAGATCTGTGTAACTCATTGAACCAATATTTTCCCAAATGACCAATTCATGTTACAAAATCGTGCATGGGTAGGCGATCCGTTCAAAGTACAACATAGACAAATGGATTTTTATATACACCAGAGCCAAAAAGTTCACTGATACAGTGAATTCCACATTGCAACTAACCTTTCAGAATTGCCACTTGAGTTTTGGTGTTGAATAAAAGATGAATATCCATTGTTTTCTGAGAAGGCTGTTAAAATACTCCTCTCTTCCAATTAGCTGTCCATGTGAGACACGTTTTCTTCATGTACTTTAAACAAAACAACATATCATAGCAGATTGAATGCAGAAGCAGATATGGGAATCCAGCTGTCTCCTATTAAGCTAGGCATTAAGAGAAATTTGTGAAGATGTAAAACAGTGTTACTCTGATTCCTGACTTTGTTTTAGAAAATTCTGTTTTTCATAAGATGTTTATATTAACGTAATGGGTTTATTATTTTAAATGAATTAATAAAGCAAATACCAAAAATTTTAGTAGTTTTATTTATTTATAATATGATAAATATCAATGTATATAGCCCGCATAAAAGCTATTTGGTGTCTTTAATAATGAAGAGTATAAATAAAGGTCCAACTTGGCCAACATGACGAAACCCTTTCTCTACTAAACATACAAAAATTAGCTGGGCATGGTGGTACATGTCTGTAATCCCAGCTACTTGGGAGGCTGAGGCACGAGAATCACTTGAACCTGGGAGGCGGAGGTTGCAGAGAGCTGAGAACATGCCTCTGCAGTCCAGCCTGGGCAACAGACTGAGACTATGTCTCAGAAAAAGAATATGAATAAAGGGATCCTGAGATCAGAGAGTTTGACAGCTGCTGTTTTAAAGTAACTATTTCTATGCATTATCGACTAAATTACTGATTGATTGAATTGTTTTTATGGTTTGTACTATATTGCTGTTATTTCTAAGGACGTTAGTCATTCAGTTTCTGTTCAGTTATCAGGGAACATGTAAGAGTCAGACTTAAGTAAAAAGGGGAATTCATTGGCTTGGTCTGGAGATAGAGCTGACCTCAGATTGCTATATCCAGGGTTTCAAGCAGCATCACCAGGACTCTTGACTTTGCTTTCTTTCTGTTTCTCAGGTAGTTTGCAGGCTAACTATCCCCAGCTTCAAGGAAGCATGAAGAGGGCCTTCCCCCCCCCACCCCCCCACCCCCCCACCCCCCGTAGTTCCATCGGAAGTGCTAGAGCTATGTCACTTGCCTGCCTTGCGTTCTTTTTCATCAGAAACAACACTGTGGCCAGGGGGTGGCTCTGGTTAGTCTGGGAATTGTCCCACCTGGCCAGATGGGGAGATTCTCCTTGGAAAATCAGACTGCTGTTTTACAAATGGAGAAATACATGCTGGTACACAAAAACTGATGTCCACCTATAGTACTTTGTTATTTCTTCTTTTAACAGCCTTTAATTTATTAATCCAAAAAGGGTAATTTTTAAATAAGATCATTTAAACTGAAGGTGGCATACCAAAATGACATTTAAGACACATAGGTAAACAAGAAGCATACATCTCGATTTGTCCTTTGTCATTCATCTTAAAAGTTAAAAAAAAACTTTTTGTTGCTTTTATTGCTGTATAAATGTGCTCTTGGAAGTTCGCCAACTGCCCTCAGTTTGAAGAACCTCAACTTGCTGTCTAGGATTTAGTCTTTAGCTTGTGCTGCAGACAGTTGCACTAACCGTGAACACCTTTTTTTCCTGTTGGTAAACCTAAGTTTAGAGTTTATTCCTAGTAATAACATTGATATATTACCAGGCCCAGCTTTTTTCTCCTCCCCTAGTTAAATTTAAGCACTTTTGCGCCGGGCATGGTGGCTCATACCTGTAATCCAGCACTTTGGGAGGCCAAGGCGGGCAGATCATGAGGTCAGGAGATCGAGACCATCCTGGCCAACGTGGTGAAACTTGTCTCTGCTAATAATACAAAAATTAGCTGGGCATGGTGATGCGCCCCTGTAGTCCCAGCTACTGGGGAGGCTGAGGCAGGAGAATCGCTTGAACCCAGGAGGCAGAAGTGGCAGTGAGCCAAGATGGCACCACTGCACTCCAGCCTGGGCCACAGTGAAACTCTGTCTCAAAAAAAAAAAAAAATTTTAAGCACTTTTCTCAAATATTCCCATAGTAAGTAGTTTATTGATCACTGATCAAAACACTTACAACTTCTAGAAAATACATGTTTGACACATATAATACAGTTAATTCAAAAGTAAACTAACATCTGAGAAAAAATGTCAACACTCCTTACCTAAAATACATGAATTTACATGAGAACCTCTCTCTGGCCAGTATTCAGCCTGTTTAATTTTAGAGAGTATCTTAATTAGTTTGGTTATTTGGCTTTCTCGTCCATTTATTAGTATACCTATGGTCAACGTCAGGTGACAGCTTACAATTAATAGCAAGGCTAGAGGAAAAACAACAGGCAGATAACAAGAATCAGCTGTCTCTTCTTGCTAACTCTTTACCTCTCATAACTCTTGACTGCATCTAATACCTGTATATGTTAGTGCCTTTCAGATAGGCCTAACTTCTCATCTCTTCAAACTCAAGATATCTAAAGCTGAATTTGTTACATACCTGCTTTTAAATTTTTTAATCATTGAGTTATCTAGAAATGGGTCGTCTTTTATTTGTCCCCCCTTTTTCACCCTTCATATTTCAGTTGGTTAAAGACTCCAGTCTTTTCTACCTAGAAATAGCTCACTGATTTCCCCCTCCCCTCCTTGGCCCATTGCCCATGCCCCAGTCTAGGATCTTACCGCTTTTCTGGTAATTGTTTCCTAACTGGTTTTCTATTTCCTTTTCCAAAGCTGTTCTCCAGGCTCTCACTGAAGTTTTCTAATACAAATCTAATGCTGTTTTTTCTCCTCTTTCTACCATGAACCTACTCTAGACAAAGCTCTTATCCGTCTCTGCTTTTCCTCATCATTTTCCTTCAGCCTGGCAAATTCTTATTCGTATGTGGTAATCCATTAATACTATTCTACCAATATTCTGATGGCTGTCCCCTGGCACATGGTAGTATTGTGCTTCTTTGTCTCCCTCATCCCTACCTTGAAATTAGGCATGGCCCAGAGTTTCTTGCATTGGCACTGTTGACATTTTAGGCTGGATAATTTATTTTGCGTGTTGTCCAGTGCATTGCAGGGTATTTAGCAGCAACCATGGCCTTTAGCCACCAGATGCCCAGTAGTATCCAGTTGTGACCATATATTGCCTCCAGATGTTGCCAAGTGTCCCCTGAGGGACAAAGTTGCCCCTGGTTGAGAACTCCTGGCATGGCCTTATGACTTTGGCCAGTCAAACATGAGCAGAAGTGGTAGCCTTTAAAAGAAGATATATGAGCTGTCCTATCCCTTCTCCTGCCATTTAAGGACATATGTAGAAATGGAGCCTTTGTCAGTCTAATTTCTGAGCGATGACAGCAGTGCCCCCAGTTGATCTGTGATGAATGTGTATTATATCCTAAGCAGAAAATAAGCTTTTGTTTTAAGCTACTGATCTTTTGGGGGTTGGTTGTCACTGCAGCATAGACTAGCCAATCCTGACTGATACGTTGTGCCAAGACCTAGGTTACCTATGAACTTTCCATGCTCCCTCATTTATAGTCCCAAATCACTTTATACCTACTTCTTTTAGCATTTATTACTTATGTAATAATATGTTTGGGTCTTCCAGATTAGTAGTTCTCAGTGGAGTAAGTACTGCTCTTTAAGGGATGTTGTAGAAATTTGTGGATGGGTTTGGTGGATTGGTGGCCAGGGATGCCATCCTGCAATGTGAGAGACAGCGAATAATTATCTTGCATCCCACAAGACTTTCAGATGCCCCAGAAATTCATGTAGGAGGAAAATATAATTAGCCCAGAACCTAACTCTATAATATATATTCACTTTGCCAGGAGTTAAATTTCTTTTAATTCATTTTTTTCTTGCCTGCCTGCCTCCCTCCCTCCTTCCCTCCCTCCCTCCCTCCCTCCCTCCCTCTCTCCCTCTCTCTTTCTCTCTGTTTTCTTTCTTTTTCCTTCCTCCCTCCCTGCCTCCCTCCCTTACTTCAGGCTCTGTTACCCAGGCTGGAGTGCAGTGGCGTGATCTTGGCTCACTGCAACCTCTGCCTCCCAGGCTCAAGCCGTCCTCCCACCTCAGCCTTCTGAGTAGCTGGGACTATAGGCATGTGCCACCATGCCCCACTAATTTTTTGTATTTTTTGTAGAGAGGAGGTCTCACTTTGTTGCCAGGCTGGTCCTGGCAACCGTGCCTTTGTTGCCAGGCTGGTCCTGAGCTTAAGTGATCCAACCATGTCGGCCTCTTAAAGTGCTGGGATTACAGGCATGAGCCACTGTACCCGGACTTGGTTGTTTTGTTTTTTATTTTTGAGACCAAATCTTACTCTGTCACTTGGGCTGGAGTGCAGTGGCTCAGTCATAGCTCACCGTAGCCTTGGTCTCCTGGGCTCAAGCAGTCCTCCTGCCCCAGCCTCTTGTTAATTCATTTTCTTAGTTCAAGTTGTTTAAGAGTTCACCATTTGGGAAAATCCATGTTACTGACTGCAGTGCCATTGTGCTATTTGAGTTGCCAGTATAACACGTTTGTCTTGGAAGGTCTGAATTTGTAGCTGTCACATTTGTAATGATTCTGTATATAAGTGCTAGCATCTAACTTCTTTATTATACATTCTAACTTAGTTGGCATGCCTGAGTATTTATAGGTGGAAGTACACATTATATATTAAGCTTTTCCTCCTTTTTGTTATAGTTAGGGCATTGTTAAATTTTCAAAATATGTTTAAGTAGTTTAGAATTTTGTTTCAGTAAAGCTAAGGTGGTGATATAAATTATTTGTTGGAAAAAAAATGGGATGTTGGTCTGAGAGAGTCCAGACCCACTTTCTTACTATGGGCTTCCTGTTTTTGTATCTGTAGTGCTTTGTATATACAGTGTTTGTTGAATTGGTCAATTTATGTTTCCCACATTTCTTTTATGTACGTTGTTGCATCTAATTACCACAATAAATTTGTGAAGTTGTCAGGGCAGGTGTTTCCATTTTATAGATGAGAGAATTGAGAGAGATGTTAACATTCAGTCATGCGGCTAGACCTTTAATTAGAATATATAATTTTATTTATATCGATATTATGCTCTTGCCTACCATACTTCCATAATCTAGAACCATTTAATGTAGGAATACATCTCTTTATTCCTGCTAGTATTATTTTTTATATGCATAACTTTTAATTATGTTTCAGGCACTTGTGGTCATAGGAATACAATAAAGAGAGAGATGAGAAAGCTGTTTGTTTAAGAAAGCGAGGTCATTATCATTTGTATTCAAAGCAACTTGGTATTAAAACAAACTTTGAGATACCGTTAAGGCCCCAGCATAGCATAAATTTTAGAAATGATGACATTTGATGGTGAGATTGTGGTGAAATAGTTAACACTTAAACATTTTAATTGCATTGTAGATTCATACACATCTTTTGGAATATAATATCAGAAAATGACTTCAAAAGTGTCTGCACTCTTCTAATTTGTTGTAAGACAATTCCACAGAATAAAAAGCTATGGTCAGTCCAGAAACACTTGCCTGGTATATGTCAGGAACTGTGCATGGTGCTGGGAATTTCTAAAATGAGAGTGTTGTTGCTGTTTTCTTGGATTTCTAATTTGTGGCAACAATGTGAGACAGATATGTAATCAAATAACTAATGTGTTACATTGTAATTTACACATGTAATTTACAATTAAATTGTAATCGTAATTGTTAAATTGTAATTTAACGTATCTTTCCTTTTCCCTCTTTCCCGATTCCTTTCCTTTCTACTGAGTCTCACTCTGTTGCCCAGGCTGGGGTGCAGTGGCACAATCATAACTCACAGCAGCCTTCAACTCCTGAGCTCAAGCAGTCCTCCTGCCTCAGCCTCCTGAGGAGCTGGGACTACAAGCCCACACTACCATGCCTGGCGAACCTCCTACATTTTTTTAGACAGATTTTAATAGAAAATGCAGAAAAATGCGTAATGCATTTTAGGAAAAATCTTCTTGTAAAACTATTATTATTTTTTTGAGATAGGGTCTCACTGTGTCACCCAGGCTGTAGTGCAGTGGCACAATCACAGCTCACCAAGGCCTTGACCTCCCAAGGCTCAGGTGATCTTCCAGTCTCAGCTCCCCGCGTAGCTAGGACAACAGGCGTGTGCCACCACACCCAGTTAATTTTTTTATTTTGAGTAAAGATCAGGTTTTGCCGTGTTGCCCAGGCTGGTCTCAAACTCCTGGGCTCAAGCGATCCACCTGCGTCGGCCTCCCAAAGTGCTGGGATTACAGGTGTGAGCCACCGTGCCTGGCCACAATTAAGCATGTTAATATTTCAACAGTAGCTTTTTTACTGAACACTATGTATCAGACACGTTATGCAGAATTTTTCCTTTGAGCTTCTGTATACCCTCCTTTTAATCCAGATTCAGAGTAACTTCATTTTCTGACTACTATGAAAACTGGAATTCTAATTCAAATCTCTTGACTCCAAAATCTCCCATGCAGGTTATCTTTGGTTATTTGGAAAGTGTACCTTCAGCATGTGTATTAATGTGGGCAAGTGCTCTAAGACATATGAAAAACTGCTTCTCTGCATGGGGTTTATGAGTTGAGACAGACATTTATGTGAAAGAGATAACAACAGAGGGAGGAGCAAGTCTTCAATATCAGGTGATTGATGTACATTCTGAAGAGGCTCAAAACTACAACAGTGGCAGGGAGAATGGGAGGAGAGATAGAAAAGACTGAGGTAAAGAATCTTGTAACTGTAACGGAATGTAGGGATAGTGAAGGAAAGAGGCACGTCAGAGATCTTTTGCAAAGCTTCCCAAGGCTAGGTAATTGAGTGGAATTGATACTTTAACAAAGGTCTTCAGAAGAGGAAGAGATTTTGGTAGAATGATGAGTTTTATTAATCTTGTGGGAGGATACTTTAAGGATTCAAGTATGCAGTAAAAGAAAATGAAAGCAAGATAAGTCTGGAATGCAACTTCAGTGAACAAATAAAATACAAACAAGCACACAAAGTACAGGCTCCAGTCCTGCTTTATCTTCTTTATTCTTAAGCTAATGGCCTTTTCCTATTCTCTGTGGGGTCTTGGGATCAGATAAGTTAGTTTTCTACCTGTTGAATGGATTCTTTATTAATCTTCAGTTTTTGTTATTTTAATTTTTTTGAAAATAATTTACCCTGCTGCTTTTACAGGTAAAATCTTTTGAGGAATTTAGTGATCTCTTTAAAGAACAGCTGTATTGAGATATAATTTCCATACCATAAAATTCACTATTTGAAAGTGTACAATTCAGTGGTTTTTACTATAGTCAGAGTTGTGCAACCATCACCATTATCAATTTTTAGGACTTTTTCATTATAACAAAGAAACACCATACCCATTAGCAGTCATTCCTCATTCCCCTTCCTCCCAGGCCCTGGCAACCACTGATTTACTTTCTGTCTCTGTGGATTTGCCTATTCTGTATATTTCATATAAATGGGATTATATAATGTGTGACCTTTTGTCACTGACTTCTTTCACTTAGCATGTGTTTTCGAGGCTTATCCATGTTATAATTTGTTAGTACTTTATTCTTTTTTATGGTTGAATAATATTTCGTTGTATGGAATTTTATCTATGCATTCATCAGTTGATGGACATTTGAGTTGTATCCATTATGAACAACGCTGCTATGAACATTCATGTACAGGTTTGTGTGGACATGGGTTTTCATTTCCCTCAAGTAGAAGTGTGAAGAGTAGAATTGCTGGGTCATATTTACTCTGTTTAACATTTTGTATTAATACCAGACTGTTTTCCAAAGTACCTGTGCCATTTTGTAATCCCAGCACCAAGGAGTGAGGGTCCAATTTCTCGGCTTCTTCAATACTTACTATTGTCTTTTTGATATATCCATCTCAGTAGGTATGAAGTAGCAGCTCATTGTGGTTTTGATTTTCATTTCCATAATGTCTAATGTCGAGCATCTTTCATGTGCTTATTGGCCATCGTCTTTGGAGAAGTGTCCTTTAGAATCCTTTTGTTCATTTCTAAATTGGGGTTTTTTTTTTTTTTTAATTGGTCTCTTTTAACAAAGGTGAGTGTTAACTGCTAGGTAGAATTTCATACCAGGCGATGGTAAATTTTTCATAAATATTAGTAATAGACTTTTAGGTTTAACTAGTGCTGATCCTCATAAGTAATCCTTTAAAAAAGTGCTGGTAAGATTTTCCTTTAGGGTGACTAGTAAAGTCAGTAAGACTTGATTGAGCATGCCACTATCATAATGAGAAGACCTAACTTTAATATTTTTGGAATGTCAAAAACAGTGACATTTTAATTAAGTAATTTTATTTTTAAAAATTATTTTTAATGGCTAATATTTTGTAAGAATTTTAAGTAATTTTCAACTCTGAGCATCAAATTTTAATTATGTGCATTGAATCTCTGACTTAACCAGAGCAATTTCATCTTTTCCCAAGTAGTCAGATCTACTTCGTAAAATGTGTTCTGATGTGTGTCTTTTTTTTTTTTCTTTTTTAGGTTATCCTGAATACATGTCTAACAATTTTCCTTGCAACGTTAGCTGTTGTTTTTCACTGTTTCCAAAGGATCAAAATTGCTTCAGAAATTGGAGACATATTTGATTTAAAAGGAAAAACTTGAACAAATGGACAATATGTCTATTACGAATACACCAACAAGTAATGATGCCTGTCTGAGCATTGTGCATAGTTTGATGTGCCATAGACAAGGTGGAGAGAGTGAAACATTTGCAAAAAGAGCAATTGAAAGTTTGGTAAAGAAGCTGAAGGAGAAAAAAGATGAATTGGATTCTTTAATAACAGCTATAACTACAAATGGAGCTCATCCTAGTAAATGTGTTACCATACAGAGAACATTGGATGGGAGGCTTCAGGTTAGTCTTATAAGAGTTTTTCTATACCCTCTATGGTGGCAGATTTAAAAACTTGCTACGTTTCCTTTCAAGCTACTACAGGGTAATTTAATTTGTGCTCCATCTCTTCAGATACTGTGCATCCTGTACAAATATGCATTATGGGAATTTCTGGAAGAATATGCAAAAGATAAAATCTTAAAGTTTTTTAATGTTCTACTCAGAAAAATGTTCAATGGAGAAAATTTGGAAAATAAAAATAAAAAGCAGAAAACCCACACTTCGCAAGAACTACCTTTAGCACTTTGGTATTCATTTTTGTAGCCTGTTGTTTTCTTTTTTTTTTTTTTCCTAGACGGAGTCTTGCTCTGTCACCCAGGCTGGAGTACAGTGGCGTGATCTTGGCCCACTGCAACCTCCACCTCTTGGGTTCAAGCAATCCTCCTGCCTCAGCCTCCTAAGTAGCTGGGACTACAGGCAAGTGCAACCATGCCTGGCTAATTTTTGTATTTTTAGTAGAGATGGGGTTTCACCATGTTGGTCAGGCTGGTCTTGAACCGCTGACCTCAGGTGATCCACCCGCCTCAGCCTTCCAGAATTCTGGCATTACAGGCGTGAGCCACTGTGCCCAGTCGTGTTGTTTTCTTTTTTGATATTGTATGTACATTTAAACAACCGGATTACACTTAGTCCTTTTATAATTTAGAAATCTGATATGTTTCACTGTTAGCAAATGTTTCATTGGTCACATTTTTCAGGTAGAACTTCATAATACAGCTCCCTTGCTTAAATAAATCTTACAGAAATTTTGTCGTAGATTTTAAAGTTTTATTTCAAGACTTTACACATAGTTTCTGCAACACAGTCTTTTTGCATATTTATTTATTTTATTTTATTTTTTTGAGACATGGTCTTACTTTTGCCCAAGCTGGAGTGCAGTGGTGCAAAACATGGCTCACTGCAGCCTTGACCTACTGGGCTTATGCAGTTCTCCTGCCTTAGCCTCCTGAGTAGCTAGGACTACAGGCACATACCACCATGCCTGGGTAATTTTTTATTATTTGTGGAGACAAGGGTCTTGCCATGTTGTCCAGGCTGGTCTTGAACTCCTGGGCTCAAGCGATCCTCCTGCCTTGGCCTCCCAAAGTGATAGGATTACAGGTGTGAGCCACCATGCCCAGTCACTTTTTACATTTTTAAAACCTGAGCACAGGCCTTGAAATTATACCAAGGTTTAAATTCTAGGTCTGATGTATGACATGGCCAAGTTAGTTATTGTGAATTTTAGTTTTCTTATTTATGAAATGGGGATTGTAATACTGAGTTGGTAGGATTGTGAGGATTAAATCAGAATATATAAAAGTGTCTTGCATAATGTGACACATGAATAAATGGTCGTTTATTTTTCTAGGTGGCTGGTCGGAAAGGATTTCCTCATGTGATCTATGCCCGTCTCTGGAGGTGGCCTGATCTTCACAAAAATGAACTAAAACATGTTAAATATTGTCAGTATGCGTTTGACTTAAAATGTGATAGTGTCTGTGTGAATCCATATCACTACGAACGAGTTGTATCACCTGGAATTGGTAAGTAGACTTTGCTTTCATCCTAAGAAACATAAAGGGAAAAGGATCTCAATAGTGTTTCAATTTTTGTAAGTTAAATTATAAATTTGGAAGATAGCCCGCGACTTTAAATAAGGTTAAAGAATCAGACATTTTTAATATACGTATTTAAATTTGAATTTAGGAACAAACTTATATTTTGACTGCTAAAACCGAGTATTGTAGTTGATATTTTGCCCCTTTAGAACATTGTTTTTGAGAAATAAGATGGAAAGCATTATAAATTTGAATACTTAGTTATGTATTGTTAGATAGCGTTTATGCTACTTCTGAATTGAAATGGTTCATGAACTTTTGTAATCTTTGGTTTAAATTTACATTCTCTGTTTTTAAATGGAAAATACTTTCATTGTAATGATTAATGTTTCATTTGTTTTCCCCTTTAAACAATTAAGATCTCTCAGGATTAACACTGCAGAGTAATGGTAGGTAATCTGTTTCTTACTACTTTCTCTTTGTTTTGTCCTATCCTCTCTGTTTTTTTGTTGACCTAGAATTAGTTTGTGTGAGCGGCAGGCAGTAACATTAACAAGAAAATAACTTACTGCTTTGGAAATGTAGATTTTGAGGTTAGGGGCATTTAAAACTGGATTTAAAACTGGATTTAAATTGGCTATTGCTCTTTGTATTTGAACTGCAATTTATGAACTAAAGTACTGTAAAAAAATATGATAGAGGAATGCACCAAAAACAAATATAAAGAATATTTTTTGAGTTAAGACCTATTTTTGAAGAAAATCTCACAGAGCCAGTTTAAATGGATGTTAAATACCCAGAATATTTGGTAATTTGGAATCACATATAACATATCCTTTAAAAATACCAGTATTCTAATTTTCCTTCATTTCAGCCTAACATTTTTATGAATGATAATGTTGAGAATGGTTTAAAATTGCACTCTTTTGTATTTTTTCAGTCTTGTTACATTTTGAGTAAATAAATCAAGGCTACTTTAAAGCATATGCCCATCACAGCTTACCTAATTGTATTTTTAAAAAGAAAAAGTGTTTTAAGGTGAGAAAATGAAATGTGAATGGGGGTGTTTTTGTTTTTTATTGTAATATTTGAGAATGGAGTTTTATTAAATCTTTAGCTCTGTTACTTAGAACTTAATAAACTAAAATTTCTGTAAGAACTAATTAATTTGCAGAGAAACTCTTATAAAGAACCACTGTCAGCCAGGCACGGTGGTTCACACCTGTAATCCCAGTACTTTGGGAGGCTTAAGCGGGTGGATCACCTGAGGTCAGGAGTTTGACACCAGCCTGGCCAACATGGTGAAACCCTGTCTTTACTAAAAATATAAAAAATTAGCCAGGCATGGTGGCGGGTGCCTGTAATCCCAGCTACTCAGGAGGCTGAGGCAGGAGAATCGCTTGAACCCGGGAGGTGGAGGTTGCAGTGAGCTGAGATCACGCCATTGCACTCCAGCCTGGGCAACGAGCGAAACTGTCTCAAAAAAAAAAAAAGTGGGGGGAGGCTGGGCACGGTGGCTCACTCCTGTAATCGCAGCACTTTGGGAGGCCGAGGAGGGCGGATCACGAGGTCAGGAGATCGAGACCATCCTGGCTAACACAGTGAAACCCCGTCTCTACTAAAAACATACAAAATTAGCCGGACGTGGTGGTGGGTGCCTGTAGTCCCAGCTACTTGGGAAGCTGAGGCAGGAGAATGGTGTGAACCCGGGAGGCAGAGGTTGCAGTGAGCCGAGATAGTGGCACTGCACTCCAGCCTGGTTGACAAAGCGAGACTCTGTCTCAAAAAAAAAAAAAAAAGGAACCACTGTCATCTTAGAAAGGTGTGCTCTTGTTCTGGAGGGCAGTTAGTAGTAGTTTAGCACCTTTTTTGTTTGTAGAATTTTAGAGGTGGGTCAGAAATACTAGGTGACCTTAACCAAAATTTAGGAAGAGTATGCAATTCTACTTGTTTTTTTTTTTCCACCTTTCTCCCATATCACTGGTAATGGAGGAAGACTCACTGCCTTGTGGTGCTTGTTAGTGATTAGTAGGTTTCTGACAAGTGTGGGTTTATTATTAGGAGCTGTTGTGGTGGTCTGGGAAGGGTTGCTTTAAGATTGGTGAAAACTCTGCTTCTTTGCTACGCAGACATTGATATTGTATCACTTCTTTTTTTTTTTGAAAGTAAACACGTTTCATATCTTCACCATTTTCCATCCATGTTTTTGGAGAAAACGTTTGTCTCAGTGGGTATTAAAGGTTGGGAGACTGCAATGATAAGTGTGTCTGAATCTCTCTATGGGGCTGTTTGTGAGGGGGTTCAAATTCTGAGTGCTCATCACACACCTCCCCTATTCTAAAATTATTGATGCACTGTTATTGATGGGATTGTACGGGTTGATAGCCTTTCTATAGTGACTGTAGGGCTGTATTCAGCCTTGTAGATCCCCCTAGTGGTGGTTTTGTAAAGGCTGTCTTCAGTGTCTTATTTCCTCAGAAAACAACTGGTATTTCTCACAGCTCCTTCTAGATTTGGACAAAGGAATGATACAAGAGCAGGTAACTAAAAGTTAAGAAAATGGGACAGTTCCTTCATTTTTGAGTTAAAGTCTTGTGGTAATCATTTCCAGCCTATCTTTTACCTTTCATGAAACTTTCTATGACCACGTTGACCTGTGTATTCATTTTAACAAGTATTTAATAAGCATGTATTGCCTGGTACTGTGTTAGGTTCCAGGGATGCTTAGATAATAAGGTATGTTTTGTCTACTCAAGTGAGCTTATACTCTAGTGGAGGAGAGAAAAAGTAAATAAGAGAGTGATAATACCATGAGATAGGTGCTGTGTCCTGGTTGCTGGTGATGATAAAGAACACAGACCTAAGGTGGGCCCAGTGGTTTCAGCTTTTTTGTCACCTATAGAGAATATATTCTTTGACCCTCTTAGAACATTTTTTTTTTCTTTTTTGAGACGGAGTTTCGCTCTTGTTGCCCAGGCTGGAGTACAATGGTGCGATTTCGGCTCACTGCAACCTCCGCCTCCCGAGTTCAAGCGATTCTCCTGCCTCAGCCTCCTGAGTAGCTGGGATTACAGGTGCCCGCCACCATGCCCAGCATTTTTTTTTGTTTGTATTTTTAGTAGAGATGGGGTTTCACCATGTTGGCCGGCTGGTCTCGAACTCCTGACCTCAGGCGATCCACCCGTCTCAGCCTCCCAAAGTGCTGGGATTACAGGCATGAGCCACTGCACCCAGCCCTCTTAGAACATTTTATAATCACTATATATATGTATAACTACTCTAAAAATATGGTTAAATAATAATAGCTAACACTGGGTACTCGTGTGTCAGGTCAGACTGAGCTAAATGATTTCTGAGTATTGTGTCATCATTCTCATGATACTTCTACATGGGAGGTGGGATTATTTATACTTTAACAGATGAAGGGACTGCTACCTGGAGAGGTGAAGGAACTTGCCCAAGAATAGGCAACTAGGAGGAGCCGGAGTAATGTGTGCTTGCTATTAGATATTTAAACAATGGAAAAATATTACAAAAGACTGCAAACTCCATGACAGCAGGGATATTTGTTTTGTTTATGGATATATCCCAAGTACTAGAACAGTACCTGGAACAGAAGTGCTCAAGAAATATTTTTTCAGTGAATGAATTTGTTGAATGCTAGCCCATAAAGAGAAATATTTAACAGTTTGGTATCTGTTTTTCTGGACTTTAAAAAATATATACTATATGTTTTTTTAATTTTATTTTTTTGAATAGGCAATACATGGTCCATAAATCAAAATACTATAAAAAGGTATACAGTGAAAAGAAGTGCTCCCACCCCTGCCCCCATTCCCCCCTACCTCAGGTAATCACTTTTTTTAGTTTCTGGTGTTTCCTTCCAGGGTTTCTATATGCAAAAAATACATACCTCCTTTCTTACACAAAACGTATACTATGCATACTGTTCTGGACCTTGGTTTTTTACTTACAGTATATGATTTTTTAAACATGCATATGATCATAGTGTACAATAGTGCTTTGTAACTTGCTTTGATTCTCTTGGCAAAAATATATTGCAGACTTCTATCCTTGTTGATACCTTTAGTTTTACCTGAGAAACATTTATTATGGATTATCTGGGGTTAAAGAGATCTGTAGACCAGTAGAAGTTTCAAACTTACATTTGGGAAGTTTAGCCAGCATATTTAGGGCAAGAAAGATTTATGGGTCATAACTGTTTAAAAGCAGAATACAGTTGGTACATAAAGATGTTATGATTGCTGATTAAACTGAAGAGTCATCTGAAAAGCAAAAGCAGTGAGTACCAAGTTGACCAGTTGTATCCTCAAATCAGCTAGCAAAACCAGTAAGTTGGTAAAAAGATCCCAGTCATTATAACAACAAAAAAAACCTAAGATGTCCAGGAATTAATTAGAGATGTCAGGATTTATATGAAGAAAATCATTGAACTTTGTTGAAGGGTGTAATATAAGGCTGAATAAGTGTAGACATACCAATTTTGTGCCCCAAACAATTTTTTTCTTTTTATTATTTTTATAACTTGGCCAATGTTGATGAGTGGTTGTGTTCAGTTTTTTTTATTGATACATAATTTGTTACGCATCCTTTTGATTATCTTTTTGTTTCCATAAAATTTCTAAAGAGGAACTTTGGAATGGGATTTATAGGTCTTCAGAATATCATCTTCATGACTTTTGATGCATGAACATACTTCTTAAGAGGTTTTTAAGAGGTTGTACATAGAAACTTGCACAATGGATGATTATTACTGCCTTAAACTAGTCTCAATTTAATAAAAAGTACCCATGTAACTTAACTGATATTTACATGTAGTAGATTTTTTTTCAAAGGTTGACATAGGGAAAGATAAGGGAAATGATATGCTGGTTCTTAATGAAAAAGGGAATGTCTTTTTGTGGTCTACTAATTGACTGCTTTAAGAAGAGAACCTACTGTTAGTTCAGTGGATTGTTAAGTTCTGGAGTAGTGTTAGTTTAGAAGCAATAAAGGATTGGTTGCTAAAGGTAAAAAGCAAACCTTAAAACAATAACCTAAAAACAAATGGGAAGGTTCTGGGCAGAGAATTAACATTGTTAATGCAGTTCAGTTTCAGTTTTCTTTTTGTCATACAGCAGAGCTAACTATTTCCTGGTTGGTTAATGGAAAGATGTTATGCTGTATCAGCTGGAATCTAGCTTTGCTTATGAAGGTGTAATCACATAGGTGAAAGATGTTGATTACTGAGTTTTCTCACACCATATATTAATCAAATACTCTTATTTGGGTTGGGTTTCTAGAGGGAAATTTCAGTTTGACTTTTCATTTATAATTTTTCCGTTTGGTTCTAAACCTATAGGGGACATTACATTCAGTACACTTCATTTTTAAAGAATATGTTGCTTAACAATAATTCTAGATCCTGGGATTGGATATCTATCAGATCCCACTCATATCTCCACAGTGTGAAATTAACAAAAAGATATAGTTAAATACTCAGTCTCTATTTAGACCGAATAATTGTTTTTCTCAGCTGGACACATTTTCCAGCCATTCGGTTTTTGCCTGCCTTATGTATTTAGGTGATTATTCTTCTAGGTTTATCAAGAAACTGAGGAGTACCTTTTTAGGATTGTTGCTGGAGGCTGTTGAAACATAGACTAGCTTCAAATTTGAGAGTCAGATTGATTGATAAAATATATCTCATGCTGTTACCGCTGAATAAATGACTTTTGCTGGTAAAGTAGTATGCTTTTAAAATAATATGAAAAAATTCTGAATTAAGGTTAGTAATTTACACTGTAATTGATTTTAGGTGTTATTATATTACTTGCTAATAAGATTTTTTTTTCTGGGAATAGAAGCTTATAAAAATTTAAAATATGTTTAATTTTCTATATAGCTCCATCAAGTATGATGGTGAAGGATGAATATGTGCATGACTTTGAGGGACAGCCATCGTTGTCCACTGAAGGACATTCAATTCAAACCATCCAGCATCCACCAAGTAATCGTGCATCGACAGAGACATACAGCACCCCAGCTCTGTTAGCCCCATCTGAGTCTAATGCTACCAGCACTGCCAACTTTCCCAACATTCCTGTGGCTTCCACAAGTGAGTTCTAGAATCAGATGTAGTCAGCAAGTTGAGTTTTCCTAATCATTGCTTATTTATGTGTAGTCACTTGGGGGGAAACTCCAAGTAAGTAAACATTAAAAGTAACTGTAGTATCTTTCATAGGTAAACAGGTATTAAACAGGTATGCACAATCACTTGGAATTTAAGTAATGGCTTTGATTATAATATTGATTTAAATTAATGATCTGATTTATACTTTACTATTACATGTAGCAGTAAGTAGCCTCTTAAGCTCCCAGATATATTTTGGAGAAATATTTAAATAATTAACAAGTAGTTTTGATCCAAGATGTTTATGAAGGTCTGTGTTAATGGAATTGCAACCTTTCTTTTAATGCGGTGTTCTTATTTTGGTTTTTCTGGGACAATATTACCTTATAGTAGTTGTCTGATTTTCTCACTGTGCAAAGGGATCTTGACAAATTTGTTATATATTGCTCAAGATAGACATTAATTAAGTCAATTTTGATATAAGCTAACTTCTATATCTCTTTTTAAAATATATGTGTAATTAAAAAAAAAAAGTGTTTCAGAAAGATCCTTCTTTTCTGCCATGTCATAGGAGGGAGAGGGGCTGCTAGGTTCAGGTTTTTGGGGGCATGATCATATGACCTGGTTCTGTTACTTATTTTCACAGTAACCAAAGGTTTGATAGTTTGCTGCTTGGCAAATGAAGTAGCTTTTTTTTCATTTTTTTTTTTTCAATTAATCATAGAGCATTGTCTTGGCATGTGTATGGTGTTAGTTGCATGCAGTTGCTAAAGGAATTTATGTAAACCCACATCAGAATAGATTTTTGACAGCTCTGGGCTAATACTGTGTTAGTTGCTACCGAAAGTACCATTATTGTATTTGCTTTACTATCAGATTAGATTCAACATAGAAATTTTGATCTTTGGAATAAATGGGGGACTGATTTCTGTAATTGTGAGTTTTCAAGTGAAGTATACCAGAATTTCCCCTTTAATTCATTACACCACTTCAAAGCAACATGTTTTTGGTTTGCTATCTAAGAGATGACAGTCTCACTATAGGCAGCATATTCTAAATGGGTCATATAGGTTAAGCACTTGAGAACCCAGTTCCTTAATCACTTGGTGCTTCTATTATCTGTCTACTTTTTATTTACCAAATTAGGAATATGGTTGACAAACAGTGGGTAGTGATAGAAAATAAAAGAAGGTACATTATAGCCACTTGAACGTAGATTAGTGCTAGAGCACAGCTACCTACTTCTGTTTATATTATCTGGAGATTGAATTTCTGTGCCTTTGTCAATGCTTACTAAAGTGACTTCATTTTGACTGTGTTGTTTCCTGAGGTTGAATCCTATTCAAAGATTAGAAAAAGTGATAGAAATGAAATGCAGCTAATTTTATCCTGGTATTTATTGGGTAGATTTTAATAATCGAATACCGTAAATACTGTAAGTTTTAGAACTTGTGTCAAAATGTTCCCTTATGTGGTGGCATGCGCCTGTAGTCCCAGCTGCTCCGGGGGCTGAGGCAGGAGAAATGGCGTGAACCCGGGAGGCGGAGCTTGCAGTGAGCAGAGAGCGAGTCACTGCACTCCAGCCTGGGCGACACAGCGAGACTCCATCTCCAAAAAAAAAAAAAAAAAAAAAAAAGAGGGTTCCCTTAGGTCTCAAAAAGTATATTGATGAAAAGAAGTTGAACTAAAATAGAAGATTTGAAAGGCTATTTTACGTGAGCTGATTTAGTCGTATTGTTTAACTTTATTTTACATACTTAGAATTGTATAAGGGAAGTATTCAGTATGGATAACTACAGTGAGTCACTTTACAATTTATGTTCTTTTGACACCTGAATATTTTAAGAATTTCCTTTTAAATACCTGTAAATTAAAATAATTTATCCTGTGTAGTTAATGACAATTTTTGTAAGTTAGCTAAGAGTATTGCCTGTAGAATTGTTAAAAATATGAACAAAACCATAATTAACCTTTAAAGATAACTTGCAGAATCTGGGGGATGAGTAGGAAGGGAGGTTGCTAAAATGTCATTTTTACAGATAAATAATTTGGGGAGTATTGAAATATTCTCTTTAGCTTTTGGTTTTGTAATTCTTAGCTTTAAGGAAATGTGATATGTAAAGAAAAGAAAAATATTCCTTTTCTTTGATACTTTGAGCAATGGTGACATGTTACTCTCTTCCATCTGATTATACTCCCATTTAGAAAAGAATGAGGTGATGCCAGTTATAAATAATTATAACTTTAGTGCTTTCCAAATAGGATTAACAGTCGAGTTAATTAATGCTCTTTAAGAAACCAAATTTCCACTTTAAAAAAAAAGCCTTAAAAATGTAGGACAGTAAGCAATATCATAGGATGGTTTTTGAATAGAATACAAGCCAAGAGAAGCTTGATTCTCTTGGTATATTACATACAGAGAGGGCAATTAATTTCTTGTACATCTGGGAATATGATGGTGTTCTTGAAAAGAAATGATTCTTGGTTTATAAAAGCTCTTGAAAAAATTTGAAAGTAGACTGATAGTTTTTTTGTTTGTTTTTAACCAGTAAATGGTATATTGATTGGACAGCAGAGCTAGATCTTTTTAACTTCCTCATCTTCACTATCACATCCTATTTAAAATAATTTTCTGCTCTGCTTTTCTCTGTCAAACCCTAGCATTCTGCCATTACTAGTATCAGTGCTGATAGTGATTAATTTTTCAGTTTTCAACATTTTCTTGAGCCTGGATTTTTGGGGTCCTAATCAGAAAGGTCCAGAGAGAGAGGTGGATGGAGTGGCCAGGATGAACTGACATACCTCTGAAGAAGTTAATATGATAGGCCAGACGTACAGTGGTGTTTTGCTGGCATTTGAAATATGTTTGTGAAGAAATAAGCCACTACAATTAGTTAGACATTACCTAAAATGGAATAATTTTGAGCTTCCTCAAGTTAAAGTTTGCCTTTATAGATGACTGTAGGTTTTTTACCTGATAGGCCATGGGTGAGTTACACTTTTTGCCCATCTTTATAGTTGTGCATTATCAGATAAAATTGGTCCTTCATTTAGTATATGAAATCATAAGATGACATCTATGAATGTACCATGTTAATGTCTTCTTGTTCCTCTAGGTCAGCCTGCCAGTATACTGGGGGGCAGCCATAGTGAAGGACTGTTGCAGATAGCATCAGGGCCTCAGCCAGGACAGCAGCAGAATGGATTTACTGGTCAGCCAGCTACTTACCATCATAGTATGTACATACTTTAAAAAATCTTTTAAATAGTTGAGAAAAAAGTAGGCAGCCTTTATAAAAGCAAATTAACCCATGTGGGCCTTAATTTTTAGACAGCACTACCACCTGGACTGGAAGTAGGACTGCACCATACACACCTAATTTGCCTCACCACCAAAACGGCCATCTTCAGCACCACCCGCCTATGCCGCCCCATCCCGGACATTACTGTAAGCTCTTGTTTTTGTTGTAAGGGCTATTTTTTTTTTTTTTTTGGTAGGGCTTTGTTTTCTGTTTTTTAAAAATGTTTTTACATCTTTTATTCATCCTGTGATTTTGTTTCATTAAATAGTGCTTTTCAGTATTTTTTGTAAACAGTATTATTTTTCATAGTTATCCTACCTTTTTATTTTAGAGGAGTGATGTTTGCTAAATACATTTATTTCTCTGTTGCTAATGTTTCATTAACATCACATTGATTTCCATTCATTTGTTTGTTTGCTTTGTATATGTTCTTAGATCTCATCTGTGTCTTGTATATCCACGCATAATGGATTGAAACCCTTTGAGTGCTAAGTTCTCAAGGTTTCCCTCAGCGTAGTATTCAGTGTACTTTGGATAATGTTGAATCTATAGATAACTCTGTGCTGGCATGATTGGGAGGAATACCCTACAGATAACATGTAGTTTCAGGTAGAATAGGAGCATTGTTCATATGGCTTAGTAAAATCGAGAGTATAACTCTTATATACATTAAATCCCTTTCTTCTCATTATAATATTAATAGTACCAAAGAAAACTTAGAAAATATAGAAAAGTATAAATAAGAAAAGCAAAATTACCCTGAATCCTGCTACTCAAAAACAGCCACTTCTAATATTTTGTTATTTTCCTTCCAGTCATATAAACAGGTATATGTAAATTGACAGGGGCTCCTACTCTATGTGTATTGTATATATCTTGCTTCTTTTCAGTTATGTTACTATTTTTTCCATTTCTTAAGAGAATGTAATTTTTAATGGCTGCCTAGGCCGTCATAGTGTTGAAGGGTGCTGGGTTTGGACCTTTAACAGGCTGTGTGACCATTGACAAGTTATTTCACCTCATTAAGCCTCAAGAGTAATAATAGTAGTATCTACCTCAAGGGGTGTTCGTAAGAAGTAAACGTAATAATTTATGTGAGGTGTTTAGCACAGTGTTTTAACACATTACCAGTTTTCAATTATGTTAGCTATGATTCCATTAAATAAACATCCTTAATTAACATAAGCACTTGTTTTTAGAATAGACCTAACAGTTTATTATTATACATTGCATTATAAATTGTACTGTATTGGACGTTACATGAATAATTCATTTATGATCTGTATTAAATGTTGGATATAAAATTATGTGTAAATTGTGTAATAATAGCACTTGGCAGATAGCACTGAAATGTTAGTTATTAAATATCCACAAAAGTATTAATAGTTTAAGACTATTTGCTTATTGTAAACTTTTAAGTTCTTAGACATTGCATAAGCTTGTTTTAAACAATTCCTAACCTATAATAGTTATATTTAAGTAAGATTTACTGAAAGTTTTAGCATTAGACAACTTTTAGTAAATAAAAATGGAATTTTTGTTGTCTTTTCTTTAGGGCCTGTTCACAATGAGCTTGCATTCCAGCCTCCCATTTCCAATCATCCTGGTAAGTGTATTTCAAAATTGATTTCCTGTATTTAGATTGATTTAGTGGTGATTGAAACGCACAAACACAGGCTTTAATGGAATTATGGGGTCACTTCTCAGATGAGTACAATACTCATCATGACATGAGTTAATCAACAGTTTGAGTAGTCAATATAGTCACACATAGACTGTCTATATTTTATTCAGTTTAACTGTCCCCAAAAGAAAAGAACTATCTTTTCAGCTAAAATGAGAATTACAGAAATGCTGACTTCAGCATTGAATACATAAATATGCAGCAGAATAAAACTAGGTTTCAAAATAGAACAGCTGTAAAACTATAGCTTAAAAAGCCAGGAAAGAATCTTAAGTACATGCCGAAAAGAAAAATAATTCACTCTATTCAGGATCTCTGGTTAACTGGAATTTAGAAACTATTTGATTAAATTGTATGCAAAAGAGTAAATCGCTAAGTAGCTTTCTTCAGTTCAAAGTTTGTGTATAATTTTTGAAACTGTAGAGGTAATAAAACAGAAAACACTTGAAAATAAAATACTGAAAGTCCCTTGTAACACAAACATAGATTTTGAATTTTTTTCTCATCCTTTCGTATCTGTTTTTCTTAGCATAAAAAGATGCAAATATATTACTTCAGCTAATCACCTTAATTTTTTGGAAACTATAAACTCAATTTTCCTCCTAATTAAAAGAAAATTATGAAGAATTATATTTTTATTTTTACTTGTTTATTTTTGAGAGAGGGCCTGGCTCTGTTGCCCAAACTGGAGTGCAGTGGCATGATCTCAGATTACTACAGCCTTGACCTCCTAGTCTCAAGCGATCCTCTCACCTCAGCTTCTAGAGTAGCTGGGACTATAGGCAAGGGCCACCATGCCTGGCTAATGTTTGTATTTTAGTAGATAACAGGGTCTCACCATGTTGCCCAGGCTGGTCTCGAACTCCTGGGCTAAAGCAGTCCTCCTGCTAATAATTTTATTTATTTATTTATTTATTTATTTTTTTCCGAGATGGGATCTCGCTATGTTGTCCAGGCTGGTTTCGAACTCCTAGCCTCAAGTGATCCTCCTGTCTTAGCCTCCCAAAGTGCTGGGATTATAGACGTGAGCCACCACACCAAGCTTGAAAAATTAAAAAAATATATTTTTAAATGATTTTATTTTTGATCTTTGTGGGTACATAGGAGATGTATATATTTATGGGGCACATGAGATGTTTTGATACAGGCATATAATGCATGATAATCACATCATGGAAGATGGGGTATACATCCCTTCAAGCATTTATCTTTTGTGTTACAATCTATACTCTGTTAGTTATTTTAAAGTGTACAATTAAATTATTGGCTACAGTCACCCTGTTGTGCTGTAAAATATTAGACCTTATTCATTCTAACTACTTTTTGTACTATTAACCATCCTCACCTTCCCCCAATCCCCCACTACCTTTCCCAGCCTCTGGTAACCATCCTTCTACTCTCTGTCTCTATGGGTTCAATTGTTTTGATTTTTAGATCCCACAGATAAGAACATGTGATGTTTGTCTTTCTTTGCCTGGGTTCTTTCACTTAACATAATACCTCCAGTTCTATCCATGTTGTCTCAAGTGACTGAATCGCATTTTTTTTATGGCTGAATAGTACTCCACTGTGTATAAGTCAAGCATAAAGAATTTTAAGCATACCGGAATAATACAGGAAGTTCCCCCATTGTACTCATTCCTCAGTTTCAGCCATTATCAAGTAATGACCAATCTTGTTTCATTCATACTCACTCTCTTTCTTCATTCTATATTATTTTGAAGCAAATCCTATATTAGTTTTATATGTAAATATCTTAGTATATATTTCCAGTAAAGGTTTTTAAAACATAAACACAGCGCCCATAATGATTAATTCAAAGGGTCTTAAATTCTTAAATAGGTCTACATAATTTTCTTTGTGTAAATGTTCTGTTATTGATTATGTTGGTTTAATTTTTCTTCTAGCTGTTTAAAAAAATAGAAGGGAACATCTTTGTGTTTATAACTTTTCTCATATTTTAGTTTAAGAAATTTGTAGAATTTCTAGATCAAAAGGCCATATTACAGTGACACCAGAGTGTGAGAACCAGGGTTACTGTGCTGGCTAGCAGTAGATGTCATAGTTTAATAAACTTTTTGCTGATTTAAGAGGCAAATACTTGTTCTGGTTAGGGAAAAGGTGATATTAGTGGGGCAGAAGCATTCTTTTAACGATATATATTTATTATCTTCTGTAACGGATTTTCTGTGTTACATTGTGTGTTGTGATTTTAAACATTTTTGTAGGTCAAGGGGTCTAGCCTTTTCATAAACTTTCTTTTTTTGAGAAATGTAATATACAGAAAAGTATGTAACACAAGTAAGTATATAGTCTAACATCACTAAAACCAATACTCATGTAACCACTACACAGATTGAGAACTAAAACATTATGGCATCCCAGAAACCCTCCTACCCCATGAATTTTGTCTCTGTCAAAACCTCTTTCCTTCTCCCCAGAGGTAGCTACTGTCCTGCTTTTTATGGATATCACTTTTTTTTTGCTCTTTTATTTATTTTTTAAATTTTTATTTATTTATTTTGAGATGAACTCTTGTTCTGTCACCCAGGCTAGAGTGCAGTCATGCAATTCGGCTCACTGCAACCTCCACCTCCAGGTTCAAGCCATTCTCCTGCCTCAGCCTCCCGAGTAGCTGGGATTATAGGCACCCGCCACCATGCCTGGCTAATTTTTGTATTGTTAGTAGAGATAGGGTTTCACCATGTTATCCAGGCTGGTCTTGAACTCTTGGCCTCAAGTGATCTCTGCCCCATCGGCTCCCAAAATGCTGGGATTACAGGCATGAGCCACCATGCCTGGCCCTTTTAAAGTGATGAATACATCCCTAAACAGTCTAGTAATCTGGCTTTACTTGTTTTTTTTTTTTTTTTTTTTTTTTGAGACGGAGTCTCGCTCTGTCACCCAGGCTGGAGTGCAGTGGCGCGACTTGGCTCACTGCAACCTCTGCCTCCCGGGTTCACACCATTCTGCCTCAGCCTCCCAAGTAGCTGGGACTATAGGCGCCCGCCACCACGCCCGGCTAATTTTTGTATTTTTAGTAGAGACGGGGTTTCACTATGTTGGTCAGGCTGGTCTCGAACTCCTGACCTCTTGATCTGCCCGCCTCGGCCTCCCAAAGTGCTGGGATTACAGGCGTGATCTACCGTGCCTGGCCCTCATTTTCTTTTTACCTAGCTTTATAAATACTTGTTTAAAACAATTTAACATTTGGACTGATTGTGTAAAGACCACTTTTAAGTGTTGTTACTGTTTTTTGTTGTGTTTTTTTTGGCCACCAAAACATTGGGTAATTGTTGTCTTAGACAATCTCTGTAGTTTTGGTTTAACCAGTGTACCTATCAGTTGTTTGCTGAAGCTTCTTGTCCATAGCATAATGTGATACCTTCACATTACATTTTCTATAGACAATATATATATATTTTTTTAAATTTTTGAGACGGGGTCTCACTCTGTGGCCTGGGCTGGAGTGCAGTGGCACTCTCATGGCCCACTGCAGCCCTGACCTCCCAGACTTAGGTGATTCTCCCATCTCAGCCTCCCGTGTAGCTGGGACTACAGGTGGACACAACCACGCCCAGCCAATTTTTCTATTTTTCGTAGAGACGCGGTTTCACCATGTTGCCCAGGCTGGCCTTGACCTCCTGGGCTCAAGTGATCTGCCCATCTTGGCCTCCCAAAGTGCTGGGATTATAGGCATGAGCCACCATGCCCGGCTGAAAATAATTTCATAAATACTTCAAAACTGGCTTTTTAAGAAGACACTCAGTGAAGACACTTAGTGTATCACTGGTTTTTATGTTCTAAGCATAATGAAATATATGTAAACAAATATTTATCTTTGTGACAAGTTCATTAGAGTGACATGGCAAAACATTTGAGTTTTTAAGTTTTTGAATTATCCAATCTTCATGTGATCTGTTTTGATAACTCCTCATTGCATTGGAAAGTATTTTATTGCTTGGCAGCATTTTGAAAAGTAATTAGGGTACATAGCTTTTACAAGTTGTTTTCTTTTAAAAAAATTTTAAGCATCAATCATACTTCATTTTAGGTTATTTTTTTTTTTTCCGTAAGATCTGGGTTTCTTTTTTGTCATTCTAAGTAACTTTGTTGAAAGTAAGATTGTTGAAAGTTTTATTGCTTCAAATTCTAGTTTAAAGTTCATAAACAGCTTATTGAGATACAGATAAATCTTTCTTTTAAATATGTCGAACCTATTTCCACCCTGGGGTCTTTGCTTTCGCTTCCTCTTTGAAATCTGTTCAGTCTTCACATAGATAAAAGGTTATTCAGGTCCCATCTTTTCAGATGGGATGTCCCCTACCATCCAGTCTGAAGTGTTCTTCCCAATCATCTGCTGTTCCATACCCTGTTTTATTTTCTTCACAGTGTTCATTGTTATCTGAGTTATTTCATTTGTTTGCTTATTTGTCTGCCCCTGCACCTCTGTGAGAACAGGGACTGTAGCTGTTTTGTTTTCTACTGTGTATGCAGTGCCTAGAAAGATCCCTAGATACTCTGTAGATATCTGTTAAATGAGTTAAAACAGGAAAGCCAAATAATTTTTATGTATTTGGGCTTGATGTAATAATTGTTGTTTACAAATAAAAATTAGAAATACTTGATCAGTTGTCTTTGTAAACCAGAGTAGCACCTCTTTTTTCCCAGTGATTTAAAATTATATATTATTGTTCAAATGAGTACACTAAATACATCTCCAAAGTTAAAATTGTGGTAGTTAACATGACCTGACTTCACTAAAAATACCTTTTGCTATGGCATAGGTGGGACAAATGACCTTCTACCCAAGAGACAGTTGAGAATCTGTGTGTACAACAACTGTGTGATTAGAGTATAATTAACCTTAACTCAGGGATGGGATAGCTGACTTGCTTATGCACTTTCTCTCAATTAGGGAATCTATAAAAATATGTCATGAGTCGATGTTATTCAAGGACAGTTCCCTGGAATACATCTTAGGGTCAGTGTGTTTTTAAAAAATAAAAGTTGAGACTACATAGAGAATATGTGTAGTCAAATGAAATACCATGGTAAAATAATTTATTTTAGATTCTGATTATTTCTGTTCTTTAAATTCTCAGTTGACCTGGTCCTTTGAGGTAAGAACCAAATTCCAGATTTTAAAAAATGACTTTTAGAACTTGAGGATAAGTGGTAATTGGAAATTAAAAAAAAAAATTAGTGTTTTAAGAACAGTGCTAAGTACTGAGCTAGAAAATAGAAGACATGGAAATTCCTACCTTTTAATGCATTATGTTATTTTAATCCAGTTGTTTTGGGTGCATTACATTTCCATCTCCCCTCCCTTTACCCTTTCTTTTAGGAAAAACTGTGTTGTGGAGTGCAAGTGAAAGCCTTATATCTTTCTCATGGGAGGATGTTCTTTCCCATTTATTTCCTATAGCTCCTGAGTATTGGTGTTCCATTGCTTACTTTGAAATGGATGTTCAGGTAGGAGAGACATTTAAGGTTCCTTCAAGCTGCCCTATTGTTACTGTTGATGGATACGTGGACCCTTCTGGAGGAGATCGCTTTTGTTTGGGTCAACTCTCCAATGTCCACAGGACAGAAGCCATTGAGAGAGCAAGGTATTGATTGTATAGTCAGATAGTTACTTTAAAAAATTGAGCATAGTACATTGTCTTTTATTCAAGGTTATGTTTTCCCATGTACATTATATGTGTTCTTAAATATAAATAAAGGAATAAAGGTCATGTTGAAAACTCAGAATTTGTAAGCACTCCATCTTAATTGTCGGTGTTTTTGTTGTTTAACATATAATGATAAAAGATAGCCTTTTTTATGTTAGTAGGTTTCTATGTTTCGAATAGTAAGTATACCTTTTGAAATTCAGTTTGAAAATTTTATTTTCTGTGATCATACATTTCTACAAATTACTGAAAGGAAGTAATATTAAATGAGAACATGTTTCTGAAAGTTTTACTTATAATGTTAAAAAAATTGGTAATAAAAGGGAAATGGTTAAGTAAATTATGATAAATTTTTCCTTTTTTATACAGTCATTAAAATGTTTAAAAGTTTATATAATGAGGCTGGGTGCGGTGGCTCACACCTATAATCCCAGCACTTTGGGAGGCGGAGTCAGGCAGATCACTTGAGGTCAGGAGTTCGAGACCAGCCTGGCCAACATGGTGAAACCCTGTCTCTACCAAAAATTAGCCATATGTGGTGGTGTCCACCTGTAATCCCAGCTACTCAGGAGGCTGAGACAGGAGAATTGCTTGAACCCAGGAGGTGGAGGTTGCAGTGAGCTGAGATCGTGCCACTGCACCCCAGCCTGGGTGACAGAGTGAGACTCCATTTCAAAAAAAAAAAAAAAAAAAGTTTATATAATGAAATGGAAATGCTTACAGTGAAATATTACAGGAACATTCCATTTTAGCTACTGTATGATCTCGGCTTTTAAGGATGTGTGTGCTAAAGAACATAATCTTGGCTCTATCACTTGCTGTCATGTGACTTTGGCAAATTACCTAACCTCTAAGCCATTCTGCCTAATAGAATTTTCTGTGATGAAGAAAATGATTTATATTTGCACTGTCCAGTTCGGTAGCCACTAGCCACATGTAACTATTGAGCACTTAAATTATAGCTCACTTGATTGACTAATCGGATTTCTAATTAGTTTTAATTTAATTTAAATAGTCACATGTGGCTAGTGGCTATCAATTTGGACAGTATGCCTTAGTTTCTTTATCTAAAAAAATTAGAATAATAGTACTTGTTGAGTTGTAAGGGTTTAATGAGAATTCATACTACATGCTCCTGACACATAGTAAGTGTTGTAAATATGTGCATCATTATTAGATATGAACAGGAAAAGAAAAAAGGAAATATACAAAAATGTTAATAGCTATCTTTTGGTTTTATGTGATCTTTATTTTTAATTTTTCAATATTAAGCATGCTATACAATCTGAACTAAAATTTAATTTAAAATACTTATCAAGATAAAATGTAATTTCTTTTTTCTTCCTAAGGTTGCACATAGGCAAAGGTGTGCAGTTGGAATGTAAAGGTGAAGGTGATGTTTGGGTCAGGTGCCTTAGTGACCACGCGGTCTTTGTACAGAGTTACTACTTAGACAGAGAAGCTGGGCGTGCACCTGGAGATGCTGTTCATAAGATCTACCCAAGTGCATATATAAAGGTTAGTTACAATTTTATTTGAATATTTTAGACTTAAAGCTCTATTTGTTGTCAAAAGAATTGAAATCTGGGTGGAAGGAATGGAAAAATGTTTTATATATTAAATAATAAGAAATTGTGTTTAAGTATAAAAAACACATTTTCTGAGGGCATTTATTGACATTATCAGTAATCTAGTTTTATCGTTGCCAATTTGTTACATTTTGTTTTTTATTTTATTTATTTATTTATTTATTTATTTTTGAGACAGAGTCTTGCTCTCGTCGCCCAGGCTGGAATGCAGTGGCGTGATCTCGGCTCACTGCAACCTGCGCCTCCTGGGTTCAAGCAATTCTCGTGCCTCAGCATCCCAAGTAGCTGGGATTACAGGCACATGTTACTGTGCCTGGCAATTTTTTGTATTTTTAGTAGAGACGGGGTTTCACCATGTTGGCCAGGCTGGTCTCGAACTCCTGACCTAAAGTGATCCGCCCAACTTGGCCTCCCAAAGTGCTGGGATTACAGGTGTGAACCACTGTGCCAGGCCTGTTACATGTTTTAGAGTAATACAAAGGCTCTTGAAAATACTGAGTGAAGCCTCCAAAGTTGTATTCCTGTAACTTGAAATTTGTAAGAATCAGACTCTGGACTTTCATCTTAGCCAATCTTCAGGATTTTATGGAAGAGAATTCTAAAATTAATAGCTTTTCAAATTAAGAACCTGATAAGCCTGAAATATTTTTCACTAGTTATATATTCAACCTGTTTGAATTTTACTTTATAATATAACCTGTTTTTGAAAGAGAAAGGCAGTTGTAATTAGATAGCCTAAATATATTTTTAATTGTGTGTCATCCTCAACATTTTCATTGTCAGTGATTGTAAATTGGTAGAATTAACTGTGTCTCATAACTTATTACCAGGAAGTTGCTTAGGATAAAAATAATGTAGCCCCATAGCATCCATAAAAATGGAATTGCCTGATTACCTCACAACAGCAAACCCAGTTTCTCATTTCCAGTTATAGTTCAGTTAAAGAATGTTGGAATTTTTTTATATGACACTTTTAAACATGCCAAGTATAGCGAAAATAATAAACCACATGTACCTATCATCCAGCTGCAACAATTATCAGCACTTTACCAATCTTTAATGTGTTTCTCCCCCAACTTTTTTTTCCTGGAGTCGTTGAAAGCCAATTCCAAACAGCATAGTCACTCATAAAATATTTCTGTGTGAGTAACTCATAAAATACTCCTGTGTAACTCACAAATCTATACAGACTTCTGAAAAACATAATCGCGGTGCTATTTATTACACTTAATAAATTAGCATCAATTCCCTGTTAAAATTTTCAACAATAGAGCATCAGTTATAGTCTGTTAGAACAATAGAATAAAGCAATAAAGTATTATATTTATTGATAGGATATCCATGTGTATAGAAAAGTTAGTTATTAAACAATACATAAGGCCTGATTTAGTGGCTCATGCGTGTAATCTTAGCACTTTCGGAGGCCAAGGTTGGAGGATTGCTTGAGACCAGGAGTTCAAGACCAACGTAAGCCACAAAGTGATACCCCCATCTCTACAAAAAAATTAAAAAATTAGCTGGGTGTGGTGGTGCATGCCTGTAGTTTTAGCTACTTGGGAGGCTGAGATGGGAGCATTGCTTGAGCCCAGGAGTTCAAGGCTGCGGAGAGCCATGATCATGCCACTGTGCTCCAGACTAGGTGATAGAGTGAGACCCTTTCTCAAAAATAAATAAATAAATAGACAATACATAGACTATGATCTCATTTTTGTTAAATGATATCATGATATTTGTTATTTGTTTATATGTACCCATAAGTCTAGACTGGTATGTATAATGGAATTGTCTCTATGAGGTGGAAATTATTTGTATTTTGCAGTTTTTTTCCACAAGTAATTTCTGTATTGGTTATTTATGCTGTATTATTATTATTTTTGAGACAGAGTCTTGCTCTGTCACCCAGGCTAGAGTACAGTGGTGCCATCTTGGCTCACTGCAACCTCTGCTTCCAGGGTTTAAGTGATTCTCATGCCTTAGCCTCTCCGGTAGCTGGGATTACAGGTGTGTGCCACCACGCCTGGCTAATTTTTGTATTTAGTAGAGACGGGGTTTCACCGTGTTGGCCAGGCTGGTCTGGAACTCCTGACCTCAAGTGATCAGCCCAACTCAGCTCCCAAAGTGCAAGGATTGCAGGTGTGAGCCACTACGCCTGGCCTTTTGTTGTTATTTTTTAATGGCTTTGGATTTCCTTATATGTTTTGTAGTCCATTTTGTATTCGTGGGCCAAGTTTGTTTTGAGAGAATTCACTCATTTTATTATTTATTTTTTCTTCCTGTCATTGCTTCACCCTATGTGGCAATTTTGCCTTACCCTGGCATCTGGGATTCACATCTCAGAACCAAATCTTATAAATTTAGGAAGTAGGGGGACTTTGTCTCCTGAGGAAATTGAGTTCCATTCTGCAGGTATGCTTGGGGCCTAATTCCTGATTGCCTAGATTTCTCTGAAACTTTTCCCTGCCGTGGGCAAATATTTTATTCCTAGGTGTACTTCTGAATTGGCTGTATTTTACCAGCACTTGATTTATGGGCAGGTGCCCACTTGTAGCCCCCAGAGAGTTTGGCTGTTGTCTCTCTCCATATTATTCCAAGAAGTCAAATTCCTGTTCCCTGCCCTTTGTTTATGGTCTTGGTATACCCCTAGTACCTCCTATCTTTAGTCTCTGCTCTCCACTGTGGGTTTTATTTATCATCAGTTTGGATGTATGGATTGTTTCCATATGAATTTCATGATCAGTTTGGAGAGGATGACTATTTTAAATAGTTTTTCTGTTATTTGTATGTGGTTGAAGCAGAGAGAGAAGGTGATTATGTATACCCACTTAACCCATCTTGACTCAGAAGTCTCTTGTTTTATTTATGTAATTTAAAGTGACTGGATAGAGAACTATGGTGTTGAATATATACTGTGTGCCAGATAGTATTTATAAACTTAATCAGATATGGAGTAGTATTTAAAACAATTGAGCTTAAATAATGTGGAATCGTGCAAGTGTAATTTCTTGGATGTCAAATAGATACATTGTGACTTATTTATATTTTGGTACAGATGGCCTTTGAAAAGCCCCCAAGGTGTGAGACAAGTCATCACTTGATAAACCACTGTCTTGGACAGATCTTAATAGTGATCTCATACTTTTACCATGAAAAGTAGATAAATACCTTGTTGGACAAGATATTTGGAATTTAAAAAAATCTCATTTGTGTATATTAACTAAGATTTTAAAATAATTATGTCTGTTTACCAAGTATATTACTGTTCTTTAGAAGAGTCTTACTAGTCAGAAAGAGACAGTTACAAGTACAACCCCATCCACAATTTCACTTTCCATGGCTTCAGGTATCCATGGTCAACCACAGTCCAAAAATATTAAATGAAAAATTCCAGAAACAATTCATAGGTTTTAAAATGTGCGCTGTTCTGAGTAGATGATGAAATCTCACTCCATTCTGCTTGGGATGTAAAACCTTTTGCCAGCATATCCATGCTGTCTACATTACCCACCCATTAGTCACTGAGTAGCGAGCTCAGTTTTCAGATTGACTGTCATGGTCTCACAGTGCTTGTCATCCAGTAACCTTTATTTAGTTCATAATGGCCCCAAAGTGCAAGGGTAATGATGCTGGGATATTGTTAACATTGTTCTGTTTTATTATTACCTGTTGTTGTTAATCTCTTACTATGCCTAATTTGTAAGTTAAACTTCATTATGAGGTATGTATGTATAGGAAAAAACATAGTATATGCACAGTACTATCTAAAGTTTCATGCATCCACTGGAAGTCTTGGAACATATCCCCCATAGATAAGGGAGGAATACTGTATACCTTAAAATTTAACCATTGGCATTTTCTTCATTCGTTTTTTTGGGTAGCAGTAACTAAGGGATTTGTAAGTTATCAGATTTTCACAGGAGATGATATTATTGGGGTAAATTGTATGTAGATAGCATGCACCCCTGGAAGGAGTGCCCACACTTTGAGTACACAAATGTGTGCATGCACATACACACACACACACATACACACACACACACACATTCCCCTTTTTAATTAAAATGAGGAAAACACACTTGGAGAGCCATAATTTCATTTTATAAGCCAAGAAGCTAGGACTAAATTGTGGTTTTTTTCACCCTTCTAAGTTGACTTTTTTTCCTGCTTCTCTCATGACATAGTAGTCATTTTTTACTTAACGAAAATCTGATGTAATGAAATGACATTTTACAAGCTTTAAATGAAGCAAATGTTTGAATTCTCTTTAAGTGGCCTTGTTCTTTTGCTTTCAAAAGTAAAATATGTTTTGTTTTGTGTTATTTAGCACTGGGCGTTTCAAGTTTTTAATAGCTTTATTGAGATTTTGAGAGAGAATTCACATGACATACAAGTCACCCATTTAAATTGGACAATTCAATGATTGTTAGTATATTCACAACATTGTGCAGTCATTACTACTCAATTTTGGAGCATTTTCATGACTGTGGAAAAAAACTCCATATACCCTTTTAACTATCACCCCCAAATCTCCATTTCCATTAGCTCTAGACAACCACTATTCTACGCTCTTTGTAGATTTGCCTATTCAGGGCATTTTATATAGAAGAGAATTATGTAATATAGTCTTTTATGACTTACTTCTTTTCACTAAGCATAATGTTTCAAGCTTCATCCATGTAGCACATACCAATTCTTCACTCCTTTTTATGGCTGAATAGTGCTCCACACACATTTTGTTCATCAGTTTATCCATTGATGGACTTGATTTCCACTTTTTGGCTATGTTATGAAGGATACTGCTATGAACATTTGTGTATAAGTATTTGTGTGTTTTCATTTCTCTTGGGTACATACCTAAAAGTGGAATTGCTGGATTGTAAGATAACTCTATGTAAACTTTTTGAGAAACTGATAGACTGTTTTACAAAATGGCTGCACCACTTTACATTCTCACTAGCAGGGTGTGAGGGTTCCAATTTCTCTACATTCTCATCAGTACTTGTTATCTGTCTTTTTTATTTTAGCCATTGTAGTAGGTGTGAAGTATAATCTTATTGTGGTAGTTTTGATTTGCAAACTTCCTGTGTTAATATTGAGTTGGGTTTGTTTTTGAACACATTTATTTTAGAGGAAGGGGCAGCAGATGCTTCTAAACCACTGGTGGACTAGGTCAGAGGGTATTATGAACCTCATTTAAATTTATTCCCAATTAACACTCATTGTGATTCCCTAAGTCAAGTAGAACTTAGAATGTCCTTAGCACAATCTTGTTTATGTTCAGGTGCATTTTTCATTCTGGATTACTGTTTCCTAATGTTAATTTAAGATTATATAGTATTGCATTTAAGCCTTGTCAAAGGAAAATGGCAAAATTTGACTCCTGGTTGTAAAAGACAATATCCTAAAGATGTTGTCAGTGATCTTTATGAGACACACATCTTTGTTAAGTAACGGTTTTGTAATAAATTCAGAAAACATGGTTAAATAAATTAAAGCAGAAATTAGCTCAGGAGTGGTGGTCAGAAATATTTTTTGGATCTGAGCCAAAAAGAATATTTAAAGCCTTTGATTACTTTGAATTGCCTTTGTCAACAATTTAGTCAAATTATGAAAGGAAGACAGTAGCATTTCAATAATAGCTTTAATTTTTATCATCCAGTGTAACAAATGGAATCTGTTATGGTATCCGTTATCAATGGATTAGTTACAGTGTGAAGTCAGGAGGCAATGCAGGTTTTAGTTATTAGTGAACCTAACTGAATAATTTTAGGTCTTCTGGTTTGAGTGCTATAATTACGTAAATAATCTGTGGAAGGGAGGTTTGCTGAGGTGCCCAATGAATCATTTTTACTGCATCTACAGATGCAAGTCATAAAGTTTAATCCGTGTGGGTAACCTGTAATATGTGCTGCTGATGTTAGCATAGATTCAGGCTGAAACAATCCTAATTGCGATTATTTACAACACATTGGAGAGAGCCTATGTGTGACATATTACTTGGTTATTTTTTTAAATGACTCGTGGGGGTGGGGGAGTGTTAATGTTAAAGGCATACTTGAATCTTGGAGATTATAATTAAGTTTTATTCCCTACTCCCAGATAACATTATATATATATATATATATATATATATACACACACACACACACACACACACACACACACACACACACACACACCATACTTGGTTAGTGATGATTAAAAAAAAGTAGTTGTGGAGACCTAAATGTAAAACACAAAACTATAAAACTTCTAGAAGATAATATAAGAGAAAAAGTGAGAACTTTTTTTTTGAGACGGAGTCTTGCTCTGTTGCCCAGGCTGGAGTGCAGTGGTGCCATCTTGGCTCACTGCAACCTCCGCCTCCTGGGTTTAAGGGATTCTCCTGTCTCAGCCTCCCAAGTATCTGGGATCACAAGCTTGCACCATCATGCCTGGCTAATTTTTGCATTTTTAGTAGAGATGGGGTCTCACCATGTTGGCCAGGCTGGTCAGGAACTCCTGACCTCAAGTGATCCTCCTGCCTCGGCCTCCCAAAGTGCTGGGATTACAGGAGAGAGCCACTGTGCCTGGCCAAGAGAAAAAGCGAGAACTTTTAAGATACAACATCAAAGGCATGATCCATAAAGGAAAGAATTGATAGGCCTGACTTCATTGAAATGAAACACTTCTGCTCTGTGAAAGACAGGGTCAGAGAATGAGAAGACAAGCCACAGACTGGGTGAAAATATTTGCAAAAGACACATCTAGTAAAGGACTGTTATCCAAAATTACAAAGAACTCTTAAAACTCAACAATAAAATAATGCAACAATAAAATAAACAATGGGCAGAATAGACTGGGCATAGTGATTGACTCCTATAATCCCAGCACTTCGGGAGGTCAAGGTAGGAGGATTGCTTGAGCGCAGGAGTAGTTCAAGATCAGCCTGGGCAACAGCAAGACCTCATCTCTACCAAAAAAAAAAAAAAAAAAATTAGCCAGGCATGGTGGCATGTGCCTGTAGTCCTGGCTAGTTGGGAGGCTGATGTGGGAGGACCCTTGAGCCCAGGTGTTCAAGACTAGCTTGGGCAACATAGCAAGACCCCATCTTAACAACAACAACAAAAAAGGCAAAAGACATGAACAAACACCTCACCAAAGAAGATACACATATGGCAAACAAGCATATGAAAAGGTGTTCAGCATCATAAATGTGTACAAACCCATAGAATGTACAACACCAAGAGTGAACCCTTACGTAAACTGGGTTTTGGGTGATAATGATGTGTCAGTGTAAATTCATTGATTGTAACAATTGTGCCACTGTAGTGGGGATGTTGATAGTGGCGGAAGGTTGGGTGTGGGGACAGGGACTCTGTACTTTCTGCTTAATTGTGCTGTGAACCTAAAACTGCTCTAAAAAAGTAAAGTTTATTAATTTACTTCTTTAAAAAAGTGGTTGTAGAGCTATTTACCTTTTCAAATGTTTGAGTCCCTGCTTTGTTCTGTACTGGGTAATGCCTTCCAAATGTCATAGCCTAGAAGTTCTGAAACGAATGGACTGTGAGAAATTTGAGGAAGTAGTGGTTTCACTTCTGGGTGTTGTGGGCTTTCTGATTTCTAGAACCTGACTTTGTCATGCTTTCTTTTAAATTTAAATTTTTTTGTGGAGTTGGGGTCTTGGCTGGTCTTGAACTCCTGGGCTCAAGTGATCCTCCCACCTGGGCCTCCCAAAGTGCTGGGATTACAGGCATCTGCCACCATGCCCCTGTCATTGCTTTCTTTACTAAAGTATTTTAGGACCTAATAGTCCAGGAAATACATATATGTATATTGGACAAATTCATGTCTGTTTAAAGAATAGGGTAGTCTGAGTGTTGTCCTTCATTGGTGCTAATTGGGAAAAGTTTTTTGAGGAAATGGACACTGAGTAGAGAAATAGGAGTAAGTAGGAGTGCAATTTGTTATTTGGAGAGTGTATGTTATTGTATGTTTTTGTGGTTCATGTAAATACCATGGTTGAAGATGATCAGAATTTTTTCAAGCATCTGAAAATTATGGTTTAAGTTCTAAAACTATTGTTTATCATCAACTAAAAAATTATGCATTCTCAGATTTCTCTTATTTTCAAGATTATTTATGCTTGCTTGTATTGGGCCCCTTATGTACGTAATGGGACTTTAAAAAATATTCATGTCCTTTTAGATAGGGAGTATAGCCACATGGTTCAGAAATTAAAGTGATTTAAAAACAGTGGACATTGAGCAGCCTTGCTTCAGAACCTGTCCTTGTTCTCCTTTCCTGCAAATTCTTTTTGTGTAATCTTCCAATGCTTTTTAAAAATGCAAATAAACAAATATTTTAGGAAGATTTTTTTTTCCCCAGAAAAAAAGGTGATGTGATTTATTATCTGTAATTTGTTGCATATTAAAAGAACATTCCAGTACTTTCATAAATATAAGGGTAGATATGGCAACCCCTTCCTTACTATGCCAGTTCTTCACTTGGTTGATAAAAGTAAAATTATTTATTAACGCCTTAACTCATCCTGAAAGATAAATGACTACGGGGGAGGCTAAAAACAAAATAAGTAACTGTATACTATGCCAAGTTTGCAACAACCTCATGAAAGTATGTACACTTAGCATTCCCATTTTATAGATAAAAGAAACTCAGCCCATATAATTAGCAGGTATCGGTGATGGGATTTAAAACTGGGCCTTTTTTTTCCTTAAAAATTATGAACATTTACAAACAAAGAAATGTAGAGAGAAACTAATGAAGTCCCATATACCCATCGCACGGATTAAGTAGTTACAATTTTATATTTGTTTGATCTAGTCTTTTTGTTGTTGTTGTTTCTTAAGTATTTTAAAACAAGTCCTGGATATTATTTTGCTTCTATTTGCTTAAAGTACGCATCTCTGAAAAATGTTGATCTCTCTTATATAGCGACAGTGCCATTTTGTTAAACTCCTCCAAATAAGCAAAAATGATAAGACAAAAAGTTGGCCAGGCGACCAAAGCTATCAACTCCAGCCTAAGGAAAATTCAGCAATTTGATTATGAAAGGGGGAGGGGGACTTCTTAATTGTACATTTTACACAGATTTCCACAAGGACAGTAATAGCTGACCCACTTCGAACTAGATAAAAGATACAGAGGCGTGTGGCAGCCAAAGCCATCATGATGTTGACATGATCTTCTTGGTGAGCTCCAAGCCACCTTTCCTAACTAGTTTTAGACCAATCACAATGTACATAAAAGTTTACATGTTTTAATTAATTCTTTTCATGTGAGAGGTATAATGAAACTGAGTTTTAAATAAGTCAGGCATTGGTTTTTAATGTATGGAATTTTTCTTTATGAACTCATAGTATGAAATGTTTTTTCTTAAAAGGTCTTTGATTTGCGTCAGTGTCATCGACAGATGCAGCAGCAGGCGGCTACTGCACAAGCTGCAGCAGCTGCCCAGGCAGCAGCCGTGGCAGGAAACATCCCTGGCCCAGGATCAGTAGGTGGAATAGCTCCAGCTATCAGTAAGTATGCTTTTCATTCTTTTTTAAAGGTATAATAGTTGATATTTTTATCTTGATTTACTCAGTTGATTAGTTTCTTTGAGCAGTAATAGAAATTAAAGTTTTTTTTTACTGGGATGATGACATTTTTGAATTGGTAAAATCTGTTCTTCTGTAATAGTTGCTTTTTGCCTATGACCCTGTTTGCATTCTTTTTGTATCAAAAATGGAGTATGGGATGAAGGAGAAAGGGGATGATTATTATATTATACTGTTCTATCTCCTCCTTTTTTGTTGATGCTTATTATAATTCTGCCTCACCAGCCAGGGTGGGTTGTAATCACTGAAGTGCTTGGCTTTATTCTAGTAAGGAAAGCATATTTCAATTTCAGAATTGGACACTTTTCCAATTTTTTTTTTAAAGTATGCTAAACATGGAGAGAAAACTAAGTGAGGGTGGTATTTTGATAACTTGTAGACTTTTTTTTAATTTTAGGGTAAAATTGAACTGTGTGCCAGGTTTCACACTGATGGGGAATTTTTTACTGCAGAGTTAAACTCCTGACTATAGACTTTTATGATGGAAACACGTGGCACCCATCTTCCACGTCTGAAGGCATAACTAGTGATTCATTCAACCCCTGTTCTTAACCTCTTCAGTGTGGTAAGCAAATCACACTGGCTAAGAAAACTGCAGTGGCCCTGCAGGTTTCTCTACAGTACATGCAAATTCCTCCCATTAGTTTCATTGTAATATTGATGAATGCAGATGGACTATATGACTGTATGTTCTGACTGGAAAATTAGATGCAGTCTCCATTGTGACTTATGTTCAGGAGTTTACAATTTAGAGGTAGATTAGGCATATTCATTGAGAGAATTTGATTTTTTAAAATTTGGGGTGATACCATTAATTTGCTGGTTTCAGTGTTATAAACATGCTTTTACTGAAGAATCCAGAACTATTATTAAGTTTCATATTCTCATCAGTTGCCACCACTGAGTAATAGTGTATTACTCTGTTACACTTTGAAATTGAGAGAGAGACTTCATCTCGGTCATCTAAGAGGTCTTAGTGGAACTAAGAATATTAACTGCTTCATTATTAGTTATGTCTTATTCTGAACTAGGCTGTTTAGACAGTAAGGTTTTTAGAAGCAACCTGTGGACACGCACTACCTCTTAAAAACAAGTTGTTTCTTATCCCTTCACCTCCACTTCTAAAGAAAAAAATAGGTGAGGTGTTGGTGGATTGTGGTAATTTACTTTATAATTGGTTGTAGCTAGAAGACACATGTGAAATGTAAAGTTCCTTAACCAAAAGTGTGCAGCTTGTTGATAAAGTTTAGATCTACTGTTACTTCTTGGCACTTTAGCAGAGAAGTTATATGCTGAGGAGAATGAAATACAGAAAGCTGGTCACTTGATTAATTTAGAATGTAGGGAGGATGGGAAGAGATCACCCTGTCCCTCTGATGTCTTCCAAATCTTTTCTGTTAGGTCTGTCAGCTGCTGCTGGAATTGGTGTTGATGACCTTCGTCGCTTATGCATACTCAGGATGAGTTTTGTGAAAGGCTGGGGACCGGATTACCCAAGACAGAGCATCAAAGAAACACCTTGCTGGATTGAAATTCACTTACACCGGGCCCTCCAGCTCCTAGACGAAGTACTTCATACCATGCCGATTGCAGACCCACAACCTTTAGACTGAGGTCTTTTACCGTTGGGGCCCTTAACCTTATCAGGATGGTGGACTACAAAATACAATCCTGTTTATAATCTGAAGATATATTTCACTTTTGTTCTGCTTTATCTTTTCATAAAGGGTTGAAAATGTGTTTGCTGCCTTGCTCCTAGCAGACAGAAACTGGATTAAAACAATTTTTTTTTTCCTCTTCAGAACTTGTCAGGCATGGCTCAGAGCTTGAAGATTAGGAGAAACACATTCTTATTAATTCTTCACCTGTTATGTATGAAGGAATCATTCCAGTGCTAGAAAATTTAGCCCTTTAAAACGTCTTAGAGCCTTTTATCTGCAGAACATCGATATGTATATCATTCTACAGAATAATCCAGTATTGCTGATTTTAAAGGCAGAGAAGTTCTCAAAGTTAATTCACCTATGTTATTTTGTGTACAAGTTGTTATTGTTGAACATACTTCAAAAATAATGTGCCATGTGGGTGAGTTAATTTTACCAAGAGTAACTTTACTCTGTGTTTAAAAAGTAAGTTAATAATGTATTGTAATCTTTCATCCAAAATATTTTTTGCAAGTTATATTAGTGAAGATGGTTTCAATTCAGATTGTCTTGCAACTTCAGTTTTATTTTTGCCAAGGCAAAAAACTCTTAATCTGTGTGTATATTGAGAATCCCTTAAAATTACCAGACAAAAAAATTTAAAATTACGTTTGTTATTCCTAGTGGATGACTGTTGATGAAGTATACTTTTCCCCTGTTAAACAGTAGTTGTATTCTTCTGTATTTCTAGGCACAAGGTTGGTTGCTAAGAAGCCTATAAGAGGAATTTCTTTTCCTTCATTCATAGGGAAAGGTTTTGTATTTTTTAAAACACTAAAAGCAGCGTCACTCTACCTAATGTCTCACTGTTCTGCAAAGGTGGCAATGCTTAAACTAAATAATGAATAAACTGAATATTTTGGAAACTGCTAAATTCTATGTTAAATACTGTGCAGAATAATGGAAACATTACAGTTCATAATAGGTAGTTTGGATATTTTTGTACTTGATTTGATGTGACTTTTTTTGGTATAATGTTTAAATCATGTATGTTATGATATTGTTTAAAATTCAGTTTTTGTATCTTGGGGCAAGACTGCAAACTTTTTTATATCTTTTGGTTATTCTAAGCCCTTTGCCATCAATGATCATATCAATTGGCAGTGACTTTGTATAGAGAATTTAAGTAGAAAAGTTGCAGATGTATTGACTGTACCACAGACACAATATGTATGCTTTTTACCTAGCTGGTAGCATAAATAAAACTGAATCTCAACATACAAAGTTGAATTCTAGGTTTGATTTTTAAGATTTTTTTTTTCTTTTGCACTTTTGAGTCCAATCTCAGTGATGAGGTACCTTCTACTAAATGACAGGCAACAGCCAGTTCTATTGGGCAGCTTTGTTTTTTTCCCTCACACTCTACCGGGACTTCCCCATGGACATTGTGTATCATGTGTAGAGTTGGTTTTTTTTTTTTTTAATTTTTATTTTACTATAGCAGAAATAGACCTGATTATCTACAAGATGATAAATAGATTGTCTACAGGATAAATAGTATGAAATAAAATCAAGGATTATCTTTCAGATGTGTTTACTTTTGCCTGGAGAACTTTTAGCTATAGAAACACTTGTGTGATGATAGTCCTCCTTATATCACCTGGAATGAACACAGCTTCTACTGCCTTGCTCAGAAGGTCTTTTAAATAGACCATCCTAGAAACCACTGAGTTTGCTTATTTCTGTGATTTAAACATAGATCTTGATCCAAGCTACATGACTTTTGTCTTTAAATAACTTATCTACCACCTCATTTGTACTCTTGATTACTTACAAATTCTTTCAGTAAACACCTAATTTTCTTCTGTAAAAGTTTGGTGATTTAAGTTTTATTGGCAGTTTTATAAAAAGACATCTTCTCTAGAAATTGCTAACTTTAGGTCCATTTTACTGTGAATGAGGAATAGGAGTGAGTTTTAGAATAACAGATTTTTAAAAATCCAGATGATTTGATTAAAACCTTAATCATACATTGACATAATTCATTGCTTCTTTTTTTTGAGATATGGAGTCTTGCTGTGTTGCCCAGGCAGGAGTGCAGTGGTATGATCTCAGCTCACTGCAACCTCTGCCTCCCGGGTTCAACTGATTCTCCTGCCTCAGCCTCCCTGGTAGCTAGGATTACAGGTGCCCGCCACCATGCCTGGCTAACTTTTGTAGTTTTAGTAGAGACGGGGTTTTGCCTGTTGGCCAGGCTGGTCTTGAACTCCTGACCTCAAGTGATCCATCCACCTTGGCCTCCCAAAGTGCTGGGATTACGGGCGTGAGCCACTGTCCCTGGCCTCATTGTTCCCTTTTCTACTTTAAGGAAAGTTTTCATGTTTAATCATCTGGGGAAAGTATGTGAAAAATATTTGTTAAGAAGTATCTCTTTGGAGCCAAGCCACCTGTCTTGGTTTCTTTCTACTAAGAGCCATAAAGTATAGAAATACTTCTAGTTGTTAAGTGCTTATATTTGTACCTAGATTTAGTCACACGCTTTTGAGAAAACATCTAGTATGTTATGATCAGCTATTCCTGAGAGCTTGGTTGTTAATCTATATTTCTATTTCTTAGTGGTAGTCATCTTTGATGAATAAGACTAAAGATTCTCACAGGTTTAAAATTTTATGTCTACTTTAAGGGTAAAATTATGAGGTTATGGTTCTGGGTGGGTTTTCTCTAGCTAATTCATATCTCAAAGAGTCTCAAAATGTTGAATTTCAGTGCAAGCTGAATGAGAGATGAGCCATGTACACCCACCGTAAGACCTCATTCCATGTTTGTCCAGTGCCTTTCAGTGCATTATCAAAGGGAATCCTTCATGGTGTTGCCTTTATTTTCCGGGGAGTAGATCGTGGGATATAGTCTATCTCATTTTTAATAGTTTACCGCCCCTGGTATACAAAGATAATGACAATAAATCACTGCCATATAACCTTGCTTTTTCCAGAAACATGGCTGTTTTGTATTGCTGTAACCACTAAATAGGTTGCCTATACCATTCCTCCTGTGAACAGTGCAGATTTACAGGTTGCATGGTCTGGCTTAAGGAGAGCCATACTTGAGACATGTGAGTAAACTGAACTCATATTAGCTGTGCTGCATTTCAGACTTAAAATCCATTTTTGTGGGGCAGGGTGTGGTGTGTAAAGGGGGGTGTTTGTAATACAAGTTGAAGGCAAAATAAAATGTCCTGTCTCCCAGATGATATACATCTTATTATTTTTAAAGTTTATTGCTAATTGTAGGAAGGTGAGTTGCAGGTATCTTTGACTATGGTCATCTGGGGAAGGAAAATTTTACATTTTACTATTAATGCTCCTTAAGTGTCTATGGAGGTTAAAGAATAAAATGGTAAATGTTTCTGTGCCTGGTTTGATGGTAACTGGTTAATAGTTACTCACCATTTTATGCAGAGTCACATTAGTTCACACCCTTTCTGAGAGCCTTTTGGGAGAAGCAGTTTTATTCTCTGAGTGGAACAGAGTTCTTTTTGTTGATAATTTCTAGTTTGCTCCCTTCGTTATTGCCAACTTTACTGGCATTTTATTTAATGATAGCAGATTGGGAAAATGGCAAATTTAGGTTACGGAGGTAAATGAGTATATGAAAGCAATTACCTCTAAAGCCAGTTAACAATTATTTTGTAGGTGGGGTACACTCAGCTTAAAGTAATGCATTTTTTTTTCCCGTAAAGGCAGAATCCATCTTGTTGCAGATAGCTATCTAAATAATCTCATATCCTCTTTTGCAAAGACTACAGAGAATAGGCTATGACAATCTTGTTCAAGCCTTTCCATTTTTTTCCCTGATAACTAAGTAATTTCTTTGAACATACCAAGAAGTATGTAAAAAGTCCATGGCCTTATTCATCCACAAAGTGGCATCCTAGGCCCAGCCTTATCCCTAGCAGTTGTCCCAGTGCTGCTAGGTTGCTTATCTTGTTTATCTGGAATCACTGTGGAGTGAAATTTTCCACATCATCCAGAATTGCCTTATTTAAGAAGTAAAACGTTTTAATTTTTAGCCTTTTTTTGGTGGAGTTATTTAATATGTATATCAGAGGATATACTAGATGGTAACATTTCTTTCTGTGCTTGGCTATCTTTGTGGACTTCAGGGGCTTCTAAAACAGACAGGACTGTGTTGCCTTTACTAAATGGTCTGAGACAGCTATGGTTTTGAATTTTTAGTTTTTTTTTTTTAACCCACTTCCCCTCCTGGTCTCTTCCCTCTCTGATAATTACCATTCATATGTGAGTGTTAGTGTGCCTCCTTTTAGCATTTTCTTCTTCTCTTTCTGATTCTTCATTTCTGACTGCCTAGGCAAGGAAACCAGATAACCAAACTTACTAGAACGTTCTTTAAAACACAAGTACAAACTCTGGGACAGGACCCAAGACACTTTCCTGTGAAGTGCTGAAAAAGACCTCATTGTATTGGCATTTGATATCAGTTTGATGTAGCTTAGAGTGCTTCCTGATTCTTGCTGAGTTTCAGGTAGTTGAGATAGAGAGAAGTGAGTCATATTCATATTTTCCCCCTTAGAATAATATTTTGAAAGGTTTCATTGCTTCCACTTGAATGCTGCTCTTACAAAAACTGGGGTTACAAGGGTTACTAAATTAGCATCAGTAGCCAGAGGCAATACCGTTGTCTGGAGGACACCAGCAAACAACACACAACAAAGCAAAACAAACCTTGGGAAACTAAGGCCATTTGTTTTGTTTTGGTGTCCCCTTTGAAGCCCTGCCTTCTGGCCTTACTCCTGTACAGATATTTTTGACCTATAGGTGCCTTTATGAGAATTGAGGGTCTGACATCCTGCCCCAAGGAGTAGCTAAAGTAATTGCTAGTGTTTTCAGGGATTTTAACATCAGACTGGAATGAATGAATGAAACTTTTTGTCCTTTTTTTTTCTGTTTTTTTTTTTCTAATGTAGTAAGGACTAAGGAAAACCTTTGGTGAAGACAATCATTTCTCTCTGTTGATGTGGATACTTTTCACACCGTTTATTTAAATGCTTTCTCAATAGGTCCAGAGCCAGTGTTCTTGTTCAACCTGAAAGTAATGGCTCTGGGTTGGGCCAGACAGTTGCACTCTCTAGTTTGCCCTCTGCCACAAATTTGATGTGTGACCTTTGGGCAAGTCATTTATCTTCTCTGGGCCTTAGTTGCCTCATCTGTAAAATGAGGGAGTTGGAGTAGATTAATTATTCCAGCTCTGAAATTCTAAGTGACCTTGGCTACCTTGCAGCAGTTTTGGATTTCTTCCTTATCTTTGTTCTGCTGTTTGAGGGGGCTTTTTACTTATTTCCATGTTATTCAAAGGAGACTAGGCTTGATATTTTATTACTGTTCTTTTATGGACAAAAGGTTACATAGTATGCCCTTAAGACTTAATTTTAACCAAAGGCCTAGCACCACCTTAGGGGCTGCAATAAACACTTAACGCGCGTGCGCACGCGCGCGCGCACACACACACACACACACACACACACACACAGGTCAGAGTTTAAGGCTTTCGAGTCATGACATTCTAGCTTTTGAATTGCGTGCACACACACACGCACGCACACACTCTGGTCAGAGTTTATTAAGGCTTTCGAGTCATGACATTATAGCTTTTGAGTTGGTGTGTGTGACACCACCCTCCTAAGTGGTGTGTGCTTGTAATTTTTTTTTTCAGTGAAAATGGATTGAAAACCTGTTGTTAATGCTTAGTGATATTATGCTCAAAACAAGGAAATTCCCTTGAACCGTGTCAATTAAACTGGTTTATATGACTCAAGAAAACAATACCAGTAGATGATTATTAACTTTATTCTTGGCTCTTTTTAGGTCCATTTTGATTAAGTGACTTTTGGCTGGATCATTCAGAGCTCTCTTCTAGCCTACCCTTGGATGAGTACAATTAATGAAATTCATATTTTCAAGGACCTGGGAGCCTTCCTTGGGGCTGGGTTGAGGGTGGGGGGTTGGGGAGTCCTGGTAGAGGCCAGCTTTGTGGTAGCTGGAGAGGAAGGGATGAAACCAGCTGCTGTTGCAAAGGCTGCTTGTCATTGATAGAAGGACTCACGGGCTTGGATTGATTAAGACTAAACATGGAGTTGGCAAACTTTCTTCAAGTATTGAGTTCTGTTCAATGCATTGGACATGTGATTTAAGGGAAAAGTGTGAATGCTTATAGATGATGAAAACCTGGTGGGCTGCAGAGCCCAGTTTAGAAGAAGTGAGTTGGGGGTTGGGGACAGATTTGGTGGTGGTATTTCCCAACTGTTTCCTCCCCTAAATTCAGAGGAATGCAGCTATGCCAGAAGCCAGAGAAGAGCCACTCGTAGCTTCTGCTTTGGGGACAACTGGTCAGTTGAAAGTCCCAGGAGTTCCTTTGTGGCTTTCTGTATACTTTTGCCTGGTTAAAGTCTGTGGCTAAAAAATAGTCGAACCTTTCTTGAGAACTCTGTAACAAAGTATGTTTTTGATTAAAAGAGAAAGCCAACTAAATCATTATGTGCTCATTCTTTTTCTTAAGCTTGTGGATGTCTTGGATCTGGAAAGGGTTTCTGATCACTTAGAGAATTTTCAAACTTTAGGTCAACATTTTCCTTTATTGCCTTGTGGCCACTGAAATGGGAAATGTGACATTTAAAATATGACCCTGGAATAACAGTCCCCATTCTTCTCTCATTTTTAAAAGGAGAAGGTGAAGTGATGGTGATCAGAGAGATGGGTGCTAGGGAATTATAAGAACCAGGATGCTTAAAGGAGAGGTAAAATTGGAAATTGGAGACCCTTTCATTGCCCAGCTAAGGGATAAGGAAAGCTGTTTCTCTCCCATCTGCCTTCTCTGTGAAATAGGGGTCAATGGGAGGGGAGTGGTGGTCAGGTAAGTAGATTCCGTGGCAATGGCTTGTATATAACAAGACCACATCAGCATTTTATTTCTAAGCTTGCTGACATGAGTTTCAGAGAGTTTATCGGGCTGAGAGATTTCTTCTCACCTGTTTGCTAACCTGAAATTTATAGTATTTTAGGCTAGAACTTGAAGAGGATAGTAGGTTAGCATTCAGTTGAGAAAAAGGAAAAACATTGTGGAGCACTTCAGGTGAAAGGGCAGTTGTGTGTCTCTCTGCCTTCTGCTCTTGACCCTTAATTCTTTGTGCTTAATTCCATCTCCTCCCACGTCACAACTCTCTCACAAATGGCAGTCTCAAAGCTTAGGGAATCTCCATCACTTCTTCAAACCTTTCCCACCCCTGTTGTCTTACTGATAAATTGTAATGCCCTTTCTCCTCAGCCCTTTGTATTCTAAAAGAATAATTCCATTAGTTCTGGCCTACTTTTGGAGTGGCATCCACATCTATATTTTGATAGTTTTGTTAGGCCACCACTAGGTCTCAGACAGATGGACAAGAGGCGTTCAGGGAGAGCAGACAATCCATTGCCAGCAGACCTACCTTAATCGAGTGGTAGTAAAGGAAGTTCCCTAAGCAGAAAAGAAAGAATGATAGAAGCAAAGTTGGAACATCAGGAAGGAAAAACCGAAAACCCCAAAAAAACTTGGTAAGCAAAAATATGGGTAAGTAGGATTTCCTTCTCAACTTGAGTTTTATAAATTACATTTGATAGTTGAAACAAAAATTATAACACTGCCTGAGGTGGTTCAAAATGTATATAGAGGTACTATTTAAAACAATTATAAACAGGTAAGAGTAAAGGAACCTATAGGAATATAGGTTTTCTACATTTCACTCAAACTGGTAAAATGACAGTAGTAGACTGTGATGTTATGAATATATAATGAAATTCCTAGTGCAAGTACTGAAAAAAGTATACAAAGATGTATACACAAAATCATTACAGATAAATCAAAATGAAATTCTCAAAAATGTTGAGAATTCTCAAAAAGTAACTCAGGATAAGGCAGGAAAAAGAACAGAAAGAACAGAACAAAGGTAAATGGAAAATGGGAGATTTAGATGCTAACATATCAGTAATTTACATTAATATAAATGGTCTATACTAATTAAAAGAAATGCTGGCAGAATGGATCAAGAAAACATGACCCAACTGTATACTGTCTACAAGAAACTCATTTCACATAACAAAGGCAAGCTGAAAAAAGTATGGAAAGATACATATCAGCTAAACGTTAAAAGAAAACAGTAATGGTCTATACTAATATCAAAATAGATTTCAGAGCAAAGAAAATACCAAAGAGGAACATATAATGATGAAAGGGTCAGTCCATGAGGAAGACATAGGAATCCTAAATAGGTATGCACCAAACAACAGAGCAGTAAAATATGTGAAGAAAAAAAATTGATAAATCCATAACTATATTTGAGTACTACAATATTTCTCTTTCAGCAATCAATAGAATTAAACATAAAATCAAGAATATAGAAGAACTCACTACTATCGGCCAATAAGATCTAATTTACATTTATAGGATAAGCCATCCAATAACAGCAACATTCATATACCTTTCAAATGCTAACAACATAAACCGAGATAGGTCATATCATGGGCCATAAAACTCAAAAAGTGTAAAAGAAGTCAAAGTTTTCTCTGACCACAATATAATCAAACTAGGAATCATCAGAAGAAAGATAACAGGAAAATCTCCAAACACTTAAAACAATGTAAGTAATCTATGGGTCAAAGAAGTCTCAAGGAAAATTAAAACCATGAACTGAATGAAAATGAAAATAAAACACCAGTGTTTGTGGAATATGGCAAAAGCAGTGCTGAAAGAGAACTTTATAGCACTAAATGCAAACCTTAGGAAAAAAAGGAAAAATCTCAATACTCTAAGCCCCAACTTCAAGCACCTGGAAAAAGAGCGAGGCTGGGTGCGGTGGCTCACACCTGTAATCCCAGCACTTTGGGAGGCTGAAGCAGGCGGATCACCTGAAATCAGGAGTTTGAGACCAGCCTGGCCAACATGGTGAAACCCCATCTCTAGTAAAAATACAAAAATTAGCCAGGCGTGGTTGCACATGCCCGTAATCCCAGCTACTTGGGAGTCTGAGGCACAAGAATCGCTTGAACCTGGGAGGCGGAGGTCGCGGTGAGCTGAGATTGCACCATTGCTCTCCATCCTGGGTGATAGAGTGAAACTGTCTCAAAAAAAAAAACAACAAAAAAACAAAATTAACTGAAAGCAGCCCAAAAGATGGAAATAAAGATAGGAACAGAAATCAATAAAATTGAAGCAAAAACATTAGAGAAAACCAATGAAATAGCTTATTTGGAAAAAATAAAATTGGAAACACCTTTAGTAAGACTCACAAAGAAGACATTTCCAATATGAGGAATGAAACAGGAGATCACTAGACTCTGCAGACATCAAAAGGATAATAAGAGGATGCTGCAAACAACTCTACACACATAAATTGACAAACTAGTTGAAACAGACCAGTTTCTTAAACCTACCACAACTCATCCAATATGAAATAGATCATTTGAAAAAAAAAAAAGATCATTTGAGTAAGTCTATAGCTATTAAGGAAATAAGATTCTTAATTTTGAAATCCCAAAAATATCAGGCCTAGATGGTTTTACTGGAGAATTCTTACCAAATAACACTGATTCTGTAGTCTTCCAGGAAACAGAAGAGAAGGAAACACTTCCCAAATCGTTCTATGATACTTGTATTACCTTAATACAAACTCAAAGATAATACAAAAAAAAGAAAATTACAGATCAATATCCCTTGTGAATATTCACACAAAAATCCCTAACAAAACATTAGCAAATGGAATTCAGCAACCTATTAAAAAAAAAAAAAGCATCATGAGCAAGTGGGGTTTATTCTAGGCATCCCAGACTTCATGTTTGAAAATCAATCTAACCCATCACATTGTCAGACTAAAGGAGGAAAATGTTGTCATATCAGTTGATGCAGGCAAAGCACGTGACAAAATCCAACAACTATTCATGATAAAAACTCAGAAAAATAGGAATAGGGGAGACTTCCTCAACTTAATAAAGAGCATCTAGCAAACACTGGCACCTAACATTTTATGCCTAATGGTGAAAAACTGAATGCTTTCTGCCTAAGATTGAGAACAAGTCAAAGATGTCTGATTTTACCACTCTTCAAAATAATGCTGAAAGTTCTAGCCAGTGTAATAAGGCATGAAAAGGAAATACAGATTGGAAAGGAAGAAACAAAATGGTTCCTAGTTGCAGATGATGTGATTATCAATGTAGAAAATTCCAAGGAATGTATTTTTAAACAACTAATAAATGAGTCCAGCAATGACACAAGATACAAGCTCTATGGACAAAAATTTTATTATTAGCAATGAATGTGTGAACACAAATTAGAAATACAATACCAATTACAACCACTTAAAAAAAGAAATAGGTGTCAGTCTAAAAAACATGTATAGGACTTACATGCTAAGAACTACACAATGCTGATAAAGATCTAAATAAATGGAGAAACATACCATCTTCATGGATTGAAACACAACATGGTAAAGATGTTGATTCTCCCTCAATTTTATTAAATTTGACAGGCTTAATGCAATTTCTACCAAAATCTCAACAAGATGTATTTGTGTACAAACAAGCTTATTCTAAAGTTTATGTGTAAAGAAAAACTAGAATAGTTAAAACAATGTTGAAAAAAAGAAAGTGGGAAGGATCAGTCTACCTGATTTTAAGATATTATAGCTACAGTAATCAAGACTGTGTGTTATTGGTAGAGGGATAGACACATAGACCAATGGAACAAAAGAGAACCCAGAAATTGATCCATACAAATACACACAGCTGATTTTTGACAAAGATGCAAAAGCGATTCAGTGGAGGAAAGCTAGCCTTTTTACCAAATGGTGATGGAGAAACTGGACACACATAAAAATGAATGTTGACCCAAATCTTATACCTTGTACAAAAATGAACTAAAAATGCACTACATACTTAAAATATCAAACTATAAAACTTTTAGAAAATAACCAAAATCTTTGGGATCTAGAATTAAGCAAGAAGTTCTTAGACCTGATACCAAAAGCTCAATTCAGAAATGGGAAAACTGGTCAATTGGATTTCATCAAAATGGAAAACTTTTGCTCTGTGAGTGACCCTAGTAAGAGTATAAAAAGACAAATTTTGGATGGGGAGAAAATATTTACAAGCCACATATCCAATTAAGGCCTCGTATCTAGAATGTATAAAGAATTCTCAAAACTCAACAATAAAAAAAATCCAATTAGAAAATGGACAAAAGACATTTCACCAAAAAGGATATACAAATGGCAAATAAGCACATGAAAAGATGTTCAACATTACTAGCTATTAGAAAAATGCAAATTAAAACCACAGTGACGTATCACTGCACATAAATCAGGAAGGCTAAAGTAAAAAATAGTGACAGCACCAACTGCTAGTGGGGATACAGAGAAAATGGACCACATATACACATTGCTAGTGGGCATGTAAAATGGTACATCCACCCTGAAAAACACTTTGGCAGTTCCTTTTAAAGAAACTAAACAAGTACGTACCATATAACCCACCAACTGTAATCCGGGGCATTTATCCCAGAGAAGTATGAAAACGTACCTGAATGTTTATAGCAGCTTTATTTATACCAACTAAAAACTAGAAACAGCACAGATGTCCTTCACAGGTGAATGGTTGAATAAACTGTAATACACACATGGAATACTACTCAGCAATAAAAAGGATCAAATTATTAATACAAGCAGTAACCTTGATGAACATTTAGAGGACTACGTTGAGTGAAAAAAAGCCATTCCCAAAAGATGGATTATTCTATTTACAAAATGTTCTTGAAATGACAAAATTACAAAAATGGAGAACAGATCAGTAGTTGCCAAGGGAGGGCATGGGATGGGAGGTAAGTAGGTGTGAATCTAAAAGGGTAACAGATTCTTCTAGGGATGGAAATGTTGTCTATCTTGACTCTATTAATGTGGATACCCTGGTGTGATATTGTACTAGCATTTGGCAAGATGTTACTGTTGGAGGAAACTGTGTTAAAGGTACATGGGATTGCCCAGTGTCATTTCTTAGAACTGCATGTGAATCTATAATTATCTCAAAGTTTTAATTTTAAAAAGTCATTACTATGAGGCTTATGATGAAAGACAACAGTCTCTTACCTCTGCATTTTCCACTCCCATTCCTGTTTGTCAGCTGTTTTTTCTGGGTTTACCCACATCTTTCTAAATAGCATAGTCATATTGCCATATCTTTCTTTTATTATTAAATATAGACATCTACTGACTTCTTACTCTGGAAAATGTTGAGTTAGCTCTCTCATACCACTACTACCACCATTATTACCCATTCACCGAAGAAAGTAAATCACAACTTTTGATTAATTCGTTATTCACAGCTGGGCCACTCTGTCAATTTTCTTTCTTATACAACTTTTTTGCCTTTTTCTGGAAGTTAATTGCCTCAATATGTTCATTTGCTTGTTTTTCTGTGTAGCTCTTATTTGAGTCCCCAACTTTGCAACAGAATAATAAAATTCCTTCATTATGGTCAGTCACATCAGACAACCTTTCAGTTACATTAATTAATTGAGTCTTCTGGAGGTGGCCCTCTGTCTTAGAGCTCCAGTTAGGACTAGCATTTCTCTAGGGCCGCCTCATAGTTGTCATCCATGGACATCTCTTCACCATCAGTGATAATATTCTTGAGGTTTCTTCTTTGGGACCAAAAAGGTGAAAGCGAGAGTTGGAGGATGTGACCTTAGTGAGTTGCCAGTGAAAGCATATAGAAATGGGCAAATCTAAAAACATCCCTGAAACAGAAATGTAACCGCAGGCATGGTAAGAGTAGGGGATTTAAATTAGGGAAGGCAGCCAAGCCTCTCCACAAGTATCTACTGATGGGCCCAGGAAGCAGGAGTTCAGCAGGGACAGAATCTGTCTCACTCGTCCTGGCGTCAGGGACGGCTGGCATCACCATCATCTGACTCAGGCTACAAGCAGGAAACAATTGACAGGCAGGAGGATCAGCCACGAGATCTCCAGTGCTAACAGTATCCTTTGCAAAATTCCTTAGAATTTTGCAAACAACCCCTTTGGCTATAGTTATTGGCATTTAAAACAATTTTAAACAATTAAAACAATACAGGGATGGGTGTGGTGGTGTCTTACACCTGGAATCCCAACACTTTGGGAGGCCAAGGTGTGTGGATTGCTTGGGACCAGGAGTTTGAGACCAGCCTGGCCAACATAGTGAAACCCCGTCTCTACAAAAAATACAAAAAAATTAGCTAGGTGTGGTGGTGTGCTCCTGTAATCCCAGCTACTTGAGAGGCTGAGGCAGGAGAATTGCTTGAACTCGAGAGGTGGAAGTTGCAGTGAGCTGAGATCATGCCACTGCACTCCAGCCTGGGCAACAGAGTGAGACTCCATCTCAAAATACATACATACATACATACTGTGTAATGCTTGATAAATAAAAAGGAACATAATATATAAGATATGCAGTGTAATGGTAAAATGAGCACCCACAAACCCACTCCCCACCTTCAGAACTAGAATGGTTGTGACAGTAACAACCTTTTACAAATATCCTGTGGGTTTGGGGACCTAGGGCTGCTGGGCCACTGGGGAAGCCTTTACTTGAAGAAAACCTGCAGAGCTGCCAGGGTCCACAGCAGCTGCCACAGTTGCTGCTTCAGGCAGAAATCAGGGGCAGTGCAGGTCATGGAAGCATAGGAAGAGGGCAGGGCTGGGGAAACCTGTGACTGCTGCTGTGCCCGTGGTGTCCTTATAGAACTCTGGGAAAGTCCATGTCGGCCATGAAGCAGCCTGTAGGGCTCTTCAGAGCCTCCTTTAACTCCTGTTTTGTATAGTGGCCTTGTTAGGTAAACCACCTCTCTCTCCAACCCATGAGTTCTCAGAGAGCATGGAGTGTACTTCACATTTCATGTTAAAGTAAAAAACTTTTTTTTTCTTTGAGACAGGGGCTCACTCTGTTGCCCAGGCTGGAGTGTAGTGAGCAATCACAGCTCACTGCAGCCTTGACTTCCCAGGCTTAAGTGATCCTATCTACCTCATCCTCCCAGGTAGATGGGATTACAGGTTTGTACCACCTTGCCCGGCTAATATTTTGTATTTTTTGTGGGGACAAGGTTTTGCCATGTTGCCCAGGCTAGGTTTTATTTGTTTTTGTTTTTTTTTTTTGAGACAGTCTCACTTTGTCACCAAGGCTGGAGTGCAGTGTTGCAACCTCTGCCTCCCGGGTTCAAGCGATTCTCCTACCTCAACCTCCTGAGTAGCTGGGATGACAGGTGTGCACCACCATGCCTGGCTAATTTTTTTTTTAATACTTTTAAGTTCTGGGATACATGTGCAGAATGTGCAGGTTTGTTACATAGGTATACACGTGTCATGGTGGTTTGCTGCACCCATCAATCCGTCATCTACATTAGGTATTCCTCCTAATGCTATCCCTCCCCCAGGCCCCCACCCCCTGACAGGTCCCAGTGTGTGATGTTCCCCTCCCTGCATCCATGTGTTCTCATTGTTCAACTCCCACTTATGAGTGAGAACATGCAGTGTTAGTTTGCTGAGAATGATGGTTCCCAGCGTCATCCATGTCCCTGCAAAGGACATGAACTCATCCTTTTTTATGGCTGCATAGTATTCCATGGTATATATGTGCCACATTTTCTTTATCCAGTTTATCATTGATGGGCATTTGGGTTGGTTCCAAGTCTTTGCTATTGTGAACAGTGCCACAGTAAACACATGTGTGCATGTGTCTTTATAGTAGAATGATTTATAATCCTTTGGGTATATACCCAGGAAAGGGATTGCAGGGTGAAATGGTATTTCTGGTTCTAGATCCTTGAGGAATTGCCACAGTGTCTGCCACAATGGTTGGAATAATTTACACTCCCACCAACAGTGTAAAAGCATTCCTATTTCTCCACATCCTCTCCAGCATCTGTTGTTTCCTGGCTTTTTAATGATCGCCATTCTAACTGGCATTAGATGGTATCTCATTGTGGTTTTGATTTGCATTTCTCTAATGACCAGTGATAATCAGCTTTTTTTCATGTTTGTTGGCTGCATAAATGTCTTCTTTTGAGAAGTGTCTGTTCATATCCTTCGCCCACTTTTTGATGTTTTTTTTTTTTTTGTAAATTTGTTTAAGTTTCTTGTAGATTCTGGATATTAGCCCTTTGTCAGATGGATAGATTGCAAAAATTTTATCTGTAGGTTGCCTGTTCTCTCTGATGATAGTTTCTTTTGCTGTGCAGAAGCTTTTTGGTTTAATTAGATCCCATTTGTCTATTTTGGCTTTTGTCGCCATTGCTTTTGGTGTTTTAGACGTGAAGTCTTTGCCCATGCCTATGTCCTGAATGGTATTGCCTAGGTTTTCTTCTAGGGTTTTTATGGTTTTAGGTCTTACATTTAAGTCTTTAATCCATCTTGAATTAATTTTTGTATAAGGTGTAAGGAAGGGGTCCAGTTTCAGTTTTCTGCATATGGCTAGCCAGTTTTCCCACCACCATTTATTAAGTAGCGAATCCTTTCCCCATTGCTTCTTTCTGTCAAGTTTGTCAAAGATCAGATGGTTGTAGTTGTGTGGTGTTATTTCTGAGGCCTCTGTTCTGTTCCACTGGTCTATATATCTGTTTTGGTACCAGTACCATGCTATTTTGGTTATTGTAGCCTTGTAGTATAGTTTGAAGTCAGGTAGCGTGATGTCTCCAGATTTGTTCTTTTTGCTTATGATTATCTTGGCTCTGCATGCTCTTTTTTAGTTCCATATGAAATTTAAAGTAGTTTTTTCTAACTCTGTGAAGAAAGTCAATGGTAGCTTGACGGGGATAGCATTGAATCTATAAATTACTTTGGGCATTATGGCCATTTTCATGATATTGATTCTTCCTAACCGTGAGCATGGAATATTTTTCCATTTGTTTGTGTCCTCTCTTATTTCCATGAGCAGTGGTTTGTAGTTCTCCTTGAAGAGGTCCTTCACATCCCTTGTAAGTTGGATTCCTAGGTATTTTATCCTCTTGGTAGCAATTGTGAATGGGAGTTGACTCATGATTTGGCTCTCTATTATTGGTGTATAGGAATGCTTGTGATTTTTGCACATTGATTTTGTATCCTGAGACTTTGCTGAGTGAGTTTGCTTATCAGCTTAAGGAGATTTTGATCTGAGACAATGGGGTTTTCTAAATATACAATCATGTCATCTGTAAACAGACACAAATCTGACTTCCTCTCTTCCCGTTTTAATACCCTTTATTTCTTTCTCTTGCCTGATTGCCCTGGCCAGAACTTCTAATTCTATGTTGAATAGCAGTGGTGAGAGAGGGCATCCTTGTCTTGTGCCAGTTTTCAAAGGGAATGCTTCCAGTTTTTGCCCTCAGTATGATATTGGCTGTGGAGTTGTCATAAATACCTCTTATTATTTTGAGATACGTTCCATCAATACCTAGTATATTGAGAATTTTTAGCATGAAGGGGTGTTGAATTTTGTCAAAGGCCTTTTCTGCATTTATTGAGATAATCATATGGGTTTTGTCATTGGTTCTGTTTATGTGATGGATTACGTTTATTGATTTGTGTATGTTAAACCAGCCTGGCATCCCAGGGATGAAACCGACTTGATCATGGTGGGTAAGCTTTTCGATGTGCTGCTGGATTTGGTTTGCCAGTATTTTATTGAAGATTTTTGCATCCATGTTCATCAGGGATATTGGCCTGAAATTTTCTTTTTTTGTTGTGTCTCTGCCAGGTTTTGGTATCAGGATGATGCTGGCCTCATAAAATGAGGGAGGATTCCCTCTTTTTCTACTGTTTGGAATCGTTTCAGAAGGAATGGTACCAGCTCCTCTTTGTACCTCTGGTAGAATTTGGCTGTGAATCCATCTGGTCCTGGACTTTTTTTGGTTGGTAGGCTATTAATTACTGCCTCAATTTCAGAACTTGTTATTGGTTTATTCAGGGATTTGACTTCTTCCTGGTTAAGACTTGGGAGGATGTATGTGTCCAGGAATTTATCCATTTCTTCTTGATTTTCTAGTTTATTTGCATGGAGGTGTTTATAGTATTCTCTGATGGTAGTTTGTATTTCTGTGGGATCAGTGCTGATATCCCGTTTGTCATTTTTTATTGCATCTATTTGATTCTTCTCTTTTCTTCTTTATTAGTCTGGCTAGCAGTCTATCTACTTTGTTGATCTTTTCAAAAAACCAGCTCCTGGATTCATTGATTTTTTGAAGTTCGCCCAGATTGGAGTGGCATGATCTTGGCTCACTGCAACCTCCGCCTCCTGGGTTCAAGCGATTCTTCTGCCTCAGCCTCCCGAGTAGCTGGGACTAAAGGCACACACCACCAAACCCGGCTATTTTTTGTATTTTTAGTAGAGACAGAGTTTCACCATGTTGGCCAGGCTGGCCTTAACCTCCTGATCTCGTGATCCACCTGCCTCAGACTCCCAAAGTGCTGGGATTACAGGCGTGAGTCACCGCGCCCGGCCTGAAGGATTTTTTGTGTCTCTGTCTCCTTCAGTTCTGCTCTGATCTTAGTTATTTCTTGCCTTCTGCTAGCTTTTGAATTTGTTTACTCTTGCTTCTCTAGTTCTTTTAATTGCGATGTTAGGGTGTTGATTTTAGATCTTTCTTGCTTTCTTTTGTGGGCATTTAGTACTATAAATTTCCCTGTAAACATTGCTTAACTGTGTCCCAGAGATTCTGGTACGTTGTGTCTTTGTTCTCATTGGTTTCAAAGAACTTATTTATTTCTGCCTTAATTTTGTTATTTACCCAGTAGTCATTCAGGAGCAGGTTGTTCAGTTTCCATGTAGTTGTGTGGTTTTGAGTGAGTTTCTTAATCCTAAGTTCTAATTTGATTGCATTGTGGTCTGAGAGACTGTTTGTTATGATTTCCGTTCTTTTGCATTTGCTAAGGAAATGTTTTACTTCCAATTATGTGGTCAGTTTTAGAATAAGTGCGATGTGGTGCTGAGAAGAACATATATTCTGTTGATTTGGGGTGGAGAGTTCTGTAGATGTCTCTTAGGTCCGCTTGGTCCAGAGCTGAGTTCAAGTCCCAAATATCCTTGTTAATTTTCTGTCTCAATTGATCTGTCTAATATTGACAGTGGGATGTTAAAGTCTCCCACTATTATTGTGTGGGAGTCTAAGTCTCTTTGTAGGTCTCTAAGAACTTGCTTTATGAATCTGGGTGCTCCTGTATTGGGTGCATATATATTTAGGATAGCTCTTCTTGTTGCATTGATCTCTTTACCATTATGTAATGATGCCTGGCTAATTTTTGTATATTTTGGTAGAGACAGGGTTTCACCATGTTGGCCAGGCTGGTCTCAAACTCCTGACCTCAAGTGATCCACCCTCCTTGGCCTCCCAAAGTGCTGGGATTACAGGCATTAGCCACTGCACCCAGCTGGAGGCTGGTCTTGAGTTCCTGAGCACAAGCAATCCTCCCTCCTCCTGCCTTTCCCTTCCAAAGTGCTGGGATTATAGGCTAAAATTTAAAAAAAACTTTATCTTTACGTACTCACACAACTCTCCTGGCACCAAACCCTGTTCTTCAGGGTTTTTACCAAGGCTTCGTTACAAAGACATGATTGATGAAATCATTGACCATGGGTAATTAAGTAAATCTCCAGCCCTGGAGGTGGAGGGGGAAACTAAATCCAATCCTCTAATCATGTGGTTGGTTCCCCTGAAAATCAGCTCCCCCACCCTTAGGGGCTTCCCAAAGATCATTTCATTAATGTAAACTCAGCTGTGGTTGAAAATAACAAGACACTCTTCTCACTTTTATCACCCTGGAGCTATTTCAGGAACTGGAGACAAAACCAAATATAGCAAAAGATGCTTCTTCCACTTTCAGCACTTAGAAAATTATAAGGGTTTTAGAAACTCTGACCAGGAGCTGGAAAGGAAGATCTAATATCTATTTCTAATTATTTAGAAATAAATATTCCACACATGAAATCTAGCACGTGCTTGCTTGTTGTACGTACTCCAAGAGATGTGTTGATGGGTGGACTGGAAACTTTCTCTTCGAGGAGGTTGTGTCCCTCTCAGTGCTGTGCTGCTTTCATATCAGGCTGATCTCTAGGAAACAGACACATCTGAGAAGAACTTGCTCTGGGTAGGGGGCTGTGCTCCCTCGAATGATGAAATTAGTAGGTTCTCCAGATCACAGTAGCACTGCTCAGTGAGTGAGCCCTAAGAAGCTGCCTGGAGTGAACCCCAGCTCATCCCAGCACTGCTGAGGAAGCTCTGGCTCTGAAGAGCAATGGATGCTCTGGTATTGTTCTTCTGGACCCTCAGGGAAAGGGTGGTCCTTGGGCCTGCAGGTCTCACAGCCCTGTGGCCATGGGAAGGAGCCCGGCTCACTTCCTACTTGGATAATGGCTCATCCACACTAAGCCTTTCTCAAAATCCCTGGATCACCTCATGATCCCTCTTGCTTCCGGTTTGTTCTACCCAGTTTACTTGTGTAATTACTCTTTTTTGTTTCCTTTTGTTTCAGGGAGTCTGTGTTATGCTTCTTGTCTAGAATATGAATTCCTTAAGGACATGATTTATCTAGTAAGCAAAGAAACCAACTTTAGCTAATTTAAGCAGATAAGAAATTTATGTCAAGGATACAGCTTAGTAATCAGAATCTCCACTAGAGTAGGACACCCAGGCTTAGCGTCCACAGAGTCAGGAAGGAACTGCCCCACATCCCATTGCAGATTTGGTCTGGCGGAGTTCTCACTACCGTTGCTGGGCTCGGGCTTGAACTGAGACTCACAGTGAGCTTTTCCTGCACCGCCAACACTGGGGCCTGGATGCTATTGCTAGATCACTGTCCTTGCTGCCTCTGGAGCCTGGAGGCAACTGCCCTGCCAAAGGCCCAGATTCTTTACAGTCCCCACTTCTTTCTGTTGACTACAAAGCAAAGTGCGTCAGGTAAACGTGGGTGGAGAGCATAGATCATGTGTCCCTGTCTTGGCCTCAAGAGAGGCTGGGAAAGCAGAGATTTGGCATCTTTGGGTTCTGTAGCAGGAGCTGGGCTCTGCTTAGGAAGGTAGGGATTCCATAAGAGGGAACTTAGGCTACAGCAGGAATACTCTGTATTTTCTGTAGTGCCTGAACAATACTTAGCATAGGTAATAAGCAGGTTGTTTCCAATTTGTGACTGGGGCATGACTCAGCTAAAATCTTGCTGATTAAGGATCCACAAAATAACAGATGTCCATGTATTCATCACTATTTCTAGTTTTCAACTTAATTTGTTCTTTTTTTTTTTTTGAGACCGAGTTTTGCTCTTGTTGCCCAGGCTGGAGTGTAGTGCCATGGTCTTGGCTCACTGCAACTACACTCCCAGGTTCAAGTGATTCTCCTGTCTCAGCCTCCCGAGTAGCTGGGATTACAGGCATGCATCACCACACCCAGCATTTTTGTATTTTTAGTAGAGATGGGGTTTCACTATGTTGGCCAGGCTGGTCTTGAACTCCTGACCTCAGGTGATCCACCCACCTTGGCTTCCCAAAGTGCTGGGATTACGGGCGTAAGCCACCTCACCCAGCCAACTTAATTGGTTCTTACTGAACCAGCCTACCTGGACACAATTAAGAATGTCAGAAACCTAATATTTCAGTAAAATGTCTATCCCAATGAAATATATCAATCTATTTTATTCATTTCTTTGTAACTCATTTATTCAACCAATGTTATGGAGTTTCCCTACTCCATATGTCTTCTCACCTTTTTCCATTGCAACAGAACTCCAATCTTATTCTGGGTAGAAAAAGATCCAGTTAAAAGATGACATTTGCCAGCCTTTTTTGCAGCTAGGATACTAACTCAGGATTTTTTTCCTTACTTGGTTTTATAAAAGTTACTTGGCTCTCTGGATCTGTGTTGAGCAGTCTAGGGCTCTGGTGCCCACACAATGCCAATGGGAGGGCTGCCATAATCTCAGGACTAAAGACCCTTTCCTAGTCCTCAGGTTTTCATCACTGCTTCCCATTATGCTGCCATTTGAGATTTATAGATTTGTGGTCCAGGTCTTATTTGACTTCACTTCTATTTTTCATTGATACCCCCGTTTAAGGTAGTAGCATCCTGCACTGGATGAGAGGGGCTGGGTGTGAACTGGATCAGAGTTTGTAATGGTTTCCAGACAGTGGATGTGGGGGTTGGCAGCAGGGCTGGTGGCACTCGAATGTCCCAGGAGTTCAGGGAGCTTTATACAACTGCAGATTTCCTGGTATCCCAACAGACTTACTAAATCAGACTCTCTAGGGCCTAATAATATGTATTATTTGAAGTTCCTTGGGGGATTATGTTGCACAGCCTGGTTACAGAACCCTGAACTAGGTGATCTATTTATAAGATTTGTTCAAACTCTATATTTGGCTGATGTCATCTTCATTTTATTTATCCAAAACAAACTTACCTCACTGCAAATAATAAACAGAATCTTGGGTACACTCCTATTTTAGGATTTGGTGAATGTGGTTGATTTTATTGTTGTTTAAAAAAATCCACTACCCATCCATTGTGGGAATGATATGGGAGGGGGACAGGGAAGTGCTGGGTATAGAAGGGCAGGGTCCTTAGTGAGGGCTCCACCCTCGGGACTGTGCCCATGGACCTGAGTGAGAACAGCCACTCCTGTTTTTGTGCCCAAATGTTGCATTTTCCAAGACCACTCTGACCTGCCACACCCCCCTTCCTGTGCCCATATAAACCCAAGAGCTCAGCGGGCACACACACAAGTGGCTGAATGTCAAGACCAGCAGATCATTGATGGTAGAACAACACAGCAGAGAAAGAAAAGAGGAGGGATGTTTGGACACCAAGGGGAGTTTGGCTGAGGGCAGCTGGAGAAGAGTCCAGCTGCTGGGTGGCCCGACTCCAGGGGAAGACCACCTTCCCACTCCATCCTCCCTTCTGGCTCCCCCTCCATCTTGCTGATAGCCCACTCCACCACCAATAAAACCTTGCACTCTTTCTTTGAGCCTGCATATGCCCCGATTCTTTCAGGACGCTGGACAAGAGCTTGGGATGCAGAAGGCTGTCACACTGGACCTCTGCCCTTGCGATAAGGCAGAGGGTCTATTGAACTGACTAACACACAAGCCATCTGCAGACCACAAAGCTGGAAGAGCTTGGTAACACTGGGGTTGCAGGAACCCACCCCTAGACACTACTGCAGGGCCGAGAGCCCAAAGCACTCACCCCAGCCTCTGCACCTGCCCATCTGCACACTCCCCCTAGGGGTTTGAGCTGCAGGGTGACCAAATAGGCGAGCCACACCCCTGTCACAAGTCCTGCAAGGGGAATCAGGGAACTCTCCTGTTTCAGGAAGATTATACTGTCTTTCCCCCAAGTTGATACCATGTGACCTGCTCTGACCTTTGAAATGCAGCAGAAGTAATATGTCACTCTCAAGAAGATAAAACAGAAGAAGGAAGAAGTGTCCTGAGGAACAAAGGCTGGTTAAAGCTCTTCGAGGTGGCAAATACCAAATCAAGGGTGTGGTAATCACACCCACTGCTGCAACTCCAACGGAAATAAAAGATGCCTTTGGCTGAATGTTTTGAGAGTCCTGTTGCCACCAGAGACTGACTGCGCCAGACCTAAAACAACAGTGGAGGCCCTTGTCTTCTGCTGAGCCCCTAAGAGGTCATATTTTCAAATGTTCTCTTCGGATTCAGCCAAAGAGAATGATAATGGAAAAAGAATACCTCCTGGGGCAGAGCCAAGGGTCACAGAAAACTCTGGACTGCCGTCAACTCCCGGGAGCAGAGCTTCTTGACTTCTGATGCTGCATTGTATCAGCTTAATCAAGGAAGACAATAAAGCACGTCAATTTAAAGTTTACCGTTCAATGAGTTTTGACAAATGGAAGCACCACCAACATGGAGATAAAGAACATTTCTATCACCCCAAAGTGTTCCCTCTTGTACATCAACTCCCTCGGCCCTGGGGCACCATTGCTTCCTGTCCATATACGGTGACCTTTTCTAGAAATGGAATCATACAGTCTGTACACTCTCGTGTTTGGTGCGTCTTTCTCAGCATAATGCTTTTGAGACTCATCCAAACTGTTGTATGTATTGGAAGTTCATATCATTTTGTGCTGTGTGCTATTCCATTGTATGAATGTATCATAATTTGTTCATTCACCTGTTAAGAGACACTTGAGTTGTTTTCAGTTTTTCGCTATTATGCATAAAGTTGGTATGCACATTTATGTGCAAGTCTTTAGATGACATTGGTTTTTATTTTTCTTGGGTAAACCCCATGAGTAATATTGATTGGTTGTAGAGTAAATGTATGTTTAACATTTTTCAAGCTCTTTTCCAAAGTGGTTTCATCATTTTACTTTTTTTTTCTTTGTTGAGACAAAGTCTCACTCTGTCACCCAGGCTGGAGTGCAGTGGCACAGTCATAGCTCACTGCAGCCTTGAAATCTTGGGCTCAAGAAATCCTCATGCCTCGGCCTCCTGAGTAGCTGGGACTACAGGCGCATACCACTACACCCAGCTAATTTGTTTTATTTTTTGTAGAGACAGAGTCTCACTATGTTGCCCAGGCTGGTATGGAACTCCTGGCCTCAAATAGTCCTCCCGCCTTGGCCTCCCAAAGTTCTGGGATTACAGGTATGAGCCACTGCATCCACTGCTTCATTTTACTTTTCCACCAGAGAAAAATGAAACTTTTCATTACTCTACATTCTCACCAACACTCGATATTGTGAGTCTTTTTAACTTTACCCATGCGAATGAGTATGTAACAGGATCTCATTGTGGTTTTAGTTGCATTTCCTTGACGACTAATGATATTGAGCATCTTTTCATGTGTTTTTCGGCCATTTGCATATCTTTTTTGGTGAAGTATTTGTTCAAATTTTTGCCACTTAAAAATTAGATTTTTTGCCTTGTTAATGAATTGTAAGAGTTAAAAAAATTATTCTGGATAAAGACCTGTATCAAGGAGAAAGATATATTTTCTCCCAATCTGTAGTTTGTCTTTTCATGTTCTTAGTGACTTTCAAAGAGTTGTTTTAAAATTTTGATGAAGTCAACTTTATGAATTTTAAAATTTATTTTTTGTGCTGTTTGTGTTCTAAGAAATCTGCCTACCTCAGGATCACAAAGATTTCCTTCTAGAAGTTTTATACTTTTGGCTTTCATGTTTAGGTCTATGATACATTTCAAGTTAATTTTTACGTGTGCTATGAAGTAAGTGTCAAGGTTCATTTTCTCCCATAAGTATATCCAGTTGTTCAAGCTTCATTTATTGAAAAGTCTTTCTGTCACCTCCATTAAATCACCTTAGCGCCTTTGTGAAAAAGTAATTGCCCAAGTAACTTCACACTGGAGAAACCTGACAAACACTGCCTCAGCCAAGGCAGTCAAGGTTCACATCAACAGCTATGTTGTTACTCTGTGCCCTTGATATGATGTGATAAAAATGTGACTTTACCTCTTTGGTCTTTTTTCCAGTCTAATCATAAGAAAAATGTCAGACAAATTCCAAGTGAAGGGCATTTCATAAAATACCAGTACTCCTAAAAACTGCCAAGGTCATTCAGAATAAGGAAAGTCTGAGAAACTGTCACAGCCAAGAAGAACCTAAGGATACATGAGAATTAAGTGGAATGTGGTATTATGGATACAGACCTAATGTCCAGGAACAGAAGAAGGACATTAGGTAAAAATGAAGGAAATCTGAATAAATTATGGACCCTGGTTAATAGTAATGTATCAAGATTGTTTCATTAATTATGCCAAATGTACCATTTCAGTGGAAGATGTTAATAATAGGAGAAACTGCATGCAAACTATATGGAATCTTTTTGAATTATCTTCACAAATTTTCTGTAAATCTAAAACTTTATAAAATAACAAGTTTAACAAAATCAAACAAAAAACCAATTGACCACATGTGTTTTGAAGCTCTGTTGTTGATTGTGGTTACATGTAGGATTTGGGCATCCTCTTAACGAGTTAGCAATTAAATAGTGAAATGTCTCTCTTTATCCTGATAATTTCTTCTTGCTTGTTTTTTTTTTGAAACAAGGTCTCGCTTTGTCACATAGGCTGGAGTGCAGTGGCACGAACATGGCTCACTGCAACCTCAACCTCCCAGGCTCAAGTGATCCTCACACCTCAGCCTCCTAAGAAGCTGGGAACACAGGCACATGCTACCACACCCAACTAATTTTTCTATTTTTTGTAGAGATAGGGTTTCTGTGTGTTACTCAGGCTAGTCTCAAACTCCTGAGCTCAAGCAATCGGCCTACCTTGGCCTCCCAAAGTGCTGGGATTACAAGTGTGAGCCACCACGCCTGGCCCCTGATCATATTCTTTGCTCTGATTGTATTTTGTCAGATGCTATTGTAACAACTCCATTTCTTTTGATTCATATGCATGGTATATCTTTTCCCCATCCTTCTACTTATAGTTGGGTCTTGTTTTTTTCATCCAGCATGACCAGCTTGCTTTAAAAAAATCTCTCTATGTGGAGTATTTAGACCATTTATAGTTCATATAACTATTGATATAGTTGGTTTTAAAACTCACATCTTGCTATTTGTTTGCTATTTATTCTACATTTTCTTTGTTCTTTTCCCCTCTATTCCTGATTTCTTTTGGAGTGATGTAGAATTTTGTATGATTCCATTTTATTTTCTCTACTGGCTTATTAGCACTACCTCTTTGTTGTATTTTCAGTGGCTTTTTTAAGGTTTACAATATATACTTTTAACATAGTCTACCTTTATATAGAGTTCTGTTTCTTTACTTATGATATGTGAGCCTTATTTTCATTTCCCTTCTTCTATTCTTTGTGTTACTGCGGTTGTACATTTTATTTCTATATATGTTATAGACCCCACATTACATTGTTACTGTTTTTGTTTAAACAGGCAATTATCTTTTAAAATATTAAAAAGTGGCTAGGCGCAGTGGCTCACACTTGTAATCCCAGGACTTTGGGAGGCCGAGATTGGAGAATTGCTTGAGCCTAGGAGTTCAAAACCAGCCTGGGCAACAAAAAGAAGAAAAGACTGCTTCACTACTATCTCAGGGATTGTCTTCCTGGCTGCCAACACTCATTCTGCAATTTGTTTTTTGTTTTTTGAAACAGGGTCTTGATCTGTCACCCGGGCTGGAGTGCAGTGGCATGATGATAGCTCACTACAGCCTCAACCTTATGGATTCAAGCAATCCCCCTGCCTCAGCCTCCCAAGTAGCTGGGACTGTGGGTATGCACCACCATGCCCAGCTATTTATTTATTTATTTGTTTATTTATTTATTTATTGAGACAGGATCTTGTTCTGTTGCTTTGGCTGGAGTGCAGTGGTGTGCACCATCTTGGCTCACTGCAACGTGCGCCTACTGGGCTCAGATGATCCTCCACCTCAGCCTCCCAAGTAGCTGGGACTACAGGCGCATGCCACTGCACCCAGCTAACCTTTGTATTTTTTGTAGAGACAGGGTTTTGCCATGTTGCCCAGGTGGTCTCAAACTCCTGAGTTCAAGCTATCTGCCCGCCTTGGCCTCCCACAGTGCTGGGATCACAGTCGTGAGCCACTGTGCTTGGCCTAATTTTTTTTGTTTTGTTTTTTTGAGCCGGAGTTTCTCTCTTGTTGCCCAGGCTGGAGTGCAGTGGCACGATCTCAGCTCACTGCAACCTCTGCCTCCCGGATTCAAGAGATTCTCCAGCCTCAGCCTCCTGAGTAGCTGGGATTACAGACGCCCACCACCATGCCCAGCTAATTTTTTGTATTTTTAGTCGAGAGGGAGTTTTGCCATGTTGGGCAGGCTGATCTTGAACTCCTGACCTCAGGTGACCTGCCTGCCTCGGCCTCCCAGAGTGCTGGGATTGCAGGCGTGAGCCACTGCGCCTGACCTAATTTTTTATTTTTTGTAGAGACAGGGTCTTATTATGTTGCCCAGGCTGGCCCTGAACTTCTAAGCTCAATTGATCCTCCCACTTTGGCATTCCAAAATGCTGGGATTACAGGCATGAGCCACTGCACCTGGCCTACAATGTTTTTTTTTTTTTTTTTTTTTTTTTTTTTTTTTGAGACGGAGTCTCACTCTGTCACACAGGCTGGAGTGCAGTGGCTTGAACTTGGCTCACTGCAACCTCTGCCTCCCTGGTTCAAGCAATTCTCCTGCCTCAGCCTCCCAAGTAGCTGGGACTACAGGCGTATGCCACCGTGCCTGGCTAATTTTTGTATTTTTAGTAGAGATAGGGTTTTGCCATGTTGGCCAGGCTGGTCTCGAACTCCTGACCTCAGGTGATCCACCCTCCTTGGCCTCCTGAAGTGCTGGGATTACTACAGGTGTGAGCCACCGTTCCTGGCCTGGCCTAAAATTTTTGATGCTGATACTTTCTTGATCTCATAGAAAGCTTTCAGAAACAGACAGAACTCCTTGTTCCTTCCTCAAATGGTCCTAAGGTGATTTGTTAACTGAAATTTCAAGGGTTCACGTATGTTCAGGATATGCAGTTTGACTGGCACTGGGCCACCCTCGATTGTAAGGTGCCTTCTGAGCTGTTGAAAAGTAATTAGTGTGTGTCTCCGAATCAGTTGCTAAAATGTGGCCTATAAATATTGTCCTGCAATTCCTTTTCTCATCTACTGATATATGCACAAGATCTTTTCACGTTAGCCCATTTAGAGCTGCTACCTTGTTTTAAAACACTGTATGAAACCTACAGTATTCCCAGTATGGTTCTACCACAACTCCTCTAACCACTGTTCTATTAATAGGTCTCTAACTTGTTTCTAAATAGTACCAAATGGTACAATAAATATATCTCACATGCCTCTGAGTATATTTCTCTAGGACAGATATTGAGAAGGGGAGTTGTTGGATTGAAGGGTATGCCCATTTAAAAATTTTAATTGTCTCCCAGAAGCCCTTATCATTTTGCAGTCCCACCAAATGTGTATTCAAGTGTTTATATATTCCATTGCCCTTGCCCACGTTGGATATTATATATTTAGGAATTTGTGACAATCACATTGGGTTAAGAGCGATGCTATAATGTCATTTTACTTTGCATTTTCCTGACTAGTATTAAGGTAAGATGATTTTAACATGCAGAGCAGATGAAAATACTCCTCCCCACCAACTTACTGGCTCACTGTTCCATGGGTCAGGAGTGCAGCCTTTTTTGTTTTGTTTTGTTTTAATAGAGATGAGGTCTCGCCATGTTGCCCAGGCTGGAGTGCAGTGGCTACTCACAGGTGCAGTCCCACTACTGATCAGCATGAGAATTTTTACTTGCGGTTTCGGACTTGGGCCAATTCACCCTCCTTGAGCAATCCTGTGGTCCTCACTCCCAGGAGGTCACCTTATTGATGCCAGACTTAGTCCAGACACCTGATGGGCATAGTGTACTACAGCCTAGAACTCCTGGGCTCAAGCAGTCCTCCTGCCTCAGCCTCCCAAGTAGTTGTGATCACAAGGGTGAACTTCCACATCCAGCAGGAGGCCAGTACATTGTAGCTGGGTCCTCCTTTCAGCATCTTGTAAGGCTGAAACCAAGGTGCTGGCCAGGTGTGTCCTCATCTGGAGGCTTGATCCACTTCCAGACTTCCTCGGGCTGTTGGCAGAATTCACTTTCTTACAGTTGGAGGACTGAGGTCCCTTTGTCTTGCTGGCTGTTGGCTGGGAACTGTTCTCAAATCCTAGAGGCCACTCTCAGGGCTTGCCACGTGACTTCCTCCAGCTCAGCCACGGGACCCACCCACCGTCAAGTCCCTCTCATGCTTTGAAGCTCTCAGACTTCCCCTTCTATGACCCATGGAAGAAAACGGTCTGCTTTCAAAAGGCTCACGTGATTAGGTCAGGGCCACCCAGATCATCTCCCTATTTTAAGATCAACTTTACCATCTGACATAACTGAATCACAGGAGTAAAATCTGTGATATTCACAGTCTCAGGGATCCTTCAGGTCAGGGTACAGGCACTCAGGGAACAGGAAGCTTTGGAAGCCATCTTAGAATTCTGCCCACCATACCACCAAAGAGGGTGCAAAAGAGAGACCTTTCACATCAGACAGGAAGTTGTATGTGGGCACTGCTTGTGCTAGGAACAGGGGTGTGTGTGTGTGCATGTGTGCATGCGTGTGTGTGCATGTGTGCGTGTGTGTGTGTATGCATTTGTGTGTGTGTGCATGCATGCATGCACGTGTGTGTGTGTGTGTAAAGGACCTCCAAAGAAGCCCAGGTAGAGTTTCCATGAGGAGCTCAAAGTCTGATAGATGATTAACAGTTGAAGGAAGCTTAGGGCACATGACTCATGACTCCAGGAAGTGTTCTCTTTTTCAATGAAACACTCCCAGCAGCCCCAGCGATTTCTTCTATGCGAGGTCTCCAGAAGCTCTCCATTACTGCTGCGTAGGAGAAGGGAGAAGGGTGAGAGACACACCTTTACTTCAGATTAAAGCAGCACATGATTGGTGTTTGCACTGAAGGTCAACTTTCTGAGGAGGAAGCTGGAGGATCAGGGAAGGCTTCCTGAGGAGATGGCCTTTAAACCTGGCCTTGAAGACTGGGGAGAATTCCAACAGGATGAGCTGGATGTGGAAAGGGGCTTCCAGGAAAGACACAGCCAAGTGTGGAAGCCCGAGGAGCATTTCAGGAAGGGCAAGCAGCCAGTGTGTAGAGCTGAGAATGGAGGATCAGCAGCAGGAAAGGGTTGGGGCTGGACCGGGATGAAGGGTAAGGACTAGGCAGAGGAGCGTCGGCTTCAGTAACAATGCAAGGTCAGCTTGACTTATCTTGACATTAGAATATTCTTGTCACTTCCCAAGAGGGAGAGGCTGTATTCCAAGTTAATAGTCCATTTTAACACCTAACACGAAAGAGAGAGAGAGAAACACAAGCACTTAAGCCTGGAGTAAACACAGTCATTACAGTGACCACAAAAACATTACTGATGGACCAATAAAAAGCGAAAGGAGTCATGGGGGAAACCAGTACATCTCTGCAGTGTGTAAAGCAACCCAACCTCATAAACGCCGCTGACCTTTCCTGTGACAAACCAAGCCCTGAGAGCTTTGGTTTTAATTGACAGTGAGACCACAGGTACATTGCCCTTCACTGCTGTTACGGGTTGAATGGTGTCCCCCTAAAAGAGATGTTATTCTAACCCTTAGTACCTGTGAATGTCACATTATTTGGAAACAGGGTCTTTGCAGAAGTAATCAAGTTAAGATGAGGTCATTAGGGTGGGCCTCAGTTCACTATGACTGGTGTCCTTAGAAAAAGAAAAGATACAGATTGACACCAGGGAGAGCACCATGGGAATATATTTTTTTTCTCTGTCGGCCAGGCTGGAGTGCAGTGGCGCGACCTCAGCTCACTGCAACCCTCACCTCCTTGGGTTCAAGTGATTCTCGTGCCTCAGCCTTTCAAGTAGCTGGGATTATAGGTGCCTGCCACTATGCCTGGCTAATTTTTTGTATTTTCAGTAGAGACAGGTTTCACTATATTGGCCAGGCTGGTTTCAAACTCCTGGTCTCAAGTGATCCACTCCCCTTGGCCTCCCAAAGTACTAGGATTATAGGCGTGAGCCATCCAGCCTGGGGTCATTCATTCTTCAAGTGTGCAGCGTGTGCCCACTGTGAACCAGGCTTTGTGCTGGGGGCTGCAGGTGGACTCTCTGCTGAGCAAAATGGTAGCTGACTTAATGCCCTGGCAGGCTGCTTTCTTTAAGGAGAAATTATTATAGTATTGGGCCAAGCCAGGCCACATTGCAGTGTCCTTAAGGGAACCCGCTGGGAATGCAGATCCTTGGCCTGCAGAGGCCAAGGCTGAGGGGCACATGCGGTGGGATCAGAGCAAGTCGGAGGAACACCCAGGGCGGAACTGGGGCAGGAGGACTTAGCTGTCACCTCTGGTGAGCTGGAAGTACCTGTCCTTGGTACACTGAAAACCAACCAAAGGACTACTCAGACAGGAGGGAGAGTAAAGGTGCGAAATATTCCACCGTGGGTGACCACACTACCACAATAATACGTCTTCCTACAGGTTTACAGGAATCAGTAACTGAACGTTCAGGTGTCAGATTAAGAGATTATGGCATCTGTCCCTCCCGAGGTCAAATCTTAGCTCTGTTACTGTGTGTTGGAACTTCACAACGTTTTTAACTTTGAAAGACGCTGTATCTTCATCTGTAAAACACTGACGGAAATACCTAACTTCTTAGGTTTGGCGTGAGCATAAAGTGAGAAAAGTGTACGTAACGATCTTAACGATATGACTGGAGCCTGGAAAGGCATTCCTGAGACCTCGCTACCGAAAGTGAAAGGGACGCATAATGGAAAAGTGTTAAGTCTGGGAGATGTCCGTGGCCTTTGAAGTGGACACGCCGGTCATAAACTTGGCCTAGAGGGACTGTTCAGTGTCCTGTTTGGGGAATGGTGGCCTCCTCCAAGGCTCACCACCGCGGCAGGTGTGGTCCTGGCTCTGCAGGTGAAGGGAGCTCCAGATTCTAGGTGTGGAGCGAGCCCTTTGCGAGGTGACAGCGCGAGGTCCCCTCAATGCACTGGGGAGGCGGATTTTCCCAGCGAGAAGGGGCTAGCAGGAGCTGCGTTTATTGTGAAGGCCCACAGGTAACGGGGCCATGCACCCCAGGGCGAGACTGGAGTTAAAGGTGGGCGGCAGTCCCTGGTATTCAAGGCCACCTAAGACACCCTGGACGGTGGACCCTGGGAAAGAGCCGGGGTGCCCCCGCCCTGGCCAGGGTTTGCCCCTTGTGGGGCGGAGGGAGCTGGGGCAAGCAGCGCTGACGGTAGCCTGGGAACTGGGCCAGGGTCTGCAGGGCGGGCTGGGAGCAGGGCAGGAGGGAGGAGAGGGAAGAGGGCAGTGGGGTCAGAGGGCCCCAGCGCCTGCCCCGGGCTGGGGATACCACGCAGCCGAGTTCCCACGGCCACCACTGGGTGTCGCCCTTGCCCCGCGAAGGGAGCAGGCGCGCGTTTCCCGAGGCGCCTCTGTCCTCCCAGCTCCTCCGGGCTAGATAGACAATGTCCCGGGACCCAGGTGGGCGTAGTGGACCAAGCCCGGAGTCGTCAACCGCAGTCCCTGAGGGGCTGGCCCTGTGCAGAGCCCGAGGCTGGGTGGGCTTGGACCGCTGCCTTCAGAGAGCCCGCCAGGCCCAGCCTTGCCCGGACGCTCCCAGCACCTGGATTCTGCGGAGTCTGGATCTTCACTGTGAGGCTGCCGGGCCCTCCAGGAGACATCCTGTTGTGTCCAGAATTGGTGGGTTCTTGGTCTCACTGACTTCAAGAATGAAGCCGCGGACCCTCGTGGTGAGTGTTACAGTTCTTAAAGGCGGTGTGTCCGGAGTTTGTTCCTTCTGATGTTCGGATGTGTTCGGAGTTTCTTCCTTCTGGTGGGTTCGTGGTCTCGCTGGCTCAGGAATGAAGGTGCAGACCTTCGCAGTGGGTGTTACAGCTCTTAAGATGGCGCATCTGGAGTTGTTCGTTCCTCCCGCTGGAGTTGTTCGTTCCTCCCAGTGGGTTCGTGGTCTCACTGGCTTCAGGAGTGAAGCTGCAGACATTCGTGGTGAGTGTTACAGCTCTTAAAGGCAGTGTGGACCCAAAGAGTGAGCAGTAGCAATATTTATTGCAAAGAGCGAAAGAACAAAGCTTCCACAGTGTGGAAGGGGACCCAAGTGGGTTGCCACTGCTGGCTCAGGCAGCCTGCTTTTATTCTCTTATCTGGCCCTACCCACATCCTGCTGATTGGTCCATTTTACAGAGAGCTGATTGGTTTGTTTTACAGAGAGCTGATTGGTCCGTTTTGACAGGGTGCTGATTGGCGCGTTTACAATCCCTGGGCTAGACACAAAAGTTCTCGGTGTCTCCACTAGATTAGCTAGATACAGAGTGTCAACTGGTGTGTTTACAAACCCTGAGCTAGACACAGAGTGCTGATTGGTGCATTTACAAACTGTGAGCTAGATACAGAGTGCCGATTGGTGCATTCACAATCCCTTAGCTAGACATAAAGGTTCTCCAAGTCCCCACCAGATTAACTAGATACAGAGTGCCAACTGGTGCCTTCACAAACCCTGAGCTAGACACAGGGTGCTGATTGGTGTGTTTACAAACCTTGAGCTAGATACAGAGTGCTGATTGGTGTATTTAGAATCCCCTAGCTAGACATAAAGGTTCTCTAAGTCCCTACCAGACTCAGGAGCCCAGCTGGCTTCACCCAGTGGATCCCGCACCGGGGCCGCAGGTGGAGCTGCCTGCCAGTCCTGCGCCATGCGCCTGCACTCCTCAGCCCTTGGGCGGTCAATGGGACCAGGGGCCGTGGAGCAGGGGGCAGCACTCGTCTGGGAGGCTTGGGCCATGCAGGAGCCCACGGTGGCGGGGCGGGGGAAGGCTCAGGTATGGCAGGCTGCAGGTTCTGAACCCTGCCCCGCAGGGAGGCAGCTAAGGCCTGGTGAGAAATCGAGCACAGCAGCTGCTGGCCCAGGTGCTAAGCCCCTCACTGCCCAGGGCCAGCAGGGCTGGCTGGCCGCTCCGAGCATGGGCCCCCCAAGCCCACACCCACCCGGAACTTGCGCTGGCCTGCAAGCACTGTGCACAGCCCTGGTTCCCACCCGTGCCTCTCCATCCACACCTCCCCGCAAGCTGAGGGAGCTGGCTCTGGCCTCGGCCAGCCCAGGAAGGGGCTCCCACAGTGCAGCAGTGGGTTGAAGGGCTCCTCAAGTGCCACCAGAGTGGGTGCCCAGGCAGAGGAGGCTCCGAGAGCGAGCGAGGTCTGCGAGGGCTGCCAGCATGCTGTCACCTCTCAATCCCCCCTCTAAACAGGACACCCCAACTGCTGTTGGGAATTTGGCCGATGACCGCTCTAGCTACTTCCTGCTGGATAGGGGCAAAGAAGGGGCCCTGCAGTTGTAGTGTCCTCCAGAGGGGAACTCTCTAGGCCAGTGGAAGTGCCAGTGGGTTGGTCCATGGGTCCTTGGTAGAAGTTGTTAGTTGAACTCATTTGGAGTTCCATTTGTAAGACCATCTGTAGCTTGATGGCCTCAATTCTAGAGGAAACAAATTTGACAAGAAGGTTAAAAATACAAGGCCTGAAGGCGAGTAACAGCAAGATGGCTGCCACGGGACCTAGAAAGGGGAGAAGCCATGTTGCCCAAAGGTTGGTATAAGAGTTTGAAAGGCGTCTGATTTCAGAAGCCTTTTCTTGTAAACGCCGGGCGGCAAATCGTACTATCCCTGACTGGTTAGTGTAAAAACAACACTCTTCCCCTAAGAAGGTGCAGAGTCCTCCTTTTTCAGCAGTGAAGAAGTCTAGGCCTCAGCGGTTTTGGAGAGTCACTGCTGCCAAAGAGTCTATTTGGGATTGTAAAGTAAGAATAGATTTTGTTATTTCTTGCAAACTGTCTGAGAAATCCTTTGAGAGTGTGTGGTAGTAGGATAATGAAGTAGATAAACCGGCTATTCCCCTTCCTGTAGCAGTAGCCATTCCTAACCCTATAAGTAGGGGTATTAGTTGTATGGCTCTGCACTGACGGACTTGAGCTTTGAGGGGTACTGATAAGGTCTGATTTCCTGGGGCAATGTTAATGTTGGGACTTAGAAAGACTAAGGTGCAGGTGCCTGTCCAGTTAGTGGGGAGGCAGATATAGGTCGATCTTCCACATAGAAAAATATGCCTTGGCTGGGTAAACAGAACTTTACCCTGGCTTTTAAAGGAATAGGGTACACTGTTTTTCTCTTTACTACTTCCATCTCTCTTTCTATCTCTTTGACTTCTTCTTTGTCTCTTTCTCTGACTTCCTGTCTCTTTCTCTCTTTCCTTTGACTCCTTCTCTTTGTCTCTATTTCTTCCTCTTTCTCTGACTTTCTTTTTCTCTCTTTCCTTCTTGCTGGTCTGCCAGCTGCTTAGCTGCTGTTCTCCCCTCTTCTTCCCATTTTGATGGCTTTGGCAGTGTAAGAGTGCCACCTCCTTGTGTTTTTGCAGTGCGTGCAATAACTCTATAATTTCCTTGTGGTATTTAATTGGGGTCCCCCCAGAGCTTAGGAGCTCCCATTTTTTCCATATTGCAGCATGGGCATGTAGGATTAAATAAGCATACTTGCTGTCTGTATACACATTTATTCTTTTTCCCTTTTCCAGTTCTAAGGCTCGGGTAAGTGCCACTAGTTCCGCTAACTGGGCACTGGTCCCTGGGGGAAGAGGCTTACTTTCAAGTATGGTTACATCACTATGGCGTAACCTGCCCTTCATATCCCATTCTCCACAAATGAACTTCCATTGGTATATAGGTTAAGGTCATGATTAGTTAAGGGGACTTCTAAGAGATCATCTCGGGTGGCATAAGTCTGGACTACAATTTGTTGGCAGTCATGCTCGATTGGTTCCCCATCCTCTAGGAGAAAAGTGGCAGGGTTGAGGGCCACGCAGGTGCCTATTTGAACCACCAGTCCCTCAAGGAGTAGTGCCTGGTATCTAAGTAGGCGGTTGTCTGATAGCCATAAACTTCCTTTGGCACCTAGTATGCCATTTACATCATGAGTAGTCCAGACAGTGTGATCCTTTCCTTGTATTATTTTGATAGCCTCTGACACTAAGATGGCCACTGCTACAACTACCCTTAAACAGTGAGGCCAGGCTTTTGCTACTACATCAATTTCCTTACATAGGTATGCCACTGGTTGTGGGGTTGTCCCACGAGTCTGAGTAAGGACTCCTAGAGCTATCCCGGCTCTCTCTGTGATGTATAATGAGAAGTTTTGTCCTGTGGGAAGGCTTAAAGCTGGAGCTTGTACTAGGGCCTGCTTTAAGGTTTTGAAGGCTGTTTCTGCCTCTGGTTACCATTCTACTAAATGAGTATTTGCCTTCTGGGTTTCCTTGATTAGAGTATAGAGGGGCCTGGCTATCTCGCTGTATCTGGGGATCCATAGTTGACAAAAGCCGGTAATTCCAAGGAACCCCCACAACTGTTTTAATGTCTTAGGGCAAGGATAAGCAAGTATAGGCTGTATTCATTCCTTGCTGAGGGCGCTGGTCCCTCTGGCTAAGATTAGGCCCAGATATTTGACCTGCTGTAGGCAAAGCTGGGCCTTCGACCTAGACATCTTGTACCCTTGATTAGCTAGAAAGTTCAAGAGATCTAGAGTAGCCTGCTGGCACGAGGCTTCCGAACTGGTAGCCAAAAGTAAATCATCCATATATTGAAGGACCAGAGTGCCTGGACTTGAGAAGTGGCCTAGATCTTGGGCCAGTGCCTGACCAAACAGATGAGGGCTATCCGTAAACCCTTGGGGCAAGACCGTCCACGTAAGTTGGGATGTGTGGTCTGTGGGATCCTCAAAAGCAAAGAGGAACTGGGAGTCAGAGTGCAGGGGAATACAGAAGAAGGCATCCTTGAGGTCCAGAACCATGAACAATTCTGCTTCCTCTGGTATTTGAGAGAGCAGGGTATAGGGGTTTGGTACAACTGGATATAGAGGAATTACTGCCTCATTAATGATTCTAAGATCTTGCACTAGTCTCCACTGACCGTTCGGTTTTTGTACTCCTAGAATTGGGGTGTTGCAGGGACTGCTGCATTTCCTTACTAAGCCTTGAGCTTTCAAATGTTTAACAATATTCTGTAATCCTTTATGAGCTTCAGGCCTTAAGGGATATTGCCTTTGATAAGGAAAAATGGTGGGATCTTTTAACTTGATTTGGACTGGGCAGGCAATTTTTGCCTTTCCAAATTGTCCTTCCAATGCCCAGACTTCAGGGTTGATTCCTTCCTCAAGTAGGGGACAACAAATGGGTAACTTGTTCCCCATATTCATGTAGATAATAGCTCCAGCCTTGGCTAATATATCCTTCCCTAATAGGGGTGTGGGACTTTCAGGCATAACAAGAAAGGCATGTGAAAAGAGCAAAGTCTCCCATTTACAACTGAGGAGGTAGGAGAAATACCTGGTTACAGGCTGTCCCAGGATTCCTCGGATGGTAACGGACCTTGAGGACAGTCGTCCAGGACAGGAGATTAACACTAAGAAGGCCATGCCAGTGTCCAGGAGGAAGTCAATTTCCTGGCCCTCAATAGTTAAACATACCCGGGGCTCAGTGAGGGTGATGACATGAGCTGGCGCTTGCCTCAGGCACCCTCAGTCCTGTTGTTGGATCATCTGGTTGGGGGCTTCTGACCCAGGGAAACTTCATCCTCTGGGGCAGTGATTGCCTTGGCATAGTGGACATGGATGAGGGGGCAGCTTGTTTCTCATTGGACAATCTTTTTAAAAGTGTCCTAGTAAACCACACTGATAACAAGCCCTACCAGGTGATTGGCCTGCTCCATTTTCTGTCCTCTCTGAACCTCCAAGGTTTGATTGTCTGAGGGCCATGACTAAGGCTGCGGCCTTTCTCTGATCTCGCTTTTCCTTTTGGGCCTGTGCCTCTTGGTTCCTATTATAGAACACTGAGATTGCCAGGTTTAATAATGCCTCTAGATTTTGTTCAGGGCCCAGGGCTTGCTTTTGGAGCTTTCTTCTGATATCTGTGGCTGATTGGGTAATAAACTTATCTTTTAGAATCAATTGACCCTCGAGTGATTTGGGTGACAGGGGAGTATATTTTCTTAAGGCCTGCCTTAGCTGCTCGAGGAAGGCAGAAGCATTTTCTTCCTTTCCCTGAGTTATGGTGGACATCATTGAATAATTCATGGGCTTTTTTCTAATTCTCCTTAGTCCTTCTAGAACACAGGTCAACAGATGTTTACGACTCCAGTCCCCATGATCTGAGTCAAGGTCCCAGTGGGGATCCATACTGGGGTTGGCTTGCTGACCGGTAGGGAATTTGTCCCTTTCTTCAGCTGTCATTCTATCATTTACTTGACTAAGATACCAGGTATCTCCAAACTCTCGGGCTGCAGCTAAAGCCGCATTCTTTTCTTTTTTTTTAAAAAAAAACAAAAAATTTTACTTGTCTTTTCTTTTTTTTTTTTTCTGGTTACTTACTTGTATTTTTTTTTAATTTTTTTTAGTATTTATTGATCATTCTTGGGTGTTTCTCAGAGAGGGGGATTTGGCAGGGTCATAGGACAATAGTGGAGGGAAGGTCAGCAGATAAACATGTGAACAGAGGTCTCTGGTTTTCCTAGGCAGAGGGCCCTGCCACCTTCCGCAGTGTTTGTGTCCCTGGGTATTTGAGATTAGGGAGTGGTGATGACTCTTAACGAGTATGCTGCCTTCAAGCATCTGTTTAACAAAGCACATCTTGCACTGCCCTTAATCCATTTAACCCTTAGTGGACACAGCACATGTTTCAGAGAGCACGGGGTTGGGGGTAAGGTTATAGATTAACAGCATCCCAAGGCAGAAGAATTTTTCTTAGTACAGAACAAAATGGAGTCTCCTATGTCTACTTCTTTCTACACAGACACAGTAACAATCTGATCTCTCTTTCTTTTCCCCACATTTCCCCCTTTTCTATTTGACAAAACCGCCATCGTCATCATGGCCCGTTCTCAATGAGCTGTTGGGTACACCTCCCAGACAGGGTGGCGGCTGGGCAGAGGGGTTCCTCACTTCCCAGATGGGGCGGCCGGGCAGAGGTGCCCCCCACCTCCCAGACGGGGTGGCGGCCGGGCGGGGTTCGCCCCCCACCTCCCGGACGGGGTGGCTGGCCGGGTGGGGGCTGCCCCCCACCTCCCGGACGGGGCGGCTGGCTGGGTGGGGGCTGCCCCCCACCTCCCGGACAGGGCAGCTGCTGGGCAGAGACGCTCCTCACTTCCCAGACGGGGCGGCTGCTGGGCGGAGGGACTCCTCACTTCTCAGATGGGGCGGCCGGTCAGAGACGCTCCTCACCTCCCAGACGGGGTGGTGGTGGGGCAGAGACACTCCTCAGTTCCCAGACGGCGTCATGGCCGGGCAGAGGTGCTCTTCACATCTCAGACGGGGCGGTGGGGCAGAGGCGCTCCCCACATCGCAGACAATGGGCGGCCAGGCAGAGACGCTCCTCACTTCTTAGATGGGATAACGGCCGGGAAGAGGCGCTCCTCACTTCCCAGACTGGGTGACCGGGCAGAGGGGCTCCTCACATCCCAGACAATGGTCGGCCAGGCAGAGATGCTCCTCACTTCCTAGACGGGGTGGCAGCCGGGCAGAGGCTGCAATCTCAGCACTTTGGGAGGCCAAGGCAGGCGGCTGGGAGGTGGAGGTTGTAGCGAGCCGAGATCACGCCACTGCACTCCAGCCTGGGCAACATTGAGCACTGAGTGAGCGAGACTCCGTCTGCAATCCCAGCACCTTGGGAGGCCGAGGCTGGCAGATCACTCTCGGTCAGGAGCTGTAGACCAGCCTGGCCAACATGGCAAAACCCCGTCTCCACCAAAAAATACGAAAACCAGTCAGGCATGGTGGTGTGCGCCTGCAATCCCAGGCACTCGGCAGGCTGAGGCAGGAGAATCAGGCAGGGAGGTTGCAGTGAGTCGAGATGGCAGCAGTACAGTCCAGCCTCGGCTCGGCATCAGAGGGAGACCATGCAGAGAGGACAGGGACAGGGAGAGGGAGAGGGAGAGGGAGAGCAGCCACATTCTTTTCATTAAAGGCCAGGGTTTGATCTAACAGTAGCATGACATCTCTCCAAGCAAGGTCGAAGGTTTGCCCTAGACCCTGTAGGACATCTATGTACCTATCGGGATCATCTGAAAACTTCCCCAGGTCTGCCTTGATCTGCTTTAAATCAGAGAGGGAGAAGGGGACATGTACCCGGGTTGGGCCAAATTCCCCTCTCCCTACAGTTTGAAGGGGACATAATGGATAGCCCGGGGGTTTTTGTGGTCCTTTGGAGATTTCTTTGCTTATTTCCTTCTGGGCAGGGGAGATTAGAGGAGGACTATCATTAATAGGAAGGGGAGCTATAGGGAGGCTAGGATGTGGGGGTAAGCTGAGAGGTCCTCCTGTGGGATGTAAATTGTAAGCTTTGCATAGTTGTGTATTCTCCTTCAATGAAAAGAAAGCTTGGATATAAGGTATTTCACTCCATTTGCCTTCCCTCTTACAGAAAAGGTCAAGCTGCAGGATAGTATTGTAATTTGTACTTCCCTCAGGTGGCCATTTTTCCCCATCAGAGAGAGAATATTGGGGCCAAGCCCTAGTGCAGAAAAAAAAAAAATGAGCCACCTCTTTTTCAGGGTTTGTGGGTCAAATTGGTCCCAGTGGCTTAGGATGCATTTCAAGGGTGAGCCTGTTGATGCCTGAGTGTTTCCCATCTGAAAGACAAAACTGCCCACGGTTTTGGTTTGTTTTGTTTCTCCCCCTGCCCAAGAACCCGCAATGGTCCCTGGACCCTGCTGATTGCAGTACTTGTGCTCACCGATGCATTAGCAGAAACAGCCCCTGCCCAAGAACCCGCAACGGTCCCTGGACCCTGCTGGTCGGAATAGTTGCACTCACCAATGCAGCAGCAGAAACACTAGTTTTCCTCCCAGACCACATGGAGAACTGAGGAAGGTCAGATTTAGTGGCCCTTACTGACGCATTCTCGAAAACCTGCACCCTTGCCTGTCCTCCTAGACCACAAGGAGGACCGACCGAGAAAAATCGGATTTAGTGGCCCTTACCGATGCATTCTCGAAAATCTGTTAAGAGTCTTAAGCATTCTCCTATTAGTATTGGGAACTTACCCCGTCCTATAAAGATGTTATGCCCCAAAAATTAAGTGGAGGGCCATACCCTGAGGGAGGGAAGGGATCTCCAGGGTTGGAAGAGTGACACCTTTTGTCTTCACTTATATGAATAGGAAGGATACAATTTCTGAGGCTCCCCATATCTTAGCTTAAGGAATAGCTTTTGTTAGGCCTGTTAGTCTGAGGAGGGATCCTAAAATTCCAGGTAGTCCCCACTATGATGGGGCTTTGGGCAAAAATTGTGTCTTTCTGATTGGTGAGCCTGGGTGCCTAAAGAGGGTAACAGTCCTGGAGTTTATACTAGAAATCATTCTTATGGGAGAAACTAGAAAAGCGCCAGAGACAGGCAGCAATTTTTAGAAGCCGGAATAACCTCAGAGAAGAGAGGCAAGAGGAAGTTTGTCTGGCAAGCATTAGGACCCAAGGGGCAAGGGTCAGGATAGATAGGACAGATGGGCGAATCTCGCTTGGGCAACATGCCTTTGAGAGTTCCGCTCATGGCCGCAGGGTCAACCAATTTGTTGTTGGGACCCCGGAGCTGCATGGCTTTCCTCTCTGTCGACGCTTGGCTCAGCCTGGAAGTACAGGAAAAGCGGAAGCTGCTTCTAGGCAAACCAATGGTCCCAACTCCGAAGAGTTGGGGGTTGTTAGCCCTTTCCCAGAAAGCCTGACACCTGTGTCTTTAGTCTGGCAGCTGCGCTAGTCACTTTTAACTGGCCAACAGGTGCCCAGTATTTAGCCCCCGCATTCTAAGGAAAAATAGGACAGAATAGCAAGCAAAAGGGGTCTGATGGTACTCACTGCTTGGCGATAGGTGATAGTCTTGCTGCTCAGCGATAGGCGATGGTCTCACCACTCGGCGATAGTCTCACCGCTTGGCGATAGGCGATAGTCCCTTTGTGGTCGCCAAAATGTGTCTGGAATTGGTGGGTTCTTGGTCTCACTGACTTTAAGAATGAAGCCGCGGACCCTCGCAGTGAGTGTTACAGTTCTTAAAGGCGGTGTGTCCGGAGTTAGTTCCTTCTGATGTTCAGATGTGTTCGGAGTTTCTTCCTTCTGGTGGGTTCATGGTCTTGCTGGCTCAGGAGTGAAGCTGCTTATTGCAAAGAGCGGAAGAACAAAGCCTCCACAGTGTGGAAGGGGACCCAAGTGGGTTGCCACTGTTGGCTTAGGCAACCTGCTTTTATTCTCTTATCTGGCCCCACCCACATCCTGCTGATTGGTCCATTTTACAGAGAGCCAATTGGTCTGTTTTACAGAGAGCTGATTGGTCCGTTTTGACAAGGTGCTGATTGGTGCGTTTACAATCCCTGAGCTAGACACAAAAATTCTCCATGTCCCCACTAGATTAGCTAGATACAGAGTGTCGATTGGTGTATTTATAAACCCTGAGCTAGACACAGAGTGCTGATTGGTGCATTTACAAACCGTGAGCTAGATACAGAGTGCCGATTGGTGCATTCACAATCCCTTAACTAGACATAAAGGTTCTCCAAGTCCCCATCAGATTATCTAGATACAGAGTGCTGATTGGTGCATTCACAAACCCTGAGCTAGACACAGGGTGCTGATTGGTGTGTTTACAAACCTTGAGCTAGATACAGAGTGCTGATTGGTGTATTTACAATCTCCTAGCTAGACATAAAGGTTCTCTAAGTCCCTACCAGACTCAGGAGCCCAGCTGGCTTCACACAGTAGATCCCGCACTGGGCCACAGGTGGAGCTGCCTGCCAGTCCTGTGCCGTATGCCTGCATTCCACAGTTGATGGGACCCGGCGCCTTGGAGCAGGGGGCGGCACTCGTAGGGGAGGCTCGGGCCACGCAGGAGCCCAAGGTGCGGGGTGGGGGAAGGCTCAGGTATGGTGGCCTGCAGGTCCCGAGCCCTGCCCTGTGGGGAGGCAGGTAAGGCCTGGTAAGAAATTGAGCACAGCAGCTGCTGGCCCAGGTGCTAAGCCCCTCACTGCCCAGGCCAGAAGGGCCCGCAGGCCGCTTGGAGTGCGGGGCCCGCTGAGCCCACCCCCACCCGGAACTCACGCTGGCCTGCAAGCGCTGCGGGCAGCCCCGGTTCCCACCCGTGCCTTTCCGGCCACACCTCCCTGCAAGCTGAGGGAGCCGGCTCTGGCCTCAGCCAGCCCAGGAAGGGGTTCCCACAGTGGAGCGGCAGGCTGAAGGGCTCCTCAAGTGCCACCAGAGTGGGCGCCCAGGCAGAGGAGGCACCAAGTGTGAGCGAGGGCTGCGAGGGCTGCCAGCACGCTGTCACCTCTCACTGTGACCGCTGTCGATTTATGGCCTCAAGAGCCTCGGTCTTGCAGAGGGACCACGCCAGGACCTCACCCACCCAGAATCCGCAGGTGGGGGAGTCCGCCTCCCCAGGACAGAGGCCCCACCTGACCCTGCGGGCCTCAGGCCTCCTGGACCCCGTCCCCTTCAGGGGCCTAGGGGACAGCAGCCCCTGGTGCTCAGGGAGCACCTCCCAGAGAATCGCTGGGAAAGTTGTTCCTCAGTCCTCACCCCGCACCCAGGCTCAGCTCCCCAACAGCCCCTGTTACTGAAAGGCTGGGGGAGCCCCCAGCATCAGGAGCCAAAGGGGAAATTCTAGAGCCAGGCCCAGGAGGAACAAAAATAATTAAAGGCAACAACAGCTCACACCTAGCACTAACCTGTGCCAGGCACTATTCTAAGTACTTTACATGTCATTACTCATTTAATTCTCAGAGTCTTTGGGGGGATATTATCACTGTTTTACAACTGAGAAAAGTGAGGTACACGGATCTTAAGTCTCTCTGGGTTTCAGTTTCCTAAAAATTCAACGGTTTTGAAAGGGAAGTGCCCTAGAAGTCTGCATGTGAATGGGATCAGAGGACCTGTGACTCAGGAGGGAGGCTCTCCACCCCTCAACATGTTAAGGATACATCATTATGGAAATGGGAAGGAATTTCATGGTGAGAGTCAAAGTGCAGGGGGCTTGCCAGGAGAATGTATTTTTGGACATGCTGGGGGACAAGAACGTTAGAAAAATGGCATCTAATGAACTGGAGTGCAGTGGTGCGATCACAGCTCACTGCAGCCTCAACCTCCTGGTCTGGTGCAAGCCTCCCGCCTCGGCCTGCTGGTGGTCTTGATGGTGGGGAAGGAAAACTATATGCGATTGAGGGGAGGATGAAAAGAACACCCATCACAGGACTATTCACAAATGGGAGACAGATGCAACCCCGACACCTGGGTCTTCAAGTCGTTCTGCCCCAGCATCATTCCAGAGTCTAGCCCCGCCCTCCTGGTGCTGTCTTGTCCCAAGGCCCTGCTGCCTGGCCTTTGGGAACACTGTAAGGTGCCACTGCTCGCCCTTGCCGCGGTCCTCTGCCTGACCTGTTCCCCAGCATGAACCTCCCCTACCATATGCCCAGTTTGGAATTCCATGAGGGGGAATGTGGGAGGGAACTTAGAAGAAACTGTTTTAAATAACAAGCTAACACTCTCGAGGACAGTCTAAAAAGGCTTTCTTTAATGATTAAGCCTGGGAGAGTTAAGACTGAAGGAAGGACTGGAAGAAGGAAAATGAGGATTTGGATGAGACTACAGGTGAATTTCCCGCAGATGGAAGCGCTGGAGAGGGACGCCGAGCAGCTCTGCAGCGCCCATCGGCAGGATCACCAGGCAGGCTGGGCCTCCATCCATGGGTGCCTCTGGCTCCCTATCTGTGCAACCGGACGGCCATCACCCCTCACAGAGTTGTTATGAGGCTCCAAGGAATCCCTGTGTATGAATCTCAGCACAGTGCCCGACTTGTAGTAAGTGCTCTATTTTAGTATTATTTTTACTTTGAAACAAAAACTTGCAGAAAATTGGGGAAAAGAACAGGGGAGAGCCCATGGGAACATCCAGCCTGACTGCTTCCCTTTAAGGTGAGGAGACAGCGCAGAGAGCTACTCTCCCAACCGGCACCTGAGTGGACGCTCCCACCAGGGCCTCCTGCCCCCAACAGCCCAGTCCTTTCTTTGCCGGTGAGGCACAGTCAGGATGGTCCCACAGCACTCCTGGGGGCTGAGTCTGACCACAGCGCAGCACCTGGGTAGTCCACACAGACCGTCTGCACCCCAGTCAGGGTGCTAGGGATAGACAATCCAACTCAAAATAGTTTAAGCCTACTCCCCCGCCCAAAAAATGTACTTATTCATGTAGCTAAGGCGTCTGGGATTGGTAGAACCTGAAATGACTCCATTAGGACACTGTCTCTTCTGTGTTCTTTCCTTCCCTTCATTCCTTTTCCTTCCTTTCCCTCCATCTCTCCCTCCCTCCCTCCCCTCTCTTTTCTTTCTTGACGGGGTCTCACTCTGTCACCCAGGCTAGAGTGCAGTGGCACAATCATGGCTCACTGCAGCCTTGAAGTCCTGGGCTCAAGCGATCCTCCTGAAACGGGAAAGGTTCTCCTGTCCCCCTCGCAGGGTGTGCGACATGTGGAGTGGCTCGGTTCTCCAGTGCCTCGCTGCTCAAATCTTTAGGGGAGCATACAGACGGGCAGGCTGTGGGGCTCCAACCCCACTGCAGTGTCTAGGGGTGAATGTTTACAGCTCCTGAAGTCCCAGTGGACGTGTGTTACAGGGTCTTTTAGTTTGCCCTCTATAGGCGGTTTGTGTTAAACAGCTCAATTAGACCCTCTACCTTGTCCCAAGGATAGAGGGTTTTCTGTATCCCGGGTTCTTGCCTTGGTGTACTGGAAGATTCAGATCACAGGTGAGCTTGGAGAATAAGTGCAAAGTTTTACTGAGTAGAAGTAGCTTTCAGCCAATGGGGGAGCCAGAAGGGAGATGGTTTTCCCCTGGAGTTTGGCTGCTCAGTGGCCCCAGCTCCCTTCCAACGGCCCCATCCAAACTCCGCATCATTTCGCTGATTCATGGCCGGTCTGCCTGCCTTCCTGCCGGGTGGTGGGCTCTCGGGTCTCAAAGACCAGCTGCTTGTCTTTTTCCTCCAATGTATTCCTCCCGACTTCCAGCTGCTTCTGTGTCTGCCCTCTAGGGGGTCATGGGTTTTTATAGGCCCAAGATGTGGGCGTGGCAGGCCAGGGTAGTCTTGGGGAATGCAACATTTGGGCAGAAAAATGCCTGTCCTCACCTAGGTCCGTGGGGGTGGAGCCCTAGCCAGGGACCACAACTCTCCTCTACCCAGCACTTCCTTTCCCCTTTTCCATATCATTTAAAGGGGCCACGCTCTTCCCTTTCCAGCATTTCAGTGTCACTCCCACCTCACCCTCCTGAGTAGCTGGGACCACAGGCATGTACACCACACCTGGCTAAATTTATTTTATTTTTTTGTAGAGATGGGGGTCTCACCATGTTGTCCAGGCTGGTCTTGAACTCCTGGGCTCAAGGGATCCTCCCACCTCAGCCTCCCAAAGTGCTGAGATCCTCTAGGTTTCTTTGGGTTCATTCTCAGCATTCTTTGGGTTCATTCTCTTCATGTGGGGTAAGGTGGCCACCAGCAACTACAGGCTCACATGGTCCTCGTGTTTTAAAATGCAGGTTTTCTGGCTGGGCACCGTGGCTCACGCCTGTAATCCCAGCACTTTGGGAGGCTGAGGATGGTGGATCACAAGGTCAAGAGATGGAGACCATCCTGGCCAACATGGTGAAACCCCGTCACTACTGAAAATACAAAAATTAGCTGGGCATGGTGGCGCATGCCTGTAGCCTGTAGTCCCAGCTACTCAGGAGGCTGAGGCAGGAAAATCACTTGAACCTGACAGGCAGGGCTTGCAGGGTTTGGTGGAGCTCCGCAGAGCTTGGAGTGTTGAGGTCGCGCCACTGCACTTCCAGCCTGGAGACAGAAGGAGACTCCATCTCAAAAATAAACAAATAAATAAATATAAATAAAAAAATAAAATAAAATGCAGGTTTTATTATTAGTATCAGGTATGGTGAGGCCAACAGGTCAGGAGACAGCTGCCGTTGAAGAGATTGTTACCCACAGTTCCCAAGAGGAGGGGTCACACTGCACCACAGAGGGCCACCTGGGGAAGCAGGAGTTGGCCAGGAGGCAGAGGATGTAAGGGGAAAATGTGGGCAAGAGCCGTCATTGTGATTTTCATGGGAAGGAAGGGGCAAGGTAGGTAAGCAGGTTTAGCAGGTGTAGGATTGGCCAGCTTGAATAATTTCAGCAGGTTCTGGGATGTAGGGGCTGCCCTAATTGTCTGATGTCTGTGAAATGGGAGAGTTCCCTGACCCCTCTTGAGGATGTGTGACAGCGGTGTGGCTTGTGTGTTTGGTCACAGTACGCTGAAACCCCTATGGGAGGGGGAGCACGCAGACAGGCAGGCTCAGGAGCATGTGTTACAGTGTGCTCTTTTAGCTTTGGCCTCCATGGATGGCTTAAGTGTTAACCAGTTCAGTGGACCCTCTGCTTTTCACAAGGGCAGAGGGCCAGTGTCACAGGTTTCTATATCCCAAGCTCTTGTCCATTGTCCTGGAAGAATCAGGTCACACATGAACTTGAAGGGTGGTGAATGCAGGGGTTTTATTGGATGGTGGAGGTGGCTCTCAGCAGGATGAATGGGGAGCTAGAAAGAGAATGGAGTGGGAAAATGATCTCCTGGATTTTGGTCATCCAGCAGCCAAACTCCTCTCTAACCGCCCCCAACTGAACTCCTCTTGGCGTTCAGACGCTCCTTTTCTCCTCTCTGTCACACCCTTCTGCCGTTCTTCTGTTCTTCTGTTCGTCTTCTCATCTCCTTTTGGAGCCTAGGATCTGGGGTTTATATGGGTACAGGATAGTGGGGTATGGCGGGCCACAAAGACAAATTTTTGGGCGTGAAAACAGGAATGCCTGTTTCCATTTAGGGCCACAGGTATCCAGGCTTCAGGGTGGGGCCTTTGCTGGGGGACTGCCCTCTTCTACCCAGTATTTCCCTGTCTCCTGTCTGTATCTTCTGGGCCTGGGTGAGCAGGGCAGGTCAGTAGTGCCCCAAGTGTGAGAGCCCAATAAAGGAGGCTGCTGGGGAGTACAGGGTCTGGACTGGTTCATGTGCATGTGAAAGGCACACCAGCAGGAGAATCTTTTGCTATTTCTAGGAATTAGCTATCCCTGGGAGGGCAGTCTCTTCAAGGTCAGCAAGGCTCCAGATGTCAAAGTATCAAAAATATAGAAAACAAGAAGTCATACTTAACACACTTCACAATTAGCCACCTCAGTTAAGAATTTGACTCTCTTGGCTGGGGATAGTGGCTCACGCCTATAATCCCAGCACTTTGGGAGGCTGAGGGAGGAGGATTGCTTGATGCCAGGAGTCCGAGATCAGCCTGGGCAACATAGCAAGGAGATCCCTTGTGTCTACAAAAAGTTTTTTAAAAAAATTAGCCTGATGTCTGCAATAGGCTACTTAGGCAAGCCCTCCATAAAAGTCAGAGGAGAGCTCAGTACAGAGCGAAGAGTGACATCAAATGAGGACTGTGGGAGCCAGATTTGAAAACCCAATAACAATACTCAACTTTTTAAAAAAGATAGTGAAGTGGTCTTCATTGATTTTGATTTTCACCACCAAGCCAATCATGTGAAGGACAGAAGCTTTTGCCATGGGCCCCTCACATCAGGGAAAATGACCTTCACTGCTGTTAACAGTAATGTGTCCCTTTCATTTTCTGGGTCAAGCCTTCTCAGCGGTGGGTCCGGATGTGGGTAAACTAAGGTAAAGGGGATGATATTCCACAAACTATGCACACAGAAAATCGTGGAGCCTATCAGACCCCAAGGTGTCTTGAAATGTTTGTAGAAACCCACTAAAATGCCCGCGTCTCTGGGTGTGGGCCTTTATTGCTGCTGTCTCACAGCCTGAGCTGTAGTACACAGAAATGGGGGTTCTCCCTTTATTTTCATTTTTTCCCCAATGGCAGCTTTTCTCCCATTGTTTTACCTTCCTACTTCCCAAACAATTCCTCTTATTTTGTCTTTTGCACCAGTTTCTGGAGACCCTTGTTATTTCAAAAAGAAGAGTCTCTTTCCTGGCAAACCTGTGAGTGATTCCACAAATGTACGGTATTACTTAGCTATCTGAATTATGGCAGAAAAGGTCCTAGTAGGTTCCTATACAAAGCATTTGGAAGATGACCTTGTTGCCCAATGAAACTTGAAAATAGGGATTCTGGGGTGAGGATACAAAGACATTGTCTTGCATATCCATAAGCAGGTCTTAGAGCATTATTCCGAACTCTAGCTGTTTCAGTAGTTCTATGAGGATTGCAAATCATAGGTGTGTGTGGCATATCAGTCCATCTCCCTCATCTCCATTGGCAGTTTCTTCCCCACAAAATTTTGAATCAAAGCTTTTATATGACGTTTGCCAATTGCAGAACTTCTTTAGCTAAGGTTAATTTGATGCTATGATAAAATTGAGAGATGTCAAAAAGCCTCTTAGAAGTTTTAATCTTGAAAGACATTTCAGGATATCTCATTTTTTAGGTAGGGGTGACAGATGTATTTCTTTTTTTAACAAATAAAAGGCATTTAGGTCAAATTCAAATGAAAAAGTAGGCCTTTTGACATTCTGTACTTGCTGGTTCTGTCCCTGTGTCTGTAACAAATCTCATTTTTGTTACCAAGAACTGTATGAAAGAAGTAAATCTGCCCCGATTCTGTATGATTAATTCCATCTGTGTTTGTCCTTTCTGCCCGGAAAACTTACTTCCATACCTTGTTTGATATGGAGGACAAATAATTGGATTGTCTGATAAGTCTGCTAATAAACTATCCAGAAACAGCAGATGTAATAGTCCCCACTATACGAATCTTATGTTTTGTATAAACACTAACATTTTCCCCTTCTGTAGTGGTATGAAAAAACAAATATTGTTAGCATGGTAGATAAATTGTTATGAAATACCAGAAAGAAAAAAAAGTATATCTTTTAACTGAGAACAAGCAATACCCAGATAAATGACTGTATCAGGATTTCATTTGCATGTTAGTCCACAGAGTTGCCCAGAACCCTACATTTATTCACAAGAGAAAATATTGATAATTATTGGTCATTCCTTGTAAGTGTAGCTGTTGATGTGTGTGTCTGATTATTGCTTTTTTAATTTCACAAAAATTGTGTAAAATTAAATATTTTTCCCTCAGGGGAGAAAAAAACATCAAACAAACAAAAAGAGAAACATCTAAATCATCCTTTCTTTTATTTTTTGGTTTTTAACCACTTTTAGGTTTTCCCCTTGCAGAAACCACAGAAATATTCCCTTAGAATAAAATAGTATATTTGTAAAAATTAGCCCGGCATGGTGGTGCATCCCTGTAGTCCTAGCTGTTTGGAAGGCTGAGGCAGGAGGATTGCTAAGCCCAGGAATTTGAGGCTGCAATGAGTTACAGTCATGCCGCTGCACTCCAGCCTGGGTGATAGAGTGAGATCCTGTCTCAAAAAAAAAAAAAAAAAAAAGTCCAGGGGAGGATCTGATTGGCTCATGTGTGTCATATGCTCAATATCAAATGCTGGCAAGGATGTGGAGAGGCTGGATCGCTCATCCGTTATTGGTGGGAATATAAAATGGTACTGACACTCAGGAAAACAGTTTGGCAGTTTCTTAAAAAATTAAGCAGACACTTCCCGTATGACTCAACAATGCCATTCCTGGGTATTTATCTCAGAGAAATGGAAGCTTACATCCACATAAAAACCTATACATAAATGTTCATAATAGTTTCATTTGTAATAGTCCCCAAAAAGCCAATCTCAAAACGTCACCTATTGTATGATTCCATTTATATAACATTCTTGAAATGAGAAAATTAAAGGGGGGAGAAGAGATTACGAATTGCTAGTTAGGGATGGTGGGGGTGGGTAGGGTAGCACGCGGGAGATCTTTGTGGGCTGGAATAGTTATCTTGATGGGTGGTGGGTACAGGAAGCTGCACACTGAAGAAATAGCACAGCACTATACACACATTGTATCAATGTCAATTTCCTGGGATGCTGTTGTACTGTACTTGTGTAAGAAGTAACCACTGGGCATAGAGGGGGTGAAGGTTACATGGAACCTCGCTATACTATTTTTGTAACTTGCAATCTATATTTATTTCAAACTAAAAAGTAAACAAATACTGGAGAACACTTAGCCGTGGGGGGAAATTATACCATTCTGTGGGGACTCAGGCAGTGCTAGGTGAATGAACAAATCCCAGTTGCCCTTGGGGAAGGGTGGGACAGCTGCCTCTATTTCTGCCTGTGCACTGAGAGAAGAGGGTCTGTTCTGTTCTCCCATCAATCCCAGTTGCAGCCATAACTGTGCTAAGTGATAAGCTTCAGACTCATCCATCTGGGTCTCGCCCCTCACTCTGAGCTCAGGGTGGAAAGAGAGGCCCATAGTCCCACCTCCAGGTGCATGCGTAATCCCTTGCGTAGGGGAGGAGTCTTAAAGGCACCATTGGCCTTTTGAAATGAGAAAGTTCACCCGGCAAGTGGCTCACGCCTATAGTCCTAGCTACTCAGGAGGCTGAGGCAAAGGATTGCTTGAGGCCAGGAGTTCGAGGCTGCAGTGAGCTATGATTGTGCCACTGCGTTCCAGCCTAGGCAACAGAGGGAGACCTGACTCGAAAAAAAAAAAAAAAAAAAGTTGGTGGAATTTTATTCAGCCAGCCAAAATGAATCCAACATAACAACATAGGAAATACTTCGGATGGTCAGTGAAACAATTAGGAGACAGTTTTATGTGCTCCATGTCTGTACCTATATATAAAATACGAATATCTGGATAAAAACAGGAACAGAATATGTCAAAATGAACACACCGTATCATGCTTTTATGACCGTAGGATTAAGGGTGAGTTTTCGTCTTTTGCTCTTCAAACTCTTCATGAAGTTGCTTGTGGTACTTTTTTTTTAGTTTTTAAATGTATAACTTGAGATGACATTCTTTGTAAACTGTCCCCATCTCCTGGTTCCCAACAACCACACTTTTCTTTCCTTTTTTTTTTGATACTGAGTCTCGCTCTGTCGCCCAGGCTGGAGTGCAGTGGCGTGATCTCGGCTCACTGCAAGCTCCGCCTCCTGGGTTCAAGCAATTCTCCTGCCTCAGCCTCCCAAGTAGCTGGGATTACAGGCGCCTGCCACCACATGTGGCTAATTTTTGTATTTTTTGTAGAGACGGAGTTTCACCTTGTTGGCCAGGCTGGTCTCAAACTCCTGACTTCAGGCGATCCACCCACTTCAGCCTCCCAAAGTGCTGGGATTACAGGCATGAGCCACCATGCCTGGCCATCCTTCCGCATTTTCTTGATGCAAATATAAGCAACTCTGAACTATATATATATATACACACACACATACACATACATATATATACACATACATATATACACACATATATACATACATATATACATACATATATACACATATATACATACATATATACACATATATACATACATATATACACATACATACATACATGTATATACACACATACATACATGTATACACACATACATACATGTATACGCACACATATACATACATGTATACGCACACATATACATACATGTATACGCACACACATACACATACATGTATACGCACACACATACACATACATGTATACGCACACATATACACATACATGTATACGCACACATATATACATACATGTATACGCACACATATATACATACATGTATACGCACACATATACATACATGTATACGCACACACATACATACATGTATACGCACACACATACATACATGTATACGCACACACATACATACATGTATACGCACACACATACATACATGTATACGCACACATATACATACATGTATACGCACACATATACATACATGTATATACACACATACATACATGTATATACACACATACATACATACATGTATATACACACATACATACATGTATATACACACATACATACATACATGTATATACACACATACATACATGTATATACATACATGTATATACATACATATATATACATACATACATGTATATACATACATATATATACATACATGTATATATACATACATGTGTATATACATACATACATGTGTATACATACATACATGTGTATACATACATACATACATGTGTATACATACATACATGTGTATATATACATATATACATACATGTGTATATATACATATATACATACATGTATATATGTATATATATATATATTTTTTGAGACAAGGTCTCACTTTGTTACCCAGTCTGGAGTACAGTGGTGCTACCATGGCTCCATGCATCCTCAATCTCCCAGGCTCAAGTGATCGTTTTGCCTCAGCCTCCAGAGTAGCTGGGACTACAGGCATGTGCAACCACACTTGGCTAAGTTTTTTTTTAAAGTAGATACGGGGGGTCTCACTGTATTTCCCAGGCTGGTCTCAAACTCCTGGGATCAAGCAATCCTCCCCTTTCAGCCACTCGAAGTGCTGGGAATACAGATATGAGCCACTGCACCCGGCCCCTGAACCATATTATTTCCCCTCATTCGAACATAAACTCAGCATACCAAAGGCAGTTTTTGCCCATCCCCCCCTTTTTATTACTTTTTCTTTCTGTATCGGTACATAATACTTTAAAAAAACAAACAAACAAAGGGAAAAATCCCAAACAAACAAGCAAATAGATGTGCGAATACTGTGATTGCCAAACAACAGGCAAATGAGAATCCTGCAGGCAGAGGCTCACCTGGTCCAGCCACCTCCCTCACCCTAAATCTGTCTTCCCACTCACTTCCTAGTAAAACGAAGGACTCACCTCCCTTGCCACTTACCAAGCATTGCTCTGCAGTCCAGGCTAGTAGGCAAGTATCTGTTTCATGTTGGTTAATCAGTTTTGGGAACAGATCTCAATGGGTTTCTGTTAGCAGCTAGGGGCATCTCCTGCTCTGCTCTTGTCCCATTTCCTCCCAATAAAGTAGACTAACTGTTCTTTTCTTGTTGCTTTAAAATTTGTAGTTGACATGTAATAATTGCACATGTTTATGAGGTACTGAGTGATACTTCCATACATGTCTAAAATGTGTAATGAACAAATGAGGGTAATTAGCACATCCATCACCTCAACACCCATTATTTCTTTGTGTTGGAAACGTTCAAAATCCTCTTTTCTAGCTATTTGAAAACATAAATTATTGTTAATTCTAGTCATCCTGCAGTGCTATAGAACATTAGAACTTGCTCTTATGTCACTGCAACTTTGTATTCATTAACCAACCTCTCTCCACCCTCCCCTCCCTTTTACCCTTCCCACACTCTTGTAACCACATTTCTTGAAGTGGACTAATTTTTTAACAATATAGGCAGCCTTAGTTATAACTAAAGCCGAATTCCCTCCCCTGCAGAGGGAGCCTGCCCTGTCCAGCCTGCCCTGTACTGCCTGTCCATTTGCAAATAAGATAAAATCCCGAAGTCTCTTGGGGCAATTAAGAGCTTCCAAGGCCTTCAGTGGAAAGCTGAGAGACGCCCCTGGCTGTGGAGGCTGCCCAGTTCCAGTCTGGGTCCCACCCTTGCTTGGCACCCTGCCTTGCCTGTTCTGAAAGCTGGCAGCATCTGGGTGTGGCTGGCCCCAGACACCCTGGGAAACAGGACTGTACTCCAGGACCCCAAAGGTAGGGTGCCATTAGGGACAGAGGATGTCCCAGCAGCGGGAAAAGGAGCAGGTGAACATTTGTTAGAGGCCACTGCTCTCTCGAATGTCTCCTGTCATTGGTTTAGCTTAAACTGTATCCCTTTCTTTTCTGGGCCTGGTTGTGGCTCCTGGGAACAGCCATGGTGTGGCTGACTGAACTGGATTCTGCCCCCCAGGCCGGGCAGACCCTGGTTACTTGGCCCTGAAATATTAGAAAGCTGGGAAGAAGCCCCAGATCTCAGGACACCCTCACCCTCGGTATCGCACTAGAGCCAGGTCCTTGTATTTGGTGGATGGCAACTTCTCAGTGCCTCAGTTTCCCCATGGGAGCTGGGTACAAGAACCACCTTCCCTTTCATCATAGGATGCAACAAAAAAAGTCAGATCAGGATGGCAAACTCAGGTGCCTCCAATGAGCAAATGGGGAAAGCAGCTGGGTTAAAAAGAGAATAGATTTCTTTTCTTTTTCTTTTTTTTTTTTTCTGAGGCGGAGTCTTGCTCTGTCGCCCAGGCTGGAGTGCAGTGGCACGATCTTGGCTCACTGCAACCTCTGCCTCCCGGGTTCAAGTGATTCTCCTGTCAGCCTCCAGAGTAGCTGAGATTACAGGTGCGCGCCGCCTGCCTGGCTAATTTTTTTCTATTTTTAGTAGAGATGAGTTTCACCATGTTGGCCAGGCTAGTCTTGAACTCCTAGATTTCTTTCCTTGAAACCTGAAGCTCTTTTGGCTTAGCTTAGATTTCCTAGCCTTTTGGTAGAGACATAGGTATGAAAAACACCACTTGCCTTCTCAATCCGGCTCTAAGGAAGACTAGACACCCAGTTGACTGTAGCTGCCAACTGCTTCAGGCCTCTGTGGGGGCAGGGGTTGGGCAGAGTGGGGCCGTGGGGACGGAGGGGGCGATACCACTTCCAGGGGGCAGCAGCAGGCCATGGCCAGGCAGGAAAGCAAGCCTTTCGCCGCCAGGGCAAACTTTTCAAGACAAGTCAGAAACCTGTATTTATTTATTTATTTTTACATTTCTCAATGTTTAAATGCTGGCAAATGATTCAAGAAAGTTTCAAACACTTTGGGCCAATCAAAACAGGTCTGAGGGCCAGATTTCAGCCTCAGGCTGCCAGTTCACTGACCTCAGACCCAGACCTCTTTGGAGCCACGTGCCGGCTGGCACTCGGCCTGCTGTTTCCACAGGCCGTGGGGAAGGTCCGCAGTCCAGCCCTCCCGCCCCTCAGCTGTCATTCTGTGAGAGACACTGAAAGATTTCATTTTGAAATATAAATGTACTAAGCATTTTCTGCAAGTTTGTCACCCACCTTTTCCACCGTTTTTCAGCAACAGCTTGACATAGCTTAAGTGCACATGGTTGACTGCAAGCTGAGCAGGTCATTCGTCTCTAGTCCTCAGTTCTATCATCTGTAATGTGAAGGGGTCCAACTAGACACTCATCCAGCTCAAACCTTCACTGGCTCCAAGACCAAGTTTGGGGGGTGGGGAAGGAGTTTTTCTAAAGGTAATAACTTCACTCATGGTTTTAGCTGAGTCTCTAAGAGTGCACTGCAGAGGTAATTTTAAATCTCTAGTAGTCACATTAAAAAAATTAAAAATTAGCTGGGTGTGGTGGTGGGTGCCTGTAGTCCCAGCTACTCAGGAGGCTGAGGTGGGAGGATTGCTTGAGGCTGGCAGGCAGAGGTGGCAGTGAGTTAGATCACGCCACTGTACGCCAGCCTGGGTGACAGAGACAGACCCTGTCTCAAAAATATATTAAAAATTTTAAAAAAATAAAAATTAAAAATAAATAGGTAAAGTTAATGTTAATAATGCATTTCATTTAATGCAACATATAAACATATCAGTTCAATATGTGATCAATATAAACATATTAATGGGATATCTTACATTACTTTTTCACCCCAAGTTTTGGAACTCCAGTCTGTGTCTTACACTCACAGCACATTTCAGGCACTCCATGGCCACCTGTGGCTAGTGGCTACCAAATCGGAAAGCGCAGTTCCAAGGCAAGAAGTGCCAGCAACTGCCACATTCCCAAGAGAGTTGCTAGATTACCTAAGCAGGAAGAGAATCCTGCATCTCCCCCAGTAGGTAAAGCAGTTCATATTCTCCCTGCCTTCCCTCGGCCACATTTTTCTTTCCACTGAGAAAATGTCTTCATCGGCCACATGTGGTGGCTCACACCTGTAATCCCAACACTTTGGGAAGCCAAGGTGGATCACTTGAGGTCAGGAATTTGAGACCCCATCTCTACTAGAAATACAAAAATTAGCCTGGCATGGTGGCGTACGCCTGTAGTCCTAGCTACTTGGGAGCTGAGGCATAAGAGTCACTTGAACCCAGGAGGCAGAGGTTGCAGTGAGCCGAGATCGTGCCACTGCACTCCAGCGTGGGTGATAAAGCGAGAGACTCTGTCTCAAAAAAAAAAAAAAAAAAAAAAAAACTTCATAGTGAAAGACGACCACAGCATACTCAGCTTACCTGGCACACACTGCTGTCCAGCCCAGCAATCAGATAGTACAGTAGTCCCCCTTATCCACGCACAGTTTCAGTTACCCGAGGTCAGCCTCGGTCCAAAAACACCAAATGGAAATTCTGCTAATAAACAATTCGTAAGTTTTAAATCGTGGCTGTTCTGAGTAGCGTGATGAGCATGATGAAATACTGTGCTGTCCTGCTCTGTCCTGCCCGGGATGTGAATCATCCCTTTTCCAGCATGTCCATGCTGCCGACACTCCCCACCAAGTTAGTCACTTAGAGACGCCTCAGTTATCAGATCCACTGTCACAGAATCACAGTGTTTGTGTCCCAGTAACTCTTCTTTGCCTTAATAATGCTCCCAAAAGTGCAAGAGTAGTGATATTGGCATATTGTTATAAATGTTCTATTTTATTATTGTTATTGTTAATCTCTTACTGTGGCTAATTTATAAATTAACATTCACCATAGGTATGTATGTGTAGGAAAAAACAAACCTTATAGGATAGTAGGGTAGTAACCCTACCCTATATAGGATGGTAGGGTTCCATACTACCTGTGGTTTCAAGCATCCACTAGGGGGCTTGGAACATATCCCCTGCAGGTAAGGAGGGACTCCAGTATCTGTTTCCACCATCAGCGATCAGACTCCCCTCTTAATCCCGGGCTCAGTTTACTCAGCTCATGCACTGTTGTCCAGTCCAGCAGTCAGCTCTGTGCCAGCTCTGAGTAGGCAAGACCCAGGGAGCACAGAGTAAGAGCCCGCTCTGGGACTCGTAGCTGACACTGCCTCTAGCCGGTCAGGGCCAGTGGGAACATCGCCCCTCTTCACTATCCCACTGCTCTTGACCCTGAAGTAGCCATAGGCAGCTGTGAGGGCAAGGAAGAGAAACTTGAGGTGGGGAACACAGGCAACACCCACCCAGGCCCCCTGCTGAAAGGCAGGCTCCCAGGCTGCAGCATAAGCTTTAGCTGAAAGTGAAGTTTTGAGAGTCCTGGATCATTCTGCTGGTGTGGATTTACTCATTACTGAACTAAGGCAGTTTGTGTTTCTAAAATTAATCAGAGGGTTTGCTTTAAAACATTCCAGAGGCTGGGCGTGGTGGCTCACGCCTGTAATCCTGACACTTCGGGAGGCCGAGGTGGGCGGATCACGAGGTCAGGAGATCAAGACCATCCTGGCCAACATGGTAAAACCCTGCCTCTACTAAAATACCAAAAATTAGCCAGGCATGGTGGTGCGCGCCTGTAGTCCCAGCTACTCAGGAGGCTGAAGCAGGGGAATCGTTTGAACCCGGGAGGCAGAGGTTGCAGTGAGCCGAGATCACGCCACTGCACTCCAGCCTGGTGACAGAGCAAGACTCCATCTCAATTAAAAAAAAAAAAAAATTCCAGAAAAAAAAATGTGTTGGGGTGAGGTGGGAATTCATATAACAACAACATGGCTGTGATTGGTTACACGGCAATCCACCGTACCATTGTCTTTTTTCTGGTGATGTGTGAAAATTTCCACAATGAAAAATTTTAAACAGTGGCTACAGGACTTTTTAAAATTGGGAGTGAGCAGGAGAGGTATAGAACCTGCTGGAAATTCACGCATGTGTGGGATCAGAGCTATCTTCACAGAGCAGGTTTCAATGGGCAAACTATAGGGGGAAATGATAAAATAATCCAATTGTTTTCTGAGTACACCCTGTGAGATCCACTTGTCCAGCGTTCTGCTTATTTTTTCTGGGTGGTTGAATTTATGTGTTCCCATCCTCCATTCCTAGAGAATGCCTTCTGGCCAAGACTTCCCCAGTGCTCACCCCAGCAGGATCTAGGCAGTTCTGTGGCTCCCTGGCTTTTTTGGGCGATCTGACGACATGGCAGCTCCTTGCCACAGACACCAAGATAGATGTTTCCGGAGTGCAGAGCCCTGGGGGTGCGGAAGGACAGCCTCTGTGAAGATATTCAGCACAGCAGGGGCCATTAGTCACCAAGGATCATTTGACATTTTGAAATGAACTCCCGGGCTCTCCTAAGTAAGCTGGAACACTGAATTATGCCTAGGCTAGTGGCTGTGTCTGGGGCTGAGGGTCCCCGCCAGGAGGGGAGGCTGGGTGCAGCGCCTCAATGCCGGGAAGTGAGCAGCATAGCGCATGCGCAGGAACCTCGCTGGTCCGCCTGTGGTCTCTCAGCTGGGGTCACAGCTCATGGCAGCTTCAGCGGTGTGGGTGGGTGGCCTCGCTTACCATCGACCTTTGTGACAAGCCTTACTGGCTCTTCTTCAGGAACTTGCCACCGAGTATCAGCCGAAACCTGAGTCCGCTGAGGCGTAGGCCAAAGGCCCCTCTAGCTGTCCTTTCTCAGGCCCAGAGGATGCTCACGGAGAAAAGCCACCATTCAGTTGAGTCCATCTCTGGCACCAAAGCTCACAATGAGGCTACGCCGAGGAAACTGGCTTTTCATAGTTAGATTTGGTTTTCTTCCCTGAGCGTGACAGCCAATACTTTATGAAGACTCCCTGAATGCTGGGCATTATTCAGTGCTTGGAATCATGTAATCCTCACAGCAACCCTGTGAGGAGGGGCTTTCCCCGTCCCTGTTGTATGGATGAGAAACGGAAGGCTTGCAGAGGCTACCATGAAGTGACTTGCCCAAGGGCACACAGCCGGTGAGTTGTGACTAGTACTCAACGCAGCCACAAAAGCCTGGCTCTCAACCACTGATCCTGCCTCCCCGGGAGCTTTAGGAAACTAGGCTTATTACAGGTTCCATTCAAGGCAGGGATGGGCGGGGTTCCCAGCTGAGGCCCTGGAGCAGTCCTGCAGCCTTACATTTCTTCAGAGCCAACTACGTGTGGGACATTCCAATCCAGGTGTGGTCAAATGAGGCCCTGTCATGCAGGGGTTCCTGGGTGACTTAGGGGAAGAATGATTTTTTTTTTTTTGAGACAGGGTCTTGCTTGGTGGCCCAGGCTGGGGTGCAGTGGCTCAATCATGGCTCACTGCAGCCTCAACCTCCCGGGATCAAACTCCCACTTCAGCCTCCAGAGTAGCTGGAACTACAGGCACGTGCCACCAGACCCAGCTAATTTTTGTGTTTTTTTGTAGAGAGGGGATTTCACCGTGTTGTCCAGGCTGGTCTCGGACTCCTGGGCTCAAGCTGTCTGCCCGCTTCGGCCTCCCAAAGTGCTGGGATTACAGGCGTGAGCCACTGCACCCGGCCCTGGAAGAATGATTTAAGAATCATTTGTGATGGCGGTCAAATGTTTATTTTGAAATGCCAGAGAATAGTTTTCTAGGCAAAACCTTCCCTCTGCCCAGGTGGCGACACCCTTCATTTGCTTAGCAAACTCTTTTTCCAGTGGTTCTGCAAAGGCTACCCTGAAGAAAAGGAACTAGTAATGCCTAACACTTTCGAGTTTACAAAATGCTATTCCTTACCTGATTTTGCTTTGCTCCGTCCATAATTTGGCAATAGGCGATTCAGACCCATTACAGAGATGAGGAAGCAGAGGCTTCCGGAGGCAAATTGCTTGGCAGCTCAGCCAGGACTCAAAGCACAAACTCTAGTTTGGACTACCCAGTAGGAAGAAATGGAAAGGGAAGAGAGATGCCAAACTGATGAGGTTTTAGTGAAACTACCCTGTGTTTCTTAGGATGTGAGTGGCTATTTCTTGGGTAGATTTCTCTCAAGCACAGTTCCTCTGTCCTTTCTTGTCGTGCCCAGACCCCTGCCCTCCGCTCCTCCCAGGCCTTCTTGCTGATGAGTAAACAAGATACTTTCTGGTCACCCACCTTGGAAAATGAGGGCTGCATTATAGCCGGACTCCCCCTGAGTAAGCATAAGTCTGGGCTGGGCACGGTGGCTCACATCTGTAATCTCAGCACTTTGGGAGGCCGAGGCGGGTGGTCACTTGAGATCAGGAGTTTGAGACCAGCCTGGCAAACATGGGTGAAACCCCATTTCTACTAAAAATACAAAAATTAGCCAGGTGTTGTGGCGCACACCGGTAATCCCAGTTATATGGAGGCAGAGGCAGGGGAATTGCTTGAACCTGGGAGGCGGAGGTTGCAGTGAGCCAAGACCACGCCACTGCACTCCAGCCTGGGCAACAGAGTGAGACTCCATCTCAAAAAAAAAAAAAGAAAAAAAAAAAAGAAAGGTGGATCTGACTCTTCCAGGATCACACAGGTCTAAGAGGTAAATCCAGATTTTCTGTTATAATCCCAAGGTCATTCTACTATAGCCCTAAGACACACAGGTACCTCTCTCTTTCACTCCTAAAGCCTGTGCTTTTTTTTTTTTTTTTTTTTTTGAGACAGAGTCTTACTCTGTCACCCAGGCTGAAGTGCAATATCTCACAGGTTCAAGTGATTCTCATGCTTCAGCCTCCCAAGTGTCTGGGATTACAAGCACCTGCCACCACGCCCAACTAATTTTTGTATCTTTAGTAGAGACTGGGTTTCACCATGTTGGTCAGGCTGGTCTTGAACTCCTGACCTCAAGTGATCTGCCTGCTTTGGCTTCCTGAAGTGCTGGGATTACAGGCATGAACTATTGCACCCGCCCTGTGCTGTCTTTTAAGATTCATTGGTGAGGCCGGGTGTGGTGGCATACGTCTATAATCCCAGCACTTTGGGAGGCCGAGGTGGGCGGATCACGAGGTCAGGAGATCGAGACCATCCTGGCTAACACGGTGAAACCCCGTCTCTACTAAAAAATACAAAAAATTATCCAGGCATGGTGGCATGTGCCTGTAGTCCCAGCTACTCGGGAGACTGAGGCAGGAGAATGGCATGAGCCCGGGGAGATGGAGCTGCAGTGAGCTGAGATCGTGCCACTGCACTCCAGCCTGGGTGACAGAGCAAGACTCCGTCTCAAAAAAAAAAAAAAAAAAGATTCATTGGTGAACGAGTACATTCATTTGCTAGGAATTCTTGGATGTTTGTTTACAAATGCGTATCTCCTCAACCAGACTCTGAGCCCTTTCAATCAACTCAATACATTATGAAACAAACAAGAACAATGCAAGCAGACTAAAAAAAAAAAAAATGTGCATCTTGTCCCCGAGTAGGAACTGCCCCATAAATCTCCTGATCTTCCAATATGCCCGTTCTCCCCTGCACAGCTAGCAAGGGTTCTGGGGTAGGGTTTCTGTTTCCAAAAGTGCCTAATAGGGACATGCTTATCATTAGTTCTCCAAATCTGGGGAATGCTCATTTGTTTGCCTGTGCGAAAATGAATGTATAGTTTACCCAATACACACACAGACACGCACACACACACATATATGAGTTAGTCAAGCACAGAGAACAAAATTTGGAGAACTGCCAGATCATGAAGAGTGTTTAATCCTGGGGTAGGGCCAAAATGTCATTATAGGCAATTTTCACCTTTTGTGAATGCTTACAGCTTATTCAAAAAATATTTTCAAAATAAAATATTGAGTATGTATAAAAGAATATCAATAAAATGTAAGTAAGGTATGAAGAGTTATGATACAATAGACACTCATATACTCACCACCTGGGCAAAGAAATAGAACACAGTACTATTTCCTCTGAAGTCCCCTGTTAGCCCTCCCCAGTGCCATCCCTGCCCCTTAGCCTTCAGAGGTAACCATGTCCCTGAATTCTGTATTGATCAGTCTACTTTTCTTTTAGTTTTACCACATATGTTTGCAGCCTGGACGAGCTTGTTTCATTTTGCATTTTTGCATTTTTACATTTTCAATAAATGGAAATATACTCTAAGTACTTTTCTGCAACTTGGGAGATTAATCTATATTGTTGCATATAGTTCATTCATTTTCAGTGAGTACAGATTGTTTTCAGTGCTATATAGTATTCCATTGTATGAATATATTATAATGTATTTAACTATTTTATCATTGTTGGACAGCTGCATTGTTTACAGTTTTCTTTTTTTAATATTACAAGTGAGGCTATTATGAACATTTTTGTATAAGTCTCATAGTGTTACACATTGCCATTGAGAAAAATATCTGAGAGAGGAATTTCTGGTCATAGAGTATGTACATATTTAACTTTACTAGATGATGTCAGTCTTCCAAAGTGGTTGTATAAATTTATACTCCCACCACAGTCTTTGGAAGCTTCCATTGATCCTCTTCCTCATCAACACTCAGCAATTCTTGTTAGACTTCTTAATTTTAGCTGCTGGGTGGGTGAGTAATAGTGTCTCATTGTAGTTGTAATTTGCATTTTGCTGATTACCAATGAGGTTTAGCACATTTTCATGTTTATTGGCCATTTGGAAATCTTTTCTGAAGTGCCTGTCGATTTAATTTTTTTTTTCTGTTTGTCCTCTGGTGCTAAAACTGAAAACATGTTCAATACTTTAGTCTATTTTTCTACTGGGTTTTTGATGTCAGTTTTTGGTAATGCTTTCTACATCCTAGAGATGGGACCTTTAGTATGTGCAGCAACGATTACCGCCAATTCCTCGGCTTGCCTTTTCATTCTCTTCGTGGTGTCTTTTGATGAACAGGAGTTCCTAAATGTAATGCAGTCAAACTTAGCAATCATTTCCTTTATGTTCAGTACTTTTTGTGTTCTGTTTGTTTCCCTACCCTGACAGCATGAAGATATTTTCCTATATTATTTTCTGGAAGCAATCTTGTTTTGCCTTTCATCTTTAGATCTACCATCTAGATTGATTTTTGTGTATGTTGTGTGGTAGGGTCACATTTCTTTTCCTTTTTCATGTGGATATCCATGGAGCTATTGAATAGAAATAAGTACCCTTTTCCCACTGTCCTGCAGTACTGCCTTTTCCATAAGTGTGCATGTGCCATAGATCCATCTCTATCCCATTGGTGTATGAGTCTGTTCTCACATTGCTATAAAAAACTTCCCGAGACTGAGTAGTTTACAAAGAAAAGAAGTTTAATTGACTCAGCTCCACAGGCTGTACAGGAAGCATGGTTGGGGAGGCCTCAGAAAAAATCATGGCAGAAGGTGAAGGGGAAGCAAGCACATCTTACCATAGTAAAGCAGGAAAGAGAGAGCAAAGGGGGATATGCCACACACTTTTCAACAACCAGATCTCGTGAGAACTCACTTACTATCACAAGAACAGCAAGGGGGAAATCTGCCCCCATGATCCAATCACCTCCCACCAGGTCCCTCCCCACATTGGGAATTACAATTTGATGTGAGATTTGGGTGGGAACACGGAGCCAAACCATATCAATTGGTCTGTCTATGTTTGTTATACAGTATAACAGTATAATGTCTTATTTTAGCTTTCTAATGAATCTTGCTTCCTGACAGAGGAGATCTTCTTCAAGATGATGTTAGCTACTCTTGAACTTTTGCAGTTCCTTATGAATTTTTTGTTTTGTTTTGTTTTTGTTTTTTGGGACAGAGTCTCACTCTGTTGCCCAGGCTGGAGTGCAGTGGCGCGATCTCGGCTCACTGCAACCTCCACCTCCTGGGTTCAAGTGATTCTCCTGCCTCAGCTCCTGAGTAGCTGAGGCTACATGCACGTGCCACCACACCTGGCTAATTTTTTGTATTTTTATTAGACGGGGTTTCACCATGTTAGCCAGTATGGTCTTGATCTCCTGACCTTGTGATCAGCCCACCTCAGCCTCCCAAAGTGTTGGGATTACAGGCGTGAGCCACTGCACCCGATCTCCTTTTGAATTGCAAAATCACCTTATCTGGGCCTGGTGTGGTGGCTCACACCTGTAATCCCAGCACTTTGGGAGGCAGCGGTGGGTAGATCGCCTGAGGTCAGGAGTTTGAGACCAGCCTGGCCAACATGGTGAAACCCCATCTGTACTACAAATACAAAAATTAGCCAGGCATGGTGATAGGAGCCTGTAATCCCAGCTACTTGGGAGGCTGAGGCAGGAGAATCGCTTGAACCTTGGAGGTGGAGGTTGCAGTGAGCTGAGATCGCACCACTGCACTCCAGCCTGGGCTACAAGAGCGAGACGCCATTTCAAAAAAAAAAAAAAAAAATCACCTTGCCTGTTACCACAAAAAGGGAACTTTGATTGGACTTGCACTGAATCTGTAGATTGGTTTTGGAAGAATTTATATCTTTACAATATTGAGTCTTCCAATTTCTGAGCATGATATCATTCTTTATTTAGTTAGATCTTTTTTTCAGTAATGTTTTTATAGTTTTAAACATAGGCATCTTGAACATCTTTTGTTAGAATTATTCCTAGGTATTTAATTTTTTTGATGCTGTTTTAAAATTTAATTTCCAAACTACTGCTGGACCCTAGAGATGCAACTGATTTTTATACTGATCTTGTATTTCAAAATCTTGCTATACTGGTCCTTTCTGCATTTATTGAGATAATATGATTTTTCACTTTCATTATGAAAGTGTGGTAGATTATAATGATTGATTTTCCAAAGCTGTCACTCTTGCAGTCTGGAAATAAGCTCCACTTAGCCATGATACATTATCCTTTTTATATTATATATCATTGGATTTGGTTTGCTAATTTTTTAAAGGATTTCAAAAATTGATATTAATGACACTGGACTTAACATTTTCCCTTTTTGTAATTTTGCTGTCAGGTTTGGTATCAAGGCTATGTTTTAAAAAAATAAGTTTCGTACAGTGGCTCATGCCTATAATCCCAGTACTTTGGGAGGCTGAGGTAGGAGGATCACCTGAGGTCAGGAGTTCGAGAACAGGCTGGCCAACTTGGCAAAACTCCATCTCTACTAAAAGTACAAAAATTAGCTGGGCGTGGTGGCGAATGCTGGTAATCCCAGCTACTCAGGAGGCTGAGGCACGAGAATCGCTTGAACCCGGGAGGCAGAGGTTGCAGTGAGCAGAGCTCATGCTGCTCACTGCATTCCAGCCTGGGAGACAGAGCGAGATTCCATCTCAATAAATAGATAAAAATAAAAAATAAGTTTGGAATTATTCCTCTTTTTCTATTCTCTGGAAAAGTTGTGTAACAGTAGTGAAAGGGTTTCCCTAAAAGTAAAAACTTACCACTGAAGCTGTCTGGAAGTGAAGTGTTCTTTGTGGGGAAGGATTTAATAAGAAATTTAATCTCCTTGATATATATGGACTATTTAGATTTTCTATTCTTGTGTCAGTTTTGATTAAGGGGTATTTTTGTTAAGAAGTTGTTCATTGTCAATTTTCCAGTGTAATGCCCAAAGTTGTCATAATATCCCCTTATCATCTTTTTTCTTTTCTTTCTTTCTTTTTCTTTTTTTTTCTGAGATGGAGTCTCGCTCTGTTGCCAGGCTGGAGTGCAGTGGCATGATCTTGGCTCACTGCAACCTCCGCCTCCCAGGTTCAAGCGATTCTCCTGCCTAGCTGGGACTACAGGCACGAGCCACCACACTCAGCTAATTTTTGTATTTTTAATAGAGACAGGGTTTCACCATGTTGGCCAGGATGGTCTCGATCTCTTGACCTTGTGATCCCCCTACCTCGGCCTCCCAAAGTGTCTTTTCTTTTTTCTGTGAGATAGTCTCTCTCTGTCACTCAGGCTGGAGTGCAGTGGCAGGATCTTGGCTCACTGCAATCTCTGCCTCCATGGTTCAAGTGATTCTTGTGCCTCAGCCTCCCCAGTAGCTGGGATTACAGGTGTGCACCACCACATCTGGCCAATTTTTGTATTTTTAGTAGAAATGAGGTTTCACCATGTTGGCCAGGCTGGTCTGGAACTTCTGGCCTCAAGTGATCCGCCCACTTTGGCCTCCCAAAGTGCTGGGATTACAGTCATGAGCCACCACGCCCAGCTCCCTTATTATCTTTTGAATATGTGTGGTATCTGCAGTGATGGCTTCTATTTCATTCCTCATGTTGGTTGTTTGGATTTCACCCTTTCTAAATTACTCAGCAGCTTATTGATTGATTTCTTTCTTTCTTCTTCTTGTTTTTTTGAAATGGAGTCTCATTCTGTCACCCAGACTGGAGTGCAGTGGCGTGATCCCAGCTCACTGCAACCTCTGCCTCCACCTCCTGGGTTCAAGTGATGCTCCTGCCTCAGCCTCCTGAGTAGCTGGAATTACAGGTGCGTGCCACCACACCCAGCTAATTTTGTATTTTTAGTAGAGATGGGGTTTCACCATGTTAGCCAGGCTGGACTCAAACTCCCAACCTCAGGTGATCCACCCCCTTCGGCCTCCCAAAGTACTGGGATTACAGGCGTGAGCCACTGTGCCTGGCCATTGATTGGTTTTTTTGAACAAATAACCAATTTTCAGCATTGTTGAATTCTCTATTTTATTTGTTTTGTATTTTATTCGTTTTGTTTTTATCATTACTATTTCTTACCTTCTACTTTTTTGGGGGGTTAATTTGCCTTCTTTGAAAAAAAAGTTTTTTTTAGAAGAATGCTTAGATCGTCAACTTTTAGTATTTCTCCTTTTCAGTTGTGCAATTAAAGGTATATATGTCTCTCTAGGCATAGTGTTGGATGCATGCCACAGGTTTAGAGATTTATATTACATATTATTACTTGGTTCAGAAATATTTGGTTCTGGCCGGGCATGGTGGCTCACTCCTGTAATCTCAGCACTTTGGGAGGCTGAGACAGGAGGATCACCTGAGATCGGGAGTTCGAGATCAGCCTGATCAACATGGAGAAACCCTGTCTCTACTAAAAATACAAAATTATCTGGGCGTGGTGGCACATGCCTATAATCCCAGCTACTCGGGAGACTGAGGCAGGAGAATTGCTTGAACCTGGGAGGCAGAGCTTGCGGTGAGCCGAGATCGTGCCATTGCACTCCAGCCTGGGCAACAAGAGAGAAACTCCACGTCAAAAAAAAAAAAGAAAGAAAATAAATATTTGGTTCTAAGTTACTTTTTGATACTGTCTTTGATCTAAGTGTTACTTAGAAGTTTATGAATTTCCAAACATATGGAGATTTTATAGGATCTTTTAATTGGTTAAAATTTCATTTCTACAGTGGTCAAAGAATATATTCTGTGACTTCATTTTTTTTTGGCATTTGTTGCAAATTAATGGCCCCAAACCTGATATATGTTTGTAAATTGTCTGTGTCCTTAAAACAAATATGTGTTCTGTAGTTGTTGGGTTCAGTGTTCTATATATATGTCAGGTCAAATTTGTGAATCATGTTTTTATGATTTTGACTTTCAAAAAACTTTTTATTTTTAAATATAACACACCTTCAGAAAATCACATAAAACAATGTACTGCTTAATGAATTTTTATAAGGTGAATATTTTTGCAACCACCACTCATGTAAGAAGATAGAAGCTTGCAAGCAAGTGCCCTCTGCTAATCATAGCCATCATCTTACCCCACCCGAATATCTACTATTCTGACTTTTATGGTAATTATCTTCTTGTCTTCATGATTTTGTCATCCAAGTATAAATACCTAAACACTACAGTTTAATTTTGACTTTTTAAAAACTGTTTTTATATGTCTCTTAATTTGTAGTTTTCCTCTTCTTCTGTCTCTCTCATAATTTGTTTTAAAAAACCAGGTCATTGGTAGAGTTTCTCTTATTCTGGACTTTTCTTTTTTCATTTTTTTTTTTTTTTTTTTTGAGACAGGCTCTGTCACTCAGGCTGGAATGCCGTGGTGCAATCTTGGCTCACTGCAGCCTCAACCTCCTGGGCTCAGGTGATCCCCCTTTGCCTCCTGAGTAGCTGGGACTACAGGCGCACCACCATGCCCAGCTGATTTTTGTTTTATTTTGGAGACAGGCCTTCACCATGTTGCCCAGGCTGGTCTTGAAGTCCTGGGCTGAAGCAATCTGCCTGCCTCAGCCTCCAAGGGTGCTAGGATTATAGGCGTGAGCCACCACACCCGGCCATATTCTGAATTTTGCTGATTACATTTCCATGGCATAATTTAACATATTCCTCTATCCTCTGTATTTCTTGTAGATTAGTAATTGACGGTAGAGGACTAATCAGAATTATGTTGGTTTTGTTGTTGTTTTTTGACAAGTCTTCATGAATAGTTGCTTGGTTTTTGTTTTTTTCTATAAGGAGGCACCAAATGTCTGGAATTCCCTCTTTATGAGATTTAGAAGGTATTGGTGTTCAATGTCTAGGTGCATCAATTCATTCAAGGTTGCAAAATAGTGATATTATAGTTCTATCATTCCTCCTTCATTCATTTGCTAGAATACTTCTAGAAAGAGAAAATTTACCTCATCTACTATTTAATTCCCAATTGTACAGTTCAATAGAAAAGGCAAGATAAATGCTTAATTATTTCCCTTTCCCTACCAGTTTTCCAAATAGAGACTTGGTTTCTCAGCAATCCTCCAAGGGTAACCAATTTGAATTTTTGTGTGTGTGTGTTCTAATGAACCAATGGATTTAAACACATTTGATGTGTTTCATCCATTGCAGTAATTACCCTGGATGTTCAAATTGTCCCATATTTGGGCAGTTGGAGTGCTAGTTGGCTCCTGTGTTTCTGAAAGCTTCTTTTCCATCTGGTAAAACGAGATGCTCCAGGCTCATCTTGTACAATTCTTGTCCCAGACATTTTTCCCTGAAGCAGTGGTTTCTTTTAGTGGAAAATGATATACTACTATCCAAATTTGGTTACTGAAAACAGTTGGAAAGATTATTTTGTGTGTGTATTCTCGCCCCATTCTACTTCGCCCTGCTCTTGCTCTTCCTCTTCTAGGGAGCATACAGTTAGTATCATACGTGTACTTTTTCTTTTATATCCTTCATGCAGTCTCAAGTTTTACACACACACACATCAAAATGCCATTCCTTAGCAGTTTCCTAAGAAAAGGCTATAGAATTAATATCCTTTTTAATGTTTTGCATGTAATTCTTCTGCAATATTCATATTGAAAGTTAATTTGGGCCGGGTGTGGTGGCTCACACTTGTAATCCCAGCACTTTGGCAGGCTGAGGCAGGCGGATTACTTGAGGTCAGGAGTTCGAGACCAGCCTGGCTAACATGGTGAAAACCTGTCTCTACAAAAAATACAAAAAATTGGCCGGGCGCGGTGGCTCATGCTTGTAATCCCAGCACTTTGGGAGGCCGAGGCGGGTGGATCACCTGAGGTCAGGAGTTTGAGACCAGCCTGTCCAACATGGCGAAACCCCGTCTCTACTAAAAATATAAAAAATTAGCTGGGCGTGGTGGCGGGCGCCTGTAATCCCAGCTACTTGAAAGGCTGAGGCAGGAGAATTGCTTGAACCTGGGAGGCGGAGGTTGCAGTGAGCTGAGATTGCACCACTGCACTCCAGCCTGGGCGACAGAGAGAGACTCCGTCTCAAACAAACAAATAAGAAGTTAACTTGGCTAGATAAACAAAAAATCTTGGCCTTTATCTTCTTTCCTTGAGTATCTTAAATAGCTTACTCATTTTCTTCTGACATAAAATGTTGCTATCGAAATGTTTTTTGACAAGCACATTTTCTTTCTCCTGTAAGTTACTTGGTGTTTTTGCCTATGTATCCAAAAGACTTTTTCCTTTTTTTTCTAAAGTCTAATATTTTACTAGAATATGTCTTGGTATTGGCTATTTGGGGTCAGTTTCTCCAGTTATGGTGTGTCCTTTAGATTCCTTTCAGAATTTTTGTTTGTTTTCCTCAAAGTTTTGGGAAAAAAATGCATTACGGTTTCCTAACTATAATTTTGGATTTGTCTATTTTTTCTTTTAGTTCTAGTTACTTTCTACATTTTTGAGTCAATGCTGTTATATACATGCAAATATAGATTTGCTAGCTCTTTCTGGTAAATTAAAGCTATCATTATTATAAAAGACCTCTTTACCTCTAGTAATGTTTCTTGCTTTTAAATCTATTTTTTTCTGATATTAATATTGCTACCCCAACTTTCTTTAGGTTTTTGATTGCTGTATCTTTTTTCATACTTTAATTTTACCATTCTGTGTTTCTTAAGCATGCTTCCTGCAAGCACCTTATAATTGGGTTTTGTTTTTTTTAATTAAGCCAGACAATTTTTATATTTTAATTAGAGCATTTAGCCCATTTATATTTAATGTAATTACTGATTCACTTGAGTGTAAATGTTATTATTTACTCTCTCTTTGCCCCAGTTAGTCTATGTTCTCTTTTCTTTGTTGTCTTTTAAAAAATTATTCAATTTTCTCATCTCTTAACTTGATAGTTACTTTTTTTTTTTTTTTTTGAGATGGAGTTTCGGTCTTGTTGCCCAGGCTGGAGTGCAATGGCATGATCTTGGCTCACTGCCACCTCTGCCTCCCGGGTTCAAGCAATTCTCCTGCCTCAGCCTCCCAAGTAGCTGGGATTACAGGCATGCACCACCATGCCTATCTAATTTTGTAATTTTAGAAGAGACGGTGTTTTTCCACGTTGGTCAGCCTGGTCTTTAACTCCTGACCTCAGGTGATCCACCTGCCTCGGCCTCCCAAAGTGCTGAGATTACAGGCATGTGCCACCGCGCCCAGCCAGTAGTTACATATTTTTAAAAATAAGATCTTTGTTGGTCAAACAGATATTGCAACATACTTGAGTTATCAAATTCCAGAAGGAATTAGTACCTTTACCTCTTCTCAGACAATATGAGTGCCTCAGAAAGACATTAATTCCATCCACTCCACTTCTGATTTATATGCTACTGCTGTTGCACAGCCACGCCCAGCAGCCTATGAAGCTTTCAAAAGCCATGCTCAGTCTTATCAGCTGTCTGTACAATCAGTAAATGCATCTAGGCCCCAGAAACCTGCCTTATCTGCTTGAGTTTCTGCTCTCCAGAGATCTTGGCTCAGTAATTTTTCACTCTCATCTGGGCTCTTTGATGCCTTCAATAATTTTCATATTAGTCCAGCTTTTCTAGTTGTTCTTGGTGGGACAATTGTTCTGGTTTACCTATTCTGACATTAGCGGAAGTAGAAGCTCGATACTACTAACTATACTTGATGAAGACCCATTGAGCAGGCATAGAGTATAGCTGCCAGCAAAGCAGTCTAAGTCCCATAGCTCCTCGGAATCTGCAGTGTCTGAGAGAGGTGACTCATGGCCCAGCATGTGATGTTGCATCTGGAGTCAGAGGTGTGTTCTAGCCAGGCCTGGGAGCTCTATGTATTGCTTAGCTGTCCCAGTAATGGTGTCTCTTCATCCAAAAGGGCACCTGAGGCAGCCCATGCTGTGCTGAGATTTTGGATCTGTGCCCAGGGCCCAGTGCCGTGGAGGTCTACCTAGAAAATAGTCTCTGTTCCACCTTCACCATGATAGACACAGTGAGCTCTCGGTGTGGGTTCAGTGCCCTGTAGTTCAAAGACAGGAGTCTGGGCCAAAGGTCGGTGTTACCTCATCCTTGCCAGGGGCTGAGGAAGGGTGAGAGATGGGCCACTCCTGGAGCTACTGCTTCATCTTCTCATGAAGGTGAATGAAGCTGCCACTGCAGGTAGGGGCTCAGTAAGGACAGAGCTCCAGCCCAGGACCTCCACACCTTGCACAATGCGATTTTATCGTTGTTATGGACTGAATTGTCTCCCCGCAAAATTCCTATATTGAAATCCTAACCCCCAATACCTCAGCATGTAACCGTATTTGGAAATCAGACCTTTATTTATTTATTTATTTATTTTGAGACACAGTCTTACTGTGTCGCCCAGGCTAGCATGCAGTGGTGTGCTCTTGGCTCACTGCAACCTTCGCCTCCCATGTTCAATTGATTCTCCTGCCTCAGCCTCCCCAGTAGCTGGGATTATAGGTGCCTGCCACCATGGCTGGCTAATTTTTATATTTTTAGTAGAGACGGGTTTTTGCCATGTTGGCCAGGCTGGTCCCAAACCCCTGACCTCAGTTGATCAACCCATCTCTGCCTCCCAAAGTGCTGGTATTGCCTGGCCTGGAAATCAGACCTTTAAAGAGGTAATTAAGGTTAAGTGAGGTCATAAAGGTCTGGCCCCCCTCCTATGGTGGCACAGTGTCCTTACAATAAGAGGAGGAGGAGATGCCACGTATGCACGGTCACAGAGCAAAGCCCATGTGAAGGCACTGCAGAAGGTGAGCACTGCTGATGGCAGGCACTGGAGAAGGCAGGCACTGGAGAAGGCAGGCACTGCAGAAGGCGGGCACTGGAGAAGGTGGGCACTGCAGAAGGCAGGCACTGCAGAAGCTGGGCACTGCAGAAGGTGGGCACCATGTGAAGGCACTGCAGAAGGCGGCCAGCTGCGAGCTGAGGAGAGGAGCAGCAAGAGAAACCAGCCCTGCAACACCTCCATTTTGGACTTCCAGCCTCTAGAACTGTGAGAAAATGAATGTCTGTTGTTGACACTGCCCAGTGTGGTATTTTATTACGGCGGTCCTAGCACACAAGTACACTTGGGGTGGGGTCAGACACTCAGTTGACAGGAAGGTGATGGTGAAAGTTTCCGTCCTCCCTGGAAACACCCCACCCACATGGTCCTGAGGTGTCTGGCTTTCAGAAAGTGACTCTCCCCAGTGCTTCATTTGCTCCGTTTGTTTCTAAATGTGTCTGGGTCTGTTTCCAGCCTTATTTTGTCTTCCTTTACCAACCACCTCCTTCCAAATAAGAAGATTCTCGCAGGTCCAGTCTCAGAGGGCAGAAAACCCAGATCTCTGGAGTTTCTGTCCCGAGAGGACCTGGCACCTGACTTCCTGACTCAACTGCTGGAGGGACGCGGAGGACTGTTGATTGGACTTGCTCCTTCGTCGTGTCCCCACACCGCGGGTGGCAGGACTAGAGCCTTGCCGCATTATGGGCTTCTTTATTGGCTGGCATAAATTTGGCCACTTCTGGCTGTATACCTCTTGCACAGCTGTGCTTCTTGTTTTGCTCCTGTGGTCAGTGTGGTTTCTGAGATGTCTGAGGAACAACCTGAGGAAAGCTGTGGCCCTCCTGACCATGACAGCCCAGACCTAATCACTGGGACCCCCCAATCCACTGGCAAGGAACAGTCAGTGAGCGCTTGAAGTGTCATACACTCCCCTGCCCCCAAGGCAGTGGAGCAGGTGAGGAGTCACTTTGTCACTCCCAGGGCGATGGCCTCACCTGTCTCCCGTGGCCTCCGGGGCTGTGTGGGCGTGTGTGGGTGTGTGTGTGCGCGCGTGTGTGTGTTGCTGGTAGTGAACATGCCCTCTGGTGGCCCCCGCAGACAGGCTTGCTGTTTCTTCCCTAGATGTTAGCCTCGCCTCTTATTTTTTATTTTTTTTTTTTTTACCTCTTCCGCGTCTGCTTAACCTCAGCTCCCAGTAAACACGCTAGGGACAACAGGCTTCCCTAGGGCCCCCTATCTTTGCTAGTCCTAAGCCCTGAAAGACCTCGCTTTAATTCTTCCAGCATGAGCCTTTGTTGTAGATAATTCTAGCTATCTGATTCAAACATGAGAGTAATGGTTTTTACATCGGAGTCAGGTACAAACCTCTGTTACACAAAGGAAACCAGAAATCGTATGATTCCCTAGGGATGACTGAAATTATTTTGTTTATCATATTACTTAAATAAGTACGAACATAATTTTTTATTTTTATTTTTTGAGAAGGTGTCTTGCTTTGTCGCCCAGGCTGGAGTGCAGTGGCGCGATCTCGGCTCACCGCAAACTGCGCCTCCTGGGTTCACGCCATTCTCCTGCCTCAGCCTCCCCAGTAGCTGGGATTACAGGCATGCACCCCAATGCCTGGCTAATTGTTTATATTTTTAGTAGAGACGGTGTTTCACCGTATTAGCCAGGATGGTCTCGATTTCCTGACCTCGTGATCCGCCCGCCTTGGCCTCCCAAAGTGCTGGGATTACAGGTGTGAGCCACCGCACCCAGCCATAAAATTATTTAACTTCTATATATTTTAATGGCTCTTAAGTAATTCTAAAACCAAAATCAGTGTACAAAGAAAACACCAAAAGTTCCTGAAAAACCACCCGAACTTGTTAGCACATTAATGTGACTTGCTATGTTGTTTTTCTGAACTCAAACACCATGAATGCTGCACTCAGTGATACCCAGGCTGTGTGGTCTGATGATGGGGCTCTTCCAAATCTTGCCTCTATTGGAAAAATTGCAACATTTCACTATACAGAACACTATTGTGGCGTTTACAAATGAAATCCTCTGCTCCGTCCTATAAAATTACTACTATTTGGCTCTGAGATCTCTAGACATACTTAGTTGTGAGAGTTGTGAGATGATCATCTGATGTCAGATGTGTTTACATTAATTTTTAAGACTTTAATTCAAATGAAAACTAAAAGTCTTGTAGAGAGGACCTACTGAATGTGTCTGGTATGAGTCTCAGGGTGTTTGGAAACTCCAGATCTAAAATTCTTGGATTTGAGACCCTGGTATTTCACTTAAGAAGCTCTTTACCTGCCTCTCCCTAGGCCTGGGTTTGACTCCAGCCACTCCCAATGCCCTGTGGGGCTGAGGTCCCCCAGACAGGCGCTGGGGACCTGGCTTGTTTTTGTTTTGCTTCTCCTGGGCAAGGCAGGTGCACACTACATGCTCAGTGCGAACTGAAACACAAAGTGCTGGGTGGCCGCTCAGCGGACGGTACTCCCTGCTCCCCTGTGGCTCCTCAACTCAGTCTGTGAAGGGTCCCCATGCCCCCAGGCCAGGGCTGGCCGAGGGGGGCTGGCCTGCTACCCAACTGATCCTGGTGGGGGGACCAGCTGCTCACCATGCCTCCACCAGAGGAAAAAATAGCAGTTCAGTCTTTGGAAAAAACTAGCGACTCACACGACCAGAATAGCAACTGAAGACGCTCTAAAAAACAGAAACACCTGCTTCAGAATTATGGCAGGAAATGAGATTTCAGAAATGCCACAAGAAGCTGGTGTCGCAGCTGCCCCTACCTCGTATTCCCCCAGCCTTCGCCCGCCAGCTGGGGCTGCCCACAGGGAAAGCCCCTTGGCCCACTGCCTGTGGTAGCCGCTGGATAGGGCCTGGCATGTGGGGTCAGGGCCCAGTGCCGCCTGCCTGGGGCTGTCTAGCAGCTGCCCCTGCCATGCTGGCTGCGGGCGAGACTCCACACTCCTGTGTCTGAGCCTCTTGAGTGGTAACAGAAACTCAGGGTGGACTAGTCACGGAGGAAAGGGGGATATGTGGTCTCCTGCGAGCCCCCTGGACTGAGCCTTCCTTAGGCAAACTGTGCAGCTGTTGGCTGAGCCTCTGGATTGATGAAATCTCTTGAGGGACTCCACAGGGCTTTCAAGGGAAGTGGAGGGGTGATGTGTTCAGTCTGGAGCAGGGGTCTCCAAAGTGGAGTACATACATCCCAGAGGGCTTAAGGAAAGAAAAATAATAGTGCATCTACTCAGATTAACATTTTGCTTCCAACATGAAAGAAAAAGCTGTGCAATGTTAGTAATTTTGAACGTTGAGGGACTCACGTGCCTTAGACGGCTGTGTAGGAGGAGTACTTTGTGGGAGGAAGAGCGGGGATTTCATCAAATTGCAACTTACATAGTGCCCACCAAAGGGAATTTAGATATTCTATTATCTATTTTTAAGTCAACTAAGGCTCCCAAAAAGGATAAGTGGCTTTAAAACAATGTTGAAAAGAAATCTTGGACTGAAGATAACACTAATATGAAATCATACCACGCAGCCCCCACATGGCAGAGCTGACCCTCCCTCCTCTGCCCCCAGCCACGTTATGAAATGAAAACAGCAGCACTTTCCTCAGACCTTGAAGAGTTGGCTGAAATTGCAATCATCCAGAAGACTATTTGAAATACGGCTTTACATCCATAATCATTCTGGTTGGATGTTGTCTGAAGTGCGTATTGTGCCAAGAGAGGGTAATAAGACATTTAAAATATTTTTAATTTCACCTTTATCTCATCCTTTTTACTCTTCTTTTTTGGATGTTAAAAAATAATAGCATGATAGTGCAATGTCACACGGAAGTATGCAGAAGTAATTTATAAAATTAAATAATCAGAATGTTTGGGTACATGAACAACTTTTTGTCCTGTGGTCAGGGCAGGCAATACAAAAACTCAGGGACCCCTGATCCAGCCAAGTGGATCTCAGGCCCACCCACAAAGTTTCTGATCCATTGGGCCTGGAATGGAACAGAGAATTTGCCTTTCTTTTTTTTTTTTTTCTTTCTTTCCAGTTAACCATTATTTCCTTCATTTTGTTTTCATTATAGCACGTTTGCTTATTTTACAGCAAGCAGAAAATAAGCTGGGTCTTGTTTTGATCCAAACATTGATGTTTTAAAAGCTGTACACAATATTTCCTAAAAAGAATACATAAAAGTACCTTTTTAGAAGCTTCTATAAGAAAGAAAATACGAAGTTTAACCCCACAATTTTCCTCTTTGCTACAAGTTCAAACTATTGCTACAGTTTTAAATAGACTTTTTGTTGTTTAACCAGACATCCAGGACAATCTTAAAAAATTATAGAAACGTGCACGTAAATGATGCATAGCAGAACTTGGACATTAACTGCAAATGGTAAAGAAATGAAAGTTAGAAACACTATCAAATATACAAAGGTTCTAGAATCAATCCTTTATAAACACATTCCACAAACAATATTTAAAAGCCATGTTTTTGTTCTTTACAGGCAAAACCTAGATTACTAAAACCAAAATGGAAAAAAGTAATCCTTTCAAAGGAATTGTTTCCCTAAGATAATTCGTACTTAAATATGTAAGCAAGCATGTCAGATTTTAAAAGATGCTAGCTTTCTATTCTGAAATGAGATTGGACATGTCAAGTCACTTTTGCCCCCAAAACAATCTTTCAGAGAAATGCTTTAAATTATAAATGATATATTGAATGAAGGGTATAATAAATGAAGCGTATTACTCCATTTTTAGTCAGGCATTACATTGATAACCAAAAACTCAGAGATGTGACTTGCTGAAAGTTGACTAATTCTTTTTCCAAAATTACTTTGAATTTCATGGAACAACAGAATCATCTAGAATGAAGTGCTGTCTTTCATCTTAGCTCACATTAAATAAACTGAGGCGTGAAGAGCAAGCCTCCCTCATAAAGAGGTAGGCAAATTTGTCTACAAACGCACACGCCATGTACTGCAAGCATCAAAATTTAGTACTTTTATTTTTTACTTTTTTGAGATGAAGTCTCACTCTGTCACCCAGGCTGGAGTGCAATGGCGTGATCTCGGCTCACTGCAACCTCCGCCTTCCGAGTTCAAGTGATTCTTCTGCCTCAGTCTCCCAAGTAGCTGGGATTACAGGCATGTGCCACCACGTCTGGCTAATTTTCGTATTTTTAGTAGAGACGGGGTTTCACCATGTTGGCCACGCTGGTCTTGAACTCCTGACCTCAGGTGATCCGCCTTCCTTGGCCTCCCAAAGTGCTGGGATTACAGCTGTGAGCCACTGCACCCAGCCTAAAATTCAGTACTTTTACATATGCACGTGCAAAACCTACTTTGAAACAATTTACTTGCTTCTAACAGCAGTATGAAAACAAAGAAATACTATGGTCACCAGTGCTCCTTAAATCTTAGAATAATTGCATAGGGACATTCTGTTCCCCTTAAAATTATTTCTGCCATCACTGACCTGCTCAAATTTTAAGGTAAGTTTTTCTCATGTTTTCTATGTCCAAATCTTCATAGAAACCAAAAGAACTAGTGAAGACTCCACGTTTCAGTCAAAACTCAATCTCCCTGAAAATACTGCATAATCCAGCTGGCATCATTCCCTAAAACAGTGGGGTTAACAAAAGAACTATTCCCCATTGCATGATAGACAAATGATTATCACAGGCCTAGACATCTTGTCAGGACAACCAGGCCCAGCCTGAACCTAAATGTGTCTGAGCAGTAGTGCTTTACTGTGGTTACAACTTCACTTTTGTATCATTCTATCTTATTAGCAAGCTACATTTCTAAGTTAACAGTTCTACCAAATATGAATATGAAAGTTTATTTTTAATAAGACAATGTGAGGCCGGGCACAGTGGCTCACACCTGCAATCCCAACACTTTGGAAAGCCATAGCAGGTGATTTGCTTGAGCCCAGGATTTTGAGACCAGCCTGGACAACATGGCGAGACCCCATCTCTACAAAAAATTTTAAAATGAGCCAAGAATGGTGGCGTGCACCTGTAGTCAAACTACTTGAGATGTTGTGGTGGGAGGATCACTTGAGCCCAAGAATTAGAGGTTGCAATGACCTTTGATTGCATCACTGCACTCTAGCCTGGGTGACAAAGCAAGACAGCCTGTTTTTTTTTAAAAAAAAATGTTGCAAATTATGGTCAACCAACATCTTTTTGCCACAAACTTCAAACACAAAAAAAAGAATCTTTACAAAAATATACAGGGACACCACAAATTGGTGGTTACCTATAACATTAAACAAACTGGACTCTTCTTTTTTTTTTTTGAGATGGAGTCTCACTCTGTCTCCCAGTCTGGAGTGCGGTGCTGCGATCTTGGCTCACTGCAAGCTCCACCACCCGGGTTCATGCCATTCTCCTGCCTCAGCCTCCCAAGTAGCTGGGACTACAGGCGCCCGCCACCACACCTGGTTAATTTTTGTATTTTGTTTAGTAGAGACGGGGTTACAAACTGACTCTTAAAAGTGGCTTCTCCACAGCATATCATTTGAATTATTACCATTGCCTGGTACAGTGTTTTTAAAGTATTGTTACAACATTGTATTCCTGATTTTTTTTTTTTTTTGAGACAGGGTCTAACTTTGTCACCCAGGCTGGAGTGCAGTGGTGTGATCTCGGTTCACTGTAGCCTCGATCTCCTTGGCTCAAGCAATACTCCTGTTTCAGCCCCAAGTATCTGGTACTACAGGCGCACACCACCATGCCCAGCTAATATTTTAATTTTTGGTAGAGATAGGGGTTTCACCATGTTGCCCAAGCTGGTCCCAAACTCCCGGGCTCAAGAGATCTGCCCACCTCAGCCTCCCAAAGTGCTAGGATTATAGGGTGAGCCACCATGCCTGGCCAATTCCTGATAATTTAAGTAAACCAAACTATAAATAAATGAATGATATGTGCCTAAAAACAACCATAGTTTATATTATCAGTGGCCATTGGATTTAGGAGCAGTCCAATACCTTGATGTAGATTTTGATCTAGAACTAGACTTTGATCTTGACTGACATTTGGATATAAGTAGTTTTTTTTCTTTGATTCCTTTTCATATCTTGAGCCAGACTTATTTAATATGCTTTGGAATCTTATTTATTTATTTATTTTTACTTACTTTTTGAGACAGGGTCTTGCTTTGTCACCCAGGCTGGAGTGTAGTGGCACAATCAAGGCTCACTGCAGCCTTGACCTCCCAGTCTCAAGCAATCCTCCCACCTCAGCCTCCCAAGTAGCTGGGACTACAGGCATGCACCACCATGCCTGGCTAATTTTTTTTTTTTTTTTTTTTTTTTTTTTGTAGAGATGGCATTTTGCCATATTGCCCAGGCTGGTTTCAAACTCCTGAGCTCAAGTGATCTTCCAGCCTCAGCCTCTCAAACTGCTGGGATTAAAGGTGTGAGTCACTGCACCCAGCATGGAATCTGTTTTAGAGGTGCCTCTAGTTCTGGTGTGAGATGCAGACCTAGAATGTGATTTAGCCTTCACTTCTTCCTTGGGCTGCCTTGAATGAGATGTAGATCTTGAAAAAGATGGATTTTGGTGTTTGAATCCACCATTGTCGGAATGGCTTCTGCTACTCCGTGGTTTTCCAGTTGGTTGATTTCTAGGACTGTAAGATCTTCTATAATTGTAATCAAAAGACTGACTTCTGGATCTCCTTTCATAACTTTGGCTTCTAGAACTTCTGTATCTGTCATAACCATCATGGCGTGAAGAGCTGTACACATTCCTCTGTTCCTTGGATTTCATCTGATTTGGTGTCTTCTGATCCCCCTGTGTAAACTGTATTTCAACTTGATGTCCACAAATCTATTTCCTGTCCAAATTATGCAAAGCATCTTCAGCATCACAAACATCCTCAAATTGAACACAAGCAAATCCTCTTGGACGGTGGGTGTGGAAATCAAGTGGAACATAAACATTTCCTGTAGGACCATCATGACCAAATTTATCCTGTCTATCTGCAGACCTGGTGTCATTGGCCACGTTCCTGATGGACAGAGACATGTTTTGGAGGAGTGTGCAGGTAGTGGGACATGATGGTGGCGTGAGTCCAGGCCGGAGGCCCTAACAGACCAGGCAAACTGTCCATAGCTCTGCTGTTAGAAATTCGTATTTCTAACAAGTTCCTAGATGATGATCATGCTGATGGTCTGGGTACCACTAGTCTATAGAAATGACCACAGCCTGAATGAAGACAAGCTGAAGGCAGTGAGGCTACCTCTGCCCTTGTCAACCTTGCTCACAGGTGGAGACAAGGCTGTCACCTGAAGACTGATGATCTCTCCCCACAGCCTGCCACATGCCTGAAATTCACCCTCAGTGCCGGACTCCTTTGGACTCCTTAGCCTTAAACTTGGCTCTGCAACTGCCTCTAGAAACTAGAAGCAGTGTTAGCGAGCGGCGAGCAGGGATGCAGAGGGCAGGGACGGGGAGGAGGAGGGGTTTGTGATCCCACCTACCAGCCTCACTGCCGAGGGCACAGGCTTGGAAGCCTCAGGCTCTGATGTCAGAGAGAGCTGAGCTGGATTCCCTATGCAGCCGCTAGCTAGCTTTTGACTTCAAATCTCAAGAAAAAGACCTTATTATTTCTAATTCTCTTCCTGCCTTCTAAGAAGGGTGGGTCTTGGTAGCTGAAGGCTCTTGTCTGCTGGGCTCAGCACGGGTTGTGGGCATGTAAGCATGGAGGAGCTGGTAGCAGGAGCTGGGGAGTGGGAGGCTGCTGCGTAAAGGAAGAAGGAGGAAGCTGTGGCCAGTGAGAAAGCACGGAGGAGACCTATGAGAAGGAAGCTGTGAGCTATGGGGGGTGCAGCCCACCCTGTTCCTCTGGCCCCACATGCCACCATCATCCTCTATGGGGCACGTCCCGGGAGGCTGAGTCCACATCCTGGTGGGTGTGAGGAAGGCCTGGTGCAGGCCACGTGCCTGGTAGGGCAAAGTTGTAAATTAGATATCAGGACCTTTTCTGTCCCCCTCTGCCCCAGGACTCCTTTCACCTCACATAGCTATTTTTCTTTCTTTCTTTATATTTTTGAGATAGAGTCTTGCTCTGTTGCTCAGGCTGGAGTGCAGTGGTGCGATCTTGGCTCACTGCAACCTCCACCTTCTGGGTTCAAATGATTCTTCTGCCTCAGCCTCCCGAATAGCTTGGATTACAGGAATGTGCCACCATGCCTCACTAATTTTTGTATTTTTAGTAGAGATGGGGTTTCACCACGTTGGCCAGGCTGGTCTTGAACTCCTGACTTCAAGTGATCCCCCTGCCTTGGCCTCCCAAAATGCTGGGATTACAGGTGTGAGCCACCACACCCGGCCTCTTTATTTTTTAAATATGCATTTTTATAAGGGATTCCTGAAAACCAGAAGCAGTGACACACCAAGGCATGTGACTTTATGGCAGGATTTCCTGCACAGCACAGGCCAGGAGAGAGTCAGTGTCCTTCAGATTGGGCCAAGTCATATCCATGCACATCCAGGCCACTCGCTTCTGCAGAAAGGCCTGCTGTGATACCAGGTTTCTGGACCTGCCCGTGTTGGCACTGGAATTCCAGCCTCCAGCATGCATCCTGCAGGGAAAAGGGAGCAAGCTCTATGCAGCTCCACAAAGTTCCAGCGTAGCCTATCTGTGCCTGGTGCTACTGGTTGGGGCTGGCATGGGGGAGCCTCTGAGCTCCCTCCTTTTTCAGCACGGCTCATGCACCCATTTGCCTTTGATGTAATTCTAGAGCCTCCTTTACCTGCATGAGTTAGTGCCTATAAAAGGCCGGTGAGAACTGTGTGGAGACAACAGGCCTCAGAGGGTCCAATCCTCACCCCATCCCTGGCCACCTGGGTGACCTTGAGCAAGTTCCTCAATGTTACGGAGCCCCAGTCCCTTGCTCTGTAAAATAGGGTGATGAGGGTGCTGACTGCAGACAGCCATGAGGATGAAGTGAATGTGTGTGAAGAGCAAGGCCCAGTGGATGCTCCCTGTGTCCTTACAATAGGCTTACCCAATTGGACTAAATTCTTTTTTTTTTTTTTTTGAGACGGAGTCTCACTCTGTTGCCCAGGCTGGAGTGCAGTGGCGCGATCTTGGCTCACTGCAAGCTCCGCCTCCCGGGTTCACGCCATTCTCCTGCCTCAGCCTCCCGAGTAGCTGGGATTACAGGTGCCCGCCACCATGCCCGGCTGATTTTTTTGTATTTTTAGTAGAGACGGGGTTTCATTTTGTTAGCCAGGATGGTCTGGATCTCCTGACCTCGTGATCCGCCCGCCTCGGCCTTCCAAAGTGCTGGGATTACAGGCATGAGCCACCGCGCCTGGCCCAATTGGACTAAATTCTAAAAAACCCTGTGGGTTATGCCACTGAGCTAAACTCAGGGAATCTTATGGTGGGATTTCTGGGGCACCTGAAGGTTAATTCATTCATGTATCCACGCAACAAATTTATACAGAGTACTGACTGCATGTCATACAATAAGCTAGTAAATAGCTAAGAACAAAAGCTTTTCTGGGAGGGCTATTCACCCAGTAGGGCCTTGAGGCTCTGGCAGAGCTCCCTGGAGACTGAGCTGCTGGGCAGGGGAGAATGGGGCAGGCAGTGGGCACTGCCAGTGGATGGAAGCCCTTTTCCATCCCAGGCAAAGTGGCAGAAGACCATGGAGGAACTGCCAGGCTGAAGGGCCCACAGTGAGACCCGGGGGAGTCTGAGGCTGCAGGGAGTGGCCAGCCACCTTTTTGGGCCATGAGTGCTCAGCCAGCTCTTCATCCAGGTGGGAGGGTGGGAGGAGGCTGGGCTCTACAGGAGCTACTCTCTGTACACCTGCCCTCCTGGAGTCATCCCAGTGCACTGCAAGCTTTGGAAGTCAGGGCTTTGGAGTCAGACCTAAATGCAGACCCTCCTCCTCTGCTCCGCCTCAGGAAAGTCACTTTAACTTCTGAGCCTTAGTTTCTCCATGTGTAAAATGGTGATAATTGCATCTTCTTATTTACTCTGCCCAGGAGAACCAAATGAGATAGTAAGAGCAAGTGCTTTCAAGATGATAGCACCTTATGCCCAGTGTCTACCATGTGGCAGTCTATAGCAACAACCTCCTCCTCGAATGGTTTTTGTATTTTAAAACAGAAACAAAGTCTCTTGCATTTAACAGCAACATGGAACAATGACCTTTCAGCCTCTTTATGGCGAGGCAAGGATCCTAACAGACAGATGGGGGAGTTGGAGGAAAGGAGCTGAACATTGGAGCAGCTGAGCTGCAGCGTGTAGGAACATCTGGCTTACCCTTAGGTGGACAGTGGGTCTGAATGGCTCCAGTGGGTGCCCCAAATGCAGTGGCTGCACAGACGGTCCAGTGGGCAGCTGCTGCCTTGTAGATGGGCTCAAGGTACAGCTTCAAGACAGCAGTGGCCACACTGCAGATGGTGGTGACCTGTCTGCACTCCCCACCTCCTGCTTAGGGTGCTTGGTGGCTTCCTGTTCACTCAGTTTTCTCACCCAGTCTTTTCAATAGAACTTTTACCCACAAAGCACAGCCAATGACCAAGGACACCTTAGAGCAAGGACTAGTAAACCACACAGCCTTTGCACCAATGCGCCCCACTGCCTGTTTGTGTACAGCCTATGAACTAAGAATGATTTTTCCATTTTTAAACGGTTGAAAAAAACTCAGTAGAATATTTTGTGATATGTGGAAATCATATGACACTCAAATGTCAGTGTCCATAAATAATGTTTTGTTCACTTGTATGGTTTATGGCTGCTTTTGTGCTACAAAGGCAGGTTGCATACTTGCGACAGACTGTATGGTCTGCAAAACCTAAAATATTATCTGGTCCTTTGCAGAAAAGGTTGGCTGATCCCTGAGTTAAAGATACCTTCCTTCTAGGAGGAGTTGCAATTTAATTCACATTCATCCCTTAAGCAAAACAGATGAAGCTCTAATGGTGGAATTTCAGGTGTGTATCTGTGACAGGTTGACGTTTCTAGGGGGAAGTAGGAGGAAAATTAGAGCCAAGTAACAGAGGCAGCAGGATGTAAAATAGAAATTTTACTAGGCAGTAGGAATCCTGGTTTCTAATTCCACTTTCAACTGATGAATAATTATGTGATTTTGAGCAAAAAGGCTTTTCATGTCCCAGCCACTTTCCTTACCCAGGATCTCCTCTCCTGCCCTTAAAAAGGAAGACAATAGCTGTGAAATGCTTTGAGACCTAAAAAAAAGTCATTCAAATCAAAGATTAGGAGGAAAAAAAAATTAGGCAATTCTAGAACATTCTGATAAGGTGATATCTGATATTTCTTCCCTTTTTTGATATCTGAAATATCTGATATTTCTTCCCTTTTTTTTTTTTAAATTTTTTGAGATAGGGTCTTGCTTTGTCATCCAGGCTGAAGTGCAGTGTCACCAACATAGCTTACTCCAGCCTCTACCTCCCAGGCTCAAGCGATCCTCTTGCCTCAGCCCTCCAAGTAGCTGAGACTACAGGCATGTGCCACCACGTCTGGCTAATTTTTGTATTTTTTGTAGAGTTGGGGTTTGCCATGTTGCCCAGGCTGGTCTCAAACACCTGGGCTCAAGCCATCCGTCTGCCTCAGCCTCCCAAACTGTTGGGCTCACAGGTGTGGGCCACCACGCCCGGCCTTTCTTCCTTTCAAAGAAGGGAAACAAAATATCTATAGGTGTAGTGACCCTATGCTCCTCAAAACCCTTAGCTTGACAACAAGTCTATTATAGGCCCTTGGCATTTGTGCAACTGAGACACAGTCATTCCCAAGCCACCCAGAAGGTCCCCGACCTATATATTTGTTATTTTGCCTAGGCACAAATCTGAGTTACTCAGCTGCTACTAAGTGAACCTAGTGTATGTAGTGGATGGCCCAGTACCGACATCCCAGGATGGCTGGCTGTTCTTTCCTGGTTATGACAGACATAGTAACTAATAAAGTGACTTAAAACATCCTTTGTAAATAAACGCTCTGTATTCATGACGCTGGCCCTCTCAAATGTCTAAGGAGGGACTCTCCATGAGTGACGTGTTTTACGTTAAAAGTATTTATTTGCAATCAGGGACTCTGGCCTGTGGTGACCATTTCTAGAAGCTGTCTAACATATCTTTAAATACCGCGCCCAGAAGTGGCTTCCTTTCATGGCAGTCTCAGTTTCTGGTTCCTAGAAGTTGCTGATTCCAACAGCACCTGATGACCACAAGTCATCTGAGGGAAGCTGTGGCCAAGAATGGATAACAACCACATTTTATTCGGACACCAAAGCAAGTTGCAATCTGAATTGCAACCACACCTTGCAATGGCGCCAACACATGCAACAGAAACAGAATTTGCACTTGGTATGTTTATTTCCGTTGCTCTTAAAAATGCAAACCCACGCTAGAGCCCATGCCAAAGACAGCTGGAACAAATTGCATCACCTGGATTTTGGGGTTTGTAATAGCTAGCCTATGTTGGTGTGCAAATTGGCCAGTTGTATGCTATTTTAAACCCTTCCTGCTCCCTTTCCCATTTTGTGCCAAGGGCACACAAAGCTGCCCAGAAGGAAGGAATTCAATCAGCATCAGAAGAATGCATTGAAGTCCTGTTTCCTAAACCCCAGGGGAGAGCTGAGTGGGAGGGAAGGACCCAGCTAGCTAAGGACAGAGTCCTTTTTATGTGTCTGTTTCCCCAAGCAGAATGCTGGGCCCAACTGATGAATGTTAGTGGGAGGGAACAATGGAAGAGGGTGGCTGGATGGCAATGAGAGGCCTGGGAAGGGCCTGGGGATGAGGAGGGGGTGGAAGCACTTCCTGAGGATCCATCCAGGCCCAGAGTTTTCAGCCGCCACCTCCAGAGCTCCGCCTGCCTGCTTGGCCAGGTCCAGTTGGCCCTGGCAGAAAGTCATCACCCTGTCCTTGCCAGCACTCCATCCTTGGCTATAAGTCTTATCTGGTCAAGCTGCTCTCTGTATTGGACCCTCCTGTCAAGTATCTGGACTTCTGGGCTGATAGTCACCTTTTTTCTGTGATGTTTCTCCCTGGTCAGTCTCAGAATTAATACATTTTTCCTCTGCTAGTCCCCTCTCCTCTTCTGAAACAGCATGGAGGTTCTGTCCACTCTAAACTCACCCAGGGTTTGGGCTGGGCTGGGCCGGATGCCCTGCATGCTGATAACTCCATGTGGCCAGCCCACGCCCTGGGTTATTTGCCAACCTGCCTTCCAGTTTTGCACAGTGCCATACCTCAGGTGCCTTCTCATGCCAGCTAGTCAGAATGGAGTGTTCTCCTATAGGACCCAGGGATAGGTTAGGGTTTGAAGTCCCTCACAAGGCCTCTAGGGTGTCAAGGCACAGGGCATCTCATGGAAGCATTGGTGTGGGATCAAGTCCATCCTAAAAAAAAGTCCTATGCTGTATTATACCTGCTAAGGGGCAAGGCTGGCCCCTCAAATAATAGGTGTCATAGGTAAGCCTCTAGTACAGTGCCACCTGCATGTTCTAGGTGCTCAGTAATGTAGAATAACAAATACTTGAGTGGCCAGGGCAGTCTGATTACTAAGAACAACCCAGAAGAGGCAGGTATTTTTTTATGAATGAAATATTTCACACCCAGAGGACTTTGTTTTACCATTGTTAATATAAACTGTGAATTTAGGATTTTTTTTTTTTTTTGAGACAGTCTTGCTCTGTCTTCCAGGCTGGAATGCAGTGGCACGATCTCAGCTCACTGCAATCTCCACCTCCCGGGTTCAAGCAATTCTCCTGACTCAGCTGGGATTACAGGCCTGTGCTACCATGCCCAGCTAATTTTTGTGTTTTTTAATAAAGATGGGGTTTCACCATGTTGGCCAGGCTGGTCTCAAACATCCTGACCTCAAGTGATCTGCCTGCCTCGGCTTCCCAAAGTGCTGGGATTACAGGCGTGAGCCACCACCCAGCCATTTTTTTTTTTTTTTTTTTGAGACAGAGTCTTGCTCTGTCACCCAGGCTGCAGTGTGGCAAGATCTCACTATCTTACTCACTGCAAACTCTGCCTTCTGGGTTCAGGCGATTTTTATGCCTCAGCCTCCCTAGTAGCTGGGACTACAGGCATGCACCACCACACCTGGCTAATTGTTTTTTTTTTTTTTTTTTTTTTTTGTATTTTTTTGTATTTTTTAGTAGTGATGGGTTTCACCATGTTGGCCAGGCTGGTCTCGAACTCCTGGCCTGAAGTGATCTACCCACCTCGGCCTCCCAAAGTGCTGGGATTATAGGCATGAGCCACTGCACCCAGCCAATTTAGAGAGCTTTAAATGCTGAAAGCATTCTGAGAAGAGGTGGGTTCCAGGTTGGCACCTGGAGGTTGTTCAAACCAAATGGGCACGTGTGGGCTCAGCCTCCCCAGTTGTTACTCTGGCATCATGGCCTCCTGGTTCCCAGTTCTGGCAGCCCTGCTCAGCCCCCTTCCCCTCATCTGTAAAATCAGGTAGCTGTCCGACTTCATAGGATTGGCGGAAGGGTCAAATATAATATATGGAATTCTTTCTGGAATGAAATAAAAAGACAGCGAGGCATCTAAGTGGGAGCACCAGAAGCCTGCAGGTCTGAGGACTCAAGGAGGCGGAGAAGATTCTCTCCCTGCCTTGGGCCTTGGGATCCCTGCTGTACCTTCAGGGTTTTCCTCCATCTGTGCCTTTTTTCCTGGTCAAAACAGACTGTTATTCAAGCACAGAGCTTTTTGTTCCTCTTTATGTCTCTAAAGGCAACTGCAACTATGTAGCCTATGAAGCCCCTGAAAAATCTAAGCCCACACCCAGGCACTGATTTAAATGAAAAAGCAGTATCCAAAAGCCCAAGGAAAATGGTCCATTGCGAAGCTGGACAATTTCCTCTCCTGACACATCTTCACAGCTTCGTAGACTGTGAGAGAATGCTGTGTTCTTAAAGTGCTTACCTGCCTCAAACTAAAGCAATACCTCCAGGAGCTATGTGATACATGTAATAAACATCTTCTTGTGCACCTTTAAAAGGCTCCCAGGTGACTCTAAGGTTCAGGTGAGATTAAGCAGCACCGTCTCAAGGCTGTGTTTGCCCTTGAAACCCAGGTAGGAGGTGGACAGGTCTGGAGCACACTCCCTCAGCACTGGTTTCTGGTCCCTTTGTAGATGAGATAAAGCGACTTCTTCAAGATCTGAGTGATACAGTGACAAATCCATTGTGGAGCTTGCTGGATCAAACCAGTGTGACATCAAAGCCCTACACAGGTCCACTGGGTTTAGCTCCAAGTGGTCTTAGCGCGCCCTTAGAACACCCTTAGAAAGTGGATCCAGATCTGGGAAAGAAGACCAAGGACTCATACTTAGGTGTCTTTCTATGTTGTTAATGGAAGAGTAAACTAAGGATGTCCCTCTAAGCCCTTTCAGGACTTAGCCAAGAGGAGTCTCCAAAGCCCCGTGAGACAGCATCCCCACAACCCTTTCTAAGGCCTGAAGGTGATGGTTCTGAAGTCCTCTGGTTCCTTCCTGGAACAAGGGTCAAATAGGAAAACCACAGAAAAATGAGACTTCCAAGAAAAGTGCAGGCATCCTAAGTTTTCAAATAAAATCTTACTTGAAGCCTAAGAAAATGGATTCAGGCAGCTTAATTCTTGTTTGTTCCATGCACAACCTATCTTTCACCAAATAGATTCTGAGGCAACTTGATGGGGCTGCTGGTAATAGGCACTGTCTGAGGTGGGAAGTGCAGCAGGCCCGGGCCTGGGTGACTGTAAAGCAGGCCCTCAGGACACAGTGGTCTGGCTGCCTGGCAGCAAGATCTCTAGAGAAAACCTGGGAAGTGCAAGAGACAGCTTTGTAAAGGGGTCCTCGGGCTTAGGAACCCCGACTGTGGCATTTCAATTGGAATGTGAGGAAGCAGCACCCAGCAGGGGTGAAGAACATGCACATCAGAATGGCCGAATGCCATTCTTTGTCTCATTGTGTAACCCTGGGCAAGTTCATTCATCTCTGAGATGGGGCTCTCATCTGTAGGAGGGGGTACTACTTCCCTCATAGAGTTTAAGGATTAAGTGTCATTGTATATGAAACATTTAGGAGCATGCTTAACTCAAGTACTCAACCTAGAACTTGCTTAAGCCTTGGACTGGCTAATGAGGGTTTGGCTTTCAATGTCAGAAGGCATTTGTGATGGTCACAACTGTGTGTGTGTGTGTGTGTGTGTGTGTGTGTGTGTACTACTGACATCTAGTGGGTGGAGGCCAGGGATGCTGGTAAACACCCCATAGTGCACAGGACAGCCTCCTACCCCCCAACAAATTATTCACCCCAAAATGTCAATAGTACTAAGGTTGAGTACCCCTGAGCTAAAGGGAGAAGTTGAGGTTAGCCCACCCATACAAGGGGAGGTGGGTAGGAAACAGGCTTACAAGTGTCGGATCTGGCAGCAACTTTAAACTCCTGCAGCCGTCCCCGGAAGCAGAACCAACCCTCTTCTCAATTGGTACACTTTTAGCAGCTATAAGTCAAGGGTATGTTAGAGACACTGGGATCAGAATGAAGACTCATAGGTCAGTGGACTGATTTAAATAGCCTTTTGGAAAGATGTGAAAAAGCAATAGAAAATGGGCCAGAACAGAAAAGAAGCTAGGGGTTGAAATGTGGTCCAGGTCACTTGAAGTCAGGAGTTTGAGACCAGCCTGGCCAACATAGTGAAACCCCGTCTCTCTCTAATAAAAATACAAAAATTAGCCAGGGGTGGTGGCGGCCGCCTGTAATCCCAGCTAATCGGGAGGCTGAGGCAGGGGAATCACTTGAATCCAGGAAGCAGAGGTTGCCATGAGCCGAGATCACACCACTGCACTCTAGCCTGGGTGACAGAGCAAGTGAGACTTTGTCTCAAAAAAAAGCAAAAGCAAAAACAAAAAAACAAATGTGGTCCAGGAAGAAAAAAAAAAAGCATCACATAGTAATAAAATATGAGGTCCATCCCCCATTCTTGATTTTTCTCTCTAGGACAAGGCAAACTACATACTCAGAACTACAAACACTTAAGTCAATGGATTTGCATTATTCTAGAAAAAGACCAATCCTTCAAAAAGTCAACAAAGTTATCTGGCTGGGCCACTATCTGCTCATGCTATGGCATCAAAGATGAAACTAAAAGTAAAAATTCTGACTCCACCAAAGCTTTGACTGATTTTGACATTTCATTTGCTTGGCAAGGCAAGTGCTCACTGGATCAACAAATCGATTCTGAAACAATTATTTGTGCCTTAACTAGCTCAAGCTCTTCATGATCATGACAGTCTGAGGATATGAATTAATCCTATCATTAAAAAGGGCCACTGAAATATTTTGATTGGCATGCCCAGTTAAATAAAAAATGCTCACATTTGCAAGCAACTGAGGCATTTTCCATGGAATCTTCTGAAAATGCCTTTAGACTTGGGAATTTTTACCTTAAGCCTGTTACTTATTTTTTACTCTTTATTAATTTTTACTCTTAAGCCTCAGCTTTATTCTCTGAAAAATGGAGATAATACTTCCACCTCTAGGGCTATGGTAAAGATTATGTGAAACTATGCACCTGAGTTCACTTTGTACTAACTGGGCCACACAACTAAAGGTAGTGCTTCAAACCCCAAAGGCTTTTCACTTTTACTTTACACTGCTCTTCCAGAGCACTTCAACAGTATTTTCAGGGTCATGCTGGATTTTTAAAAGAATCAGAACAAGAGGATGCTACCTATGAAAGTAAATTATGTACTTCACAGCAAGCATTTCTATGCCTTAGTTTCATACTTAGGTTTCAGGCAGTTCTCAGAGGCAATTATTTCCATTTTACAGATAAGGAAAATGAGATGCAAAATATTAATCTGCAAAATATGGGATTAAGTACCCTCTGACAAAGCCAGAAAATAAGGGAACTTGAAATGGAAGCCCAAGTTGGAGACTACAGTGAAATTCTACAACTCCCATGCCTTGACACCTTTGTAGGGCTAGCCCAGGAGCAGTTTCTAGGTGTAATGACCAGGATTTGGAAAGCATAGGAAATGACTGAAAAATCAGATGTACTCTAAAAGGTGACACACTAAATTCCCTTCATTGGTCTACTTGGATTTTAAGACCCCAGGGGGAGAGAGGTGTGGAGTCCTGATTCTATCTTTTCTCGGGAAGGGGTGGCACCTAAGGGTGTCTAAGTAGTGGTGACGGTGGAAGGGATGGCAGAAGGATGCTATTCCTGGGGAAAGTTAAAAAGATAAGGGCACCATCTAAAGTAATAGGAACATCAAAAAAGCTTGCCTACTAGCAAAGAAAAGGGACCATTTCTGAAATCCTTGACCACAAATACAATCTTCAACATAAGGATGCATTTTTGAAAAAGCACTTGGAATCACCTGCTTAGGAAAACATAAAAGACGACTGACTCAAGAGTTCTCACAAGTTTCTAGTCATGAGAATAAGATCTTTTCATTGGATTATGTGTGGTTCAAGAAAAGCCACTGGGAACAGTCCAAGAGAAGCAGATTTTGGAGTTTGCTTTCTCAAATTCAAATGAGATGGCAGCTCTCAGAATATGAATTCTGAGAACCTTCACCCATCCACTGATGACACAAACTTAGAAAGATCTGCCTAGCCTCTAGATAACTAGAGCTTCCAGGATTTTTTAAAAAACATCCTAAGTAGGCTGGGCACAGTGGCTCATGTTTGTAATCCTAGCACTCTGGGAGGCCGAAGCTGGAGGATCGCTTGAGGCCAGCCTGGGCAACACAGTCTATCTGTCCAGTATTTCTCTGTTGTTTTAAATGGTCTTTCAGAAAATTTTACTTCAACAATACTAATAATTTTTCAATAGGTATTGCTATTTATTAACTCTATGATCACATTCTCCTGTCACCTAATAAACCTGGCTAATTTACACATGTTGGGCATTAGCCAAATCCACAAATTATCAAGTATTCCCTCAATCCTTTTTGAAATTTTAGCTTTCTAGAGACAGGGTCTCCCTGTTACCCAGGCTGCTCTTGAACTCCTGGGCTGAAGTGATCCTCCAGCCTCGGCCTTCCGAAGTGCTGGGATTATAGGCATCAATCAGCCACTGCACCTAGCCCTAGTTTTATCGTTAAGGTATAATGCCTAGCACTTCACATCTGACTCAAGTAGACTTGAAACCACTACCCATTCATGTCCCTTGTGATACTTTGGTAATTTCCCTGAAATTGCAGAAACAGATCATGTCAAAAGTTCCACTCAGTGTTTCTGATCTTGAAAATGTCATGAAACAGATATAAAAGCCTTAATGCTTTAATATAGGGGAATATCTACATTTTATTTCCAAATTTTAAGTAATTACACTCAGTTTCAGGATTAAATCAGAAACCCTCAGATTTTCCATTTTGAATACAGGCAAACTATTGCTGACTTATCCAAGAAGATTCTAATTTAGAAGAACCACCATCTGACTTACTTTATGGTACAGGTCATGTTTGTATCCTTAAGTTTTGTGCAGCCCTGAAGATGGTGTGACTGATTTGTCCCATCCTCATGCTCCATATTAATATATGCAGTAAATTATGCATAACACTGCTAGCAGCTTTGGGTAAACTGAAATGTTACTGGTAGGAATTGAGCAGATTTATATAATCTTGATTCTCATTTACTGCCTCTTCTTAAACTAGCAAGCCTCTTCTTACTAAGCCAGTTCTTTTCAGTTTTTGTTTTAAACTCAGCTGAATACTGTAGTTCCTTCTTAAAACTTCCACATTACAAAAGGAAAGTACTTACGCACATGCTTTTAGAGATTGAAGATTTATCATTTAAAACACATTCAAAGGCAGCAGGAAGTCTATTTTTACAGCTCATTTAGTAATCAAGTTACAAATATCCCCATTTTCCATGAGACTAATGAGGATCTAAACTCACCCCAAGGGCTTAGAAATGTGTGGTTTCTCTTCAGCCATTTTCCCTCCCAATTCCAATCTCTGACCAGTGAACTCCATTTACTATTTAAAATATCTAATCACTTATCCTCCTTATGAAGTTTTCCTGACTGGTGTACAAATGCTATCCTTTAAAATGCAGATAAATGAATATGGAGGCAGTAGAAAATCTCAATGGCGGGAACATTTCTTTCACAATTTTCAATTATTCCATACAATCAGCTGAAGAAACTTAATAGGAAGAGTTACTCTGATATACCCGAGGGGGAAGGTATGCCACTTTAAAGAGAACAGCTATTTTAAATCTTTACTAAATTGAATCTCCTCCTGAGGCATCTCAATGTCCTTCCCTGTATTTCATCAGGGCTCCACTGCCCATAGTTACTTCGATTAGTCACTAAGAGCAAATGGTTAAGTTACGAGATAGCCAGAAAAGAGAATATTACTGCTACCATTAAATTACGTTGTAGAAGTATACTGACAAGGAAAAGATGTTCACAGTGTATTATAAACAAACATCCCCAATCTCCATTATTTATAAAAAGTTTTAGAATGAGAAAAGTAGAAATTTAAGGGATAGAAGGGGCAGGTAGCAGACTGAGAACGAGTGTCTGGTTTTGGGCTAACAGATTCACTGAATAATCTGTAAAAACACGTTTACTACCCCTATTTTATACCTGTTTTTTATTATTCTAGCCTCCATTCTTGCTAAGTCTACTTTGCAAAGGGATTCCTTTGATATAAAGTCTTTTACAGGAAGAATTATAGAACACTACAATAACTGAGCAGCTAGCCAAACCTGTTTTCAGTTTAGCATCCACCTTTCCAGGTTGTGAAAATGGAATAAGGTAAAGGTCTCACAATAGGTTTGCCTAATTCTTGGTTATTCACATTGCAGATTATCCAGTGTGGTATGGCTACTTCGTGTAACATAGGCCCACAGATTTCCTGAGGTCTCTCTTCCCCAGTACTTAAGTAAACAAGAAAAACAACACAGGCACACAGGGAAAGGCAGATCCAGACTTAGAACCAAAGTTAAGTGCTTATCAGTTTTGCTAACATTGGTTCCATACAAGTTTTGGCTTACTCTGGGACAAGGAAAGCTTCTAAAATAGAGATTATTTTCAAGGCCCCCTGAAAGATTTTGACCAAGCATTAGGTAAAAGTTAATTCACAAGTCATCCAATCTAAACAGGAATTGTACAAATACTGTAACATATCCAAATAATTAGACTACTAATACTTCCGGAGGCTAATCCTAAAGTTGACAAAGTAATTCTGCCCAACAATTCTAGAACGATGATCTTGCCCATCATTGAATCTATGTTTGCAAGGCTACCACAGCCTAAGAATTTGTCCAAAACCCACAATGAAGCCTTGGTATGGATATGTGATACCTCTAAGTATTAAGAATAAATAGAGCCAGGGCACAGTGGCTCACGCCTATTAATCCCAGCACTTTGGGAGGCCAAGGTGGGCGGATTACTTAAGGTCAGGAATTCGAGACCAGCCTGGTCAACATGGTGAAACCCCGTCTCTACTAAAAATACAAAAATTGTTAGTTGGGTGTGGTGGCGTGTGCTTGTAATCCCAGCTACTCGGGAGGCTGATTTGAACCTGAGGGGCAGAGGCTGCAGTAAGCCGAGATCGAGCTACTGCACTTCAGGCCAGGTGACAGAACGAGACTCCATCTCAAGAAAAAAAAAAAAAAAGAAGAATTTCAGTTTCTTTAAAATGATCTTTCTTAGAAATGTCTTTATTCTCGCTTTCAAAAAAAAAAGTCAATGATTTATTCCAATCTGTATCAAATCAATTTCATAAATGGAGAAATATTTTTGTCAATTTTTCAGAAGGTAGTTTTTACTGAAAGGTAAACTGGTGCTTTTGTATTAGAAAAGAACTTGTTTTACAGATTTGGTGATAAAAAGACAAAAATCCATAAACAAAGGATGCAAACCAAGTAGAATTTAAGTTGAATTCAGGATTTCAAGTAATAATGTATAAAAAAAGTCATTAACTATTTACAATTAGATCAGTAGTGGTTTGTGGTCAACTACACAAATATGCAACTAAATCTACAACCAGCCAAATTTCCAGTTTACTGTAATTTAACACTCATTTAAAGAAAAAACTAAACTTGGACAGGAACATAAGCGACACATTCAAAACCAAGAGCACACACACACAAAATAACTACAAGAGTGAGCACAGATAGCTGGTTGGGGAATAGGGAGTCTATAAAAGAAAATTTTCGATTCTGTTAACTAATCTTCTAGTATAAACTGATGATTATATGAAAAACACCAAGGAGAATACATTCAAGTTAATGGAAACAAGTCTTTATTAAGTAACTTTTAATATCAGAAAAATAAAACTCTTATAATTCTCTTTACAGCAAATATATAATATCAGTGCTTTGGCCATCTTAAGTTAAAGGCCCTTTATCATAAAATATATGGTTTTAAATTTTACTCAAATTGAATTTATAATCCCTATGACTTCCCTACATATACATAACAAAAGAGTGTAGTAAAATTAGCAAATACTAAACTATATTGATAATTTATCATTCTTAGTTTGTGGTTTTTAGAAACAGTACACGCACCTAATATATGTCGATTCCTTGGCTTATTAGTTGCAGTGTACAATGCAACAAAATACAAAATACATGCTTGGTGAACATTCGTTCATATCTACAAGACGGCAGCTAGAGATTAGGTTTCAATACTGACCATTTACTATCCTACAAGCAATTAGCATTACATCATAATATGCCATCAAGGCAACTTTTTTTATACTGAAAAAATCAAAATAAAAACCGTTATTTGTAAACTTTTATACGAAATGTAACTCTTCAAGTGGAAATAAAAAATAAAATTTGTCTATTTACTATTGAATACACATAGGATTTCAATTTTCATTATACCGAGAAAAAAGCTCTTTTGTGTTGGGAAAATAATGCTTCAAAAAATAATTAGTAGAAAAACCCACTAGTATAATGTTTTGTCCTTTCAATGCCAGCACAGATTTGGGAACATACTGAGGATGAAGTTATAGACATCCACAGGTGAAATGTACGAGTATATTTTAAATAAATCTTTCCTTGTGATTGGAAATAGTTTTGAAATGAAGTAAACTGATTGGAGGTTGTCACAGCTGCTTTTGTGAATTATGCCAAGGGCATCATTATCCCTTTCTCCCTCCTCCCTCCCCTAAATTACTAAAAAATAAAAATATATTTATAATGTGCAAGACAAATATGGATTGAACATAAAATGTTTCACATTTTGATCTATAGTCTAAAAATTAACAGCTCGATCACACTAATGAATGGAATGTTTGCATCCTCAATTATCAGCCAATATAGGTGCCATCCCAAAGCCCTTCCTGATATGGGAAAACCCAGGTGGCCATTTCCACATTCACCAAGAGAGGCAATGGGCAGGAATTCACAATTGCATTCCTGATCCACTGATCATACCAGCCTTGAGCACTCTGGGCGAGATGAAAGTTGATGTAGCAGTTTTTGTCCCAAATTATAACCAGTGATCTAGTAAACTGCCATCAGCCCTATCATTACCAATAAGTAATCACAATGCATTAAAAAGTTACTTGCAATCCTGCAGAATTAGGCATATGTTGTTGTAAAATAAAAAACAAACCTGTTTTGTCAAAACTGGCAGTGTAAAGAAGGCAGCACTGGAAGTGTATGAATCGTCTGTAATGCCAAGTACCCTCCATAAACTCTTAAAGTGGTTAGGCTTTGGGACCCATTGTTTTGAAATCTTAGACGTATACACTTTTTCATAGGCTCACACAACCTATGATTATCTTCACTCAGCCAAGTTGAACTTCAGCTTTAGCAATTCTTATATAAACTATGTCTCTGGGTCTACAGGATAGTACTAATAATTCAAACCAAACTAATAGACAAGAGACCACTTAGGTTTAGTGTTACCATAGCAGCCTTTTATAAGTTTACTAACAACTTTAGCCTAATCCCAATAAAGCCTGATAACAGTCATAAGAAATCATTAGGAAGTTTACTGGGGGGTACCATTATACCCATGCCTTTACGAGTCCATATAGAGATATAGTATTTATGTATATATATATAGTTAAGAGTGAATTTGGATTGCCTGAGTAACAGCTGTCTGGCAAACTGGACATGATGGCGTTCTCTTTTCACAGATCTTGTTGGCACATTCCATGCAGAAGAGGTTGTGGCCACATGGAACTAGGGCAGCAATAACCTCATTCTCAAAGCAAATCACACAGTCGTGCTTTCGTCTTGATTCTGGAGGTGAGCTAGAGGTGGAACCACCATTGGAAGAGGAGTAACTATTGGTACCATTAGAAAAAGCAGGGATATATATTGGAAGGCCAACATGGTTGCCTGTACTAGGTGGGTCGCTCCTAACCCTCCGAGCAAGTGGATGTTCTATGCTCTCAGGAAATGTAGGAGACAGACGAGGAGTAGATGGCTGACTTCCTCTGCGCTGAGTCTTCATGTTACCAGAAGGATCACTCCCAAAGCCAGAGAGTGGGTTAACTGGTTCAAATGGAGTCCAGATAGTTTGAGCAGATGTTGGTAAAGAGTCAAAGGCAGGAGAGTCAACTGCTAGGTCTTCTGAGCCTACAGATGGTAGTGTATCTCCAAACCAGAAGTTTCCTGTGCTAAATGGGCTTGTTGGACTAAAGTCAGCCAGCCTATTGCTTCCAAAGTAGGAATCTGTAGAGCCACTTCCTAGAGAACTGGAACTATCATTTCGATAATTGGATATCATTCTTGCGCGGCTAGGAGGAACAGGATTGGAGGAGAGCCACGCAGAGCCAAGAGTGCCACCTTCAAAGCTTACATCGGTACCATTGTAATGGAAATCATTCTCTTCATTGAGCTCTATATAGTTTCCTGTACGCATGGCAATATGCATTTCTATTTCTTCCCGTGCTCGGTCAACATTTTCAGGCATCCCTGTCACTTCAAAGACAGGTTCCTTATCTCTGCTCGGAGTTACTATGTAGGTGTGGGTCTGCTGCTGAATTCTTTTAATAGTTGCTCCTTTGGGTCCAACCACTAATCCTACCACACGATAAGGGACCCTGACTTGGACGGTGGTTTGACCGGGCAGATTAGGACTACATGATAATCCTCCCAGGGCAGGCCCATTTTTGTTTCGAGATGCACGAATCATGGAGAAGTGCTCTGCAGCTGAGAGGATCTCTCTTTTGGCCATGGCAACATCTTCTTTCCTTCCAGTGACAACAAAAATGGGCTCTTCACCACGAACAGGAGTCTTGATATACGTGTTTGTCTTGGCTCTCAGTGCTTTAATTTTACAACCTGTTAGAAAGAAAACATTTCATAAGAATCAACATCTACTTCAATGATATATATAAAGACAAATCACAGAATGCACCTTTTAAGCTAAATATCTGGTTATGGGTTAAGTTTTAGAGTTTTTCACATAGCTAGGAAGTGGCAGAGCCAGAAGTAAACCTAGTTTGACTTAAAATCTGTGGTCTTTTTGCTAGTCCAAGAACCTCGATTTTCACAATTATCTGACAGAAGTTATTAAACTGACTTCCACCTAATTATCTTACCACTTTAACTTAACATTACTCTTTCCTCTGTAAAACTCAATTGATGACAAAAACACCGTGCTCATGGCTAGTAGGTCATCTCACTTCTGCTCCCACCAGTTAAATTCTAGGCCTGCTATGATTCAGTTTTGTTTATTCCCATGTTGTTTGTGGTAGGTGTACTCACGCTAGTAACTAAATTATCTAAATTACTGCATAAACTAGTGAAACATGAATGCAAAAAAGATGAGTATCTTAAAGAAAAAGCTGCTACTGAATTATGAATAGGTGAGACAGCTGTAAAGGGCTGGAATAAAAAAAAAAGTAATATAGAATGATTTTGTAATCATTGTAAAGTCCTGCTCCATTTAAAAGAAACAGATACTGCAGATTGTATGGAATGTGGGTGCTGGGTGTGGTTTTATTCAAGGACTGCTCTGATTGACAGACACAATTTCAAATAAAAGGCCATGACCCCAAATCCTAAGTATATTTAAGTTAAAATAAAACATCTAAGACACATATGTATAACTTTACGTAATTCTCCACTTTAACCAACTTTTTTTTTTTTTTTTGAGTAATCACAGATTACTAGTGCCAACTATGTGAAGATTAGAGGGCTTCAAACTGTAACTTAAAATGTCAAGTACACAACCAAGGAATAAAACTCTGGGGTTATACTTTTCAAAGACCCTAACTTGAGCTTGCCAGCATAGATGTGTTCTCATGAATATATCATACTATTCTTAGTTTGTCAAAATAAAGAAGCTAGGTGCTGTAATCCCAGCACTTTGGGAGGGTGAGGCAGGTGGATAACCTGAGGTCAGGAGTTCAAGACCAGGCTGACTAACATGGTGAACATGGTGAAACCCCGTCTTTACTAAATACACAAAAATTAGCTGGGCGTGGTGGTGCATGCCTGTAATCCCAGCTCCTTGAGAGGCTGAGGCAGAAGAATTGCTCGAACCCGGGGGACAGAGGTTGCAGTGAGCCGAGATTGTCCCACTGCACTCCAGCCTGGGCAACAAGAGTGAAACTCCATCTCAAAAAAAAAAAAACCAAACAAACAAACAAAAAAAGAAGCTAGGTGCTACTGAAGTGTCACAATCTGAGCATGTCTTTTTCTTAAATGCTCCCTTCCTTTTTTGTCCTCAATAAATTAATATTCCTATATCACTTTAGTCAGATGATGCTTTTTTTCTTTTTGAGACAGAGTCTCGCTCTGTCACCCAGGCTGGAGTGCAGTGATGTGTTCTCGGCTGACCGCAACCTCCACCTCCCGGGTTCCAGTGATTCTCCTGCCCCAGCCACCCGAGTAGCTGGGACTACAGGCATGCACAACCACACCTGGATAATTTTTTGTATTTTTAGTAGAGATGGGGTTTCACCACGTTGGTCAGGCTGGTCTTGAACTCCTGACCTAGTAATCTGCCTGCCTCGGCCTCCCAAAGTGCTGGATTACAGGCGGGAGCCACCGCACCTGGCCGATGCTTTCTAATAAAGCACATGACCTGATCACTTTTTTGCACAAAGTGGAACTTGTTTGTTTGCCCTTCCAAAGCATTCCCAAGCCACTAGGTGTTGACTACACAGGTTGAGTTATCCCCTATCCAAAAACACATGGGACCAGGAATGTTTGAGATTTTGGAGTATTTGCATCATACCTGCCAGTTGGGCATCCCTACTCTGAAAATCTGAAATGCTCCAGTGAGTATTTTCTTTGAGCATTATGCTGGTGCTCAAAAAGCCTCAGATTTTGGAGCTCTAAAACAAAATCGGAGGCTTTTTGAGCATTTAGGATTTCACATTTTCGGATTAGAAGTGTTCAGCCTGTATGTGCTTTTGTTCTACAACAGAAAATCAGTTAGAAGAACAGAGAGTACAATGAAACTTCCACATCTACGTATCATTTATACAGGCTAAATGTCCAGGAGATTCCCTCATTTAGTGCAGCAGGTGCAGTTTGGTGTGCAGAATTGAGATCACTTTCTATTGATGCTTAAGAAATTCTGAAAGGGGTGTATAAACACAGAACTGGTCATATTCTATACTCAGGGGAGTTACTATTTGGATATGTAAGTTCACAGTGGGCTACAACTTGACAAGGTGGCAAGAAGGCAGTCAGCCACAGTTACATTCCTAACAAGAGACAGACAATATTCTGCAGAAAAACACTGGGCAAATTGCATTAAGGACAAAGGGAGAATTAGTCTAAGGGTCTAGGGTTGGTCCCTTTCATCCCTTACTAATATTGACCATTAGAAAACTGAAAATAAATAAAAGAAAAAAAAGGAAAACAGAAATAAAAGAGAAAAAAGAAAACTATGTAAAAATCCCTTAATCAAATACTTTTGATACTATAAGCAACTGTCAGTCACACCCTTAGTAGAATATTTTCTGTTAAATACCTAACAGGTATATTATTAACTGAGGAAATATGCTTGAGGGTCCACAGAACACTATCTAGCCTATGGTTGGTATTAATAAATAGGTGTTTAATGTATGGTTCATTGGGTACAGAGAAGACAAATGGTTTGAGCATGGGCCACTCTTGAGACAGGGGAGAAAGACAGGCCTGGTCTACACCCAAAAGGGTCATGTGTTTATTAGGTTTTGCAGATCAGGGAAAAAAGTAAAAGGAAGACAGCAAAGCCAACCCTGGTTTTTTTTTGTTGTTGTTTTTTGAGATGGAGTCTCTGTCGCCCAGGTTGGAGTGCAGTGGCACCATATCGGCTCACTGCAACTTCCGTCTCCTGGGTTCAAGCAATTCTCCTGCCTCAGCCTCCCGAGTAGCTGGGATTACAGGTGCCCACCACCACACCCGGGTAATTTTTAAAATATATTCTTAGTAGAGACGGGTTTTCACCATGTTGGCCAGGCTAGTCTCAAACTCCTGAACTCAGGTGATCTGCCCGCGTTGGCCTCCCAAAGTGCTGGGATTACGGGCGTGAGCCATCGTGCCTGGCCACCAACCCAGTTTAAGCCACTGCCAATAAAGACAGAGGAAACTATTTCTTCACTTCCCTAAATCTTTTGATTATAGTATCCTAAACTCAGATTAGGGATTATAGGGAAGCTCACCAATCATACCACTGTTTCTGTAGGAACACATATTCTGAGTTCCAAACAACTAACATGATTTCTCAACTACAAATACATTCTAATGTTGGGGACTACTCGAATAGATACTTTTTAAAAGGTGACACAAACTAAAGGAGAAAAACAATCTTGTTTTGTAATTTTGCAGGTGACGAAGGTATTAGCTTTTTTGAGTACTTTGAGTTTTTATTTGAAAACTCGAAGATATTTTTAAAAATAATAGAATTTATAATCTCAGAGTGAAATAAAATTCAGAAGCCGTATTATGATATATTAGCCTGTATTTTTTAAGTTGCTACATGGCACAAGTCACCAAAAACAAAGTAAAAAAACCTAAAATATTTATAACATTATTAGAAATGGCTAATTTCTCACTTTCTTACACACACACAAACACACACATACACGCATGCACACACACATCTCTCCCCTACAAATCAAAACAACAAAAACCCAATAAAAGGGTGAAAGAAACAGCTAACATCAAAGTAAATATACAAATGGCTCTGAAGATGGAAATTCCCATTTTCAAGGGAACTGACCTATTATTTTCTACCTATAAGATTGTCAAATAACAAAAACCTTACAACAATGCTAGTAAAGAGTGGGGAAAAGAACTCTCATATTTAGCTGTGAGAGTATAAACTGCCCTCTAAGAGCTATCACAGTTATAAGCCCATATATTCTTACGCTTCTACAATCTTCTTGTACAATTGATCCTGTAGAAATATGTGCACAAGTGCAAAATAACTTCTGTATTTTATAATTATTGTTTGAATTAGCATGAGGCTGGTACAGCTATATAATGGAATGCTATACACTCATAAAAGTGGTTGACCTAGGGGGACAGGGAAGGAGGGAGGCAGTTTTCACTGTATATTCTTATTTATTTTTTTTAATAAATTTTGAGTCATACATACACATTACTTTTTCAAATAAATATGATTAAGTTAGAAAAGAAAAACAAATTAAATATACAGAAATGATACACTTTACTAGTCTTAGCATATTGATTAGACGTTTGGTTAGTGCTACTGATATTATTTTAAATTACAGTAGCCCCCCTCCCTTATCTGCAGTTTCACTTTCTATCATTTCAGCTCCTTTCAGTCAACCATAGTCCAAATGCAGGTGGGTACAGTACAGAATAAAAAGATATTTGAGAGTGAGTAAGACCACGTTCACCAACTTTTATTACAGTATATTGTTATAAGTCTTCTATTTTATTATTGTTAATCTCTTACTCTGTCTTGTTTATAAATCAAATGTTATCACAGGTATGTACATATAGGAAAAAACATAGTATGTATATATAGGGTTTGGTACTCTGCGGTTTCAAGCATCCACTTAAGGTCTTGGGAAGGCATCCCTGTTGGATAAGGGGGGGACTACTGTACAAACAGCAGGGTAAATGATTTCGTAGCCTCAAAGTTGAACAAAGTTTTGAAATTTAAAAATGTGAGGACTACACTTCTTATAGCTACAGATAAAAATCCACATATGGCAAGTTGTATTCAAGGTAATCAATGGGCAGAAGTCTAGACTAGACTGTTTAGAGGTCAAGAACTAATTTTATCTTGATTTGGAAGTAAATTCCCTAAAAAAAGAGTCTCCAACTTAACCTCACTGGTGTAGGAACCCATTTTCCTTTCCTACATCACTGTTGCTGGGGCTATGTTTCACCTTAAAACCCTTTAGCTGCAGCTAGAACTCTGGTCCTCTCACTCCCTAATACAGCAAAGGATTCTGCCTTGCTTCTCCAGGGTAAATAAAGAGAGCTTTTCCTAGCCTTAGAAATTAAGACGGGGAGGTCCTCTGCCGCTGGGAAAGGGGTTGAAAGAAAAGAAATTAAAATGAAGGTAATCTTCAGTGTTTTTCAAACCATGGGTTGCAGTATCAATTCAGTAGGTGCAGTCAGCATTTAAAAAAAGAACTCAATATGTTCCAAATGTTTCAGTGAAATATATAATGGGCTGCAAAATAAAATGTTCTTTTTCCTGTCAGAAAAGTTTAAAACCACTAGACAACATCACCTTTAAGGCCACTTTCTAGTTCCATTAACACATGTGAAATGATGTACTTACAACTAAGAACCAGTACAGTGATAGTGAAAAGGAGGGAGTGTGGCATTATTGAGAAAACCTGGGTTTAAGATCTGACTTTACAGATGAAATTTCCATACAGTTGAAAATGGTAATACTATAGTTCTGCTCTATGGTCACCTAAAGTAGCTTGTGGAGGCCAGACAGCTCAGACATATTTGTAACACCAAATTTTTAAAAACCCATTATTTATTTTCTAGCCACCAGCAACATATCTTGGATACTCAGAGCAGGATTTTTCAAGTTTTGTTTTTGTTTTTAAACCACGGTTCATTTAGATGGCAGCAAAAAGACCACATGGCCTATCCATACCATTTGTTCCCACTTCCCAACAGAAAAAGCACCATGTGATAAAGAATTGAGTTAATATTTAGGTCACCAGTAGTGTACAATTAAGCAGAAAATGAAAGTCCATGGAGCTGTTCATCATTCACCACTAAATCCTTTAAAAAGCTATAGTAGACAGTATGATAGGCAGAATCCTAAGATGGCTCCTCAAGATTCCTGGGCCTAGTATGTACACATACTTTCAGTTAAACAAACACTAACCTAGGTGGCCCCTGTGAAGGGACTTTGCAAATATAATTACAATCCAAATCAGTTCAGCTTAAAATAGTAAAATTATCCAGATTATCTGGGTGGGCCTGACCTAATCATAAGTTTTTTAAAAGCAGAGGTTTTGGCTGATTGTGGTGGCTCATGCCTGTAATCCTAGCACTTTGGAGGCTGAGGCCAGAGGACTGCTTGAAGCCAAGAGTTAATGACAGGCTGAGCAACATAGCAGGACGCTGTTTCTACAAAAAAACAAACAAAAATAAAAACAACAAAAAAAATTAGCCATGTATGGTGGTGTGTCCCTGGAGTCCTAGCTATATGGGAGGCTAATAAGGTGAAGAATTGCTTGTGTCCAGGAGGTCATGGCTGCAGTGGGTTATGATCACACCAATGCACTCCAGCCTGGGCAACAGAGTGAGACCCTGTCTCTTAAAAAAATTTTTTTTTTTCCTAGCATGACTCAGAAGAGAAGTCAGAGAGATGTGCTCTGGCTAACCTGGAAGAAGAAAGCAAACAATGTATGTTGTAAATTGCCTATGGTGACCCCAAGGCAAGGAACTTCAGGTGTCTTCTAGGAGCTGTGAGCTAGAAGGAAAATGGAGGTAGAGGTCATCATCCTGCAACACCCACCTCCCACTCCCTACTCAAAATGAATTTTATCAAAAACCAGCAAGCTTGGGTGAGGACATGAGCCGCAGATAAGCACTGCAGTCCTGCCCAATACCTTGATTTGAACACAGTGAGACCCTGAACAGACACACCATGCCTAGACTTCTGACCTACAGAAATGGAGATAATAAATTTGTGTTGTTGTAAGCTGCTAAATTAGCAGTAACTGTTACAAAGTAATAAAAACTACTAGAGATTCTCAGAGCCCTTAAAAACTCCACAATCACTGCCCCAAGAGAGGAGAGACTAAAATGTTAGATATATTACATTCTTATTCAATACCCTACAAGACATTCTGGAAGTCTCTCAAGAATTATTGTAAGAAGTAGCTTTTGGCTGTGTGTGATGCCTCAAGCCTGTAATCTCAACGCTTTGGGGAGCTGAGGTGGGAGGATCACTTGAGTTCAGGAGTTTGAAACCAGCCTAGGCAACATGGCAAAACCCCATCTCTACAAAAAATATAAAAAACTATCTGGGCGTGGTGGTGCACACCTGTGGTCCTAGCTACTTGGGAGGCTGAGGTTGGGAGGATCACCTAAGCCTAGGATGTCAAGGCTGCAGAGATCCGAGATCGTGCCACTGCATTCAAGCCTGGGCAACAGAGTGAGACCCTGACCCAAAGAAAAGAAAAAAAAAAATTAAGAAGCAGTTTTCAACATAAAATACTGTATTAAGGTGTTACAGTAAATATGGAATTGCCAATAGTTCAATTAAAGTCCAAAAATATTTCTGTCCTTTAATTCCCTATTACCTGCTTTAGTTTCCTAATGCTGCCTTAACAAGTTACCACAGTGGCTTTAATGACAAAAATTTATTGTTTTTACATATATTTGTTATTTTACAGTTTGGTGGGTCAGACATCTGATATGGGTCTCAACAGGGCTAAAATCAAGGTGTTTGCAAGGGCTATGTTCCTTGCAAGAAGCTTGAGGGATCCAGTTCCTTGCACATGCAGGTTGTTGGCAGAATTTGATTGCTTGCAGTGAAAGGACTGAGTGTCCTTGCTGGCTGTCAGCTGAGGGTCATTCCCAGCTTCTAGAGGCCACCTACATTCCCTGGCTTGTGACTCATCTTCAGAGCGAGCAATGGAGGCTGAGTCCTTCTCATGCTTCACATCTTCTTTTTCAGATCTCAGACCCAACTGGGAAAGGTTTTCTGCTTTTAGGGTCTCATGTGATTATACCCAGATGATCATCCAGATGATCTCAAGCTCCCCAAAGCAAGGTCCATACCCTCAATCACGTCTGCATAAACACCTGCAACATCCCTTTTGCCAAATGAGGTGACATATTCAGAGTTCCTGGGGAATTCGGATATGGACTTGTTGGGTGGGTGGGATTACTCTGCCTATGACATTACCTTTCTCCTTTCCTTCAATTATTTTCCTTTTCTTCCAAGTACCTAGCTTTTAAATCCCAATTCAGGAATAGTAACCCAAAGGCCAGGGCAGCGAATAGACATAAGGTAGGGTCAGGAAAGGTTTGAGGAATCACGGGCATTGGAATAGGTGAAGGGATAAATCTAAAAATCAAGTAAGGGCTGAGTGTGGTGGCTCATGTCCGTAATCCCAACACTTTGGGAGGCAGAGGTGGGAGGATTGCTTGAGGCCAGAAGTTCGAGACCAGCCTGGGCAACATAGTGAGACCCCCCCCTCTCTATAATAAACAAATAATATTAAAATAAAAATATCAAATAGGGAGAAAATATAGAAGCCAAGTGTTTACAATGACTTTTACTAGGAGATTATGTTTATGTTGGGAGATTAGTGGTTTGGTACGTGATACACAGTAAAAGTGGCTTCCACTTATCCTAGGCGTTCCCAGCAAAATCACTGCTTGGGTGAACTCTAAGAGCATTTTATCAATTGTGAGATAAAGTGCAGCCTAATACCTGAACTTACCCATTCACATGTTAAATTCCCTATAAAGATGCTAGTGCTACTTCCAGGTGGTATAAATGAACCAGCATCATTTCTGCTCTCAAGCTTAGTCTAGAGGGAAAAAAGTAAAGCAACACTGAATACAGTAACCGGTTTAAAGGTACCTACAAAGCAGTAGGTACATACAAAAGGAGATGACTTTACTACTTACAGTAAATAAAAGAAAGCTTTAAAGGCATCTGAACTGAGGCTTAAAGAAAATGGTTTTGCCAGATGGGAAGGAGAGCAGAGGGAACTGCAAGTGCAAAAGCAAGGAATCAAGAGTACAGGATGGCACAGTCAGACAACTGGGTTCAGCAGTGTGAGAGCTTCACGTCACTGGAGGATAGAATGGCAGGGATAAAGCTGGATGGGGAGACAGAAGTCTCTGATGTCAGGCAAGGGAATTTCGACTTTATCGTGTAGTAGAAAAAACTGGAGATAGACAGTAACATAAACAGATATGCATGTTAAGACTAGTGGGTGCATAAAAGATGCAAAAGAGACAAGACGGGGGACTCACCACAAGGCCTATCACAATAATGAACAGAAAAATGCTGAGAACAAAGGACAGAATGCAAGGCTGGGGCTATGTATGACCACTGTTATGAACATCAAGTACTTGTGTTGTAGATTTTGCAAAAAGGAACTTGTTTTCTAGAAACTAAACGCATTATGTTTTCCATTCATTTCATACATTAGCTACAAATACAAGGTGACTAAAGAAAGCTCAAACCCTTACAAGCAAACATCACAACTGCATTATGTGTATATTTTCACTTTTGGCAGTCCTTGGGGTTTTTCTTCAAAAATTTCCCAAGAGGTTTTGTTTTGAAGGGTAAAGAGAGAGGGGAGTTAAACATCTTGAGTAGCTCTTCTTACCTTCAAGAAAAATAAAACTCTTTGGCCTGAAATTAAGTCCCCACCCCTTCTGCATATTAAGTGGCCACAACCCACCTTCTCCCAGACTTCATCCCCCAAACATGTCTTGTTCCTCTTCTATCTCTGCTCGGGTATTTCCTTACATAATCTGGAAAACCCTCCTAGTATTCCTTTTCCTCCCTGAGTTATCTGAATAACAAACATGGCCATTTGGAAAAGATAAAACTGTATGTGTGAAAGGCTCCACGAACTTAAGAATAATACAAACATAGGCACAACTCATTATTATAGCTATCATGTATGAATCCATTAAGGTCCAGTTCAAGGGAAACAATATAAGCAGCAAAAAACTGACTATCTGCAGGACTCGGAACCTGCTGTTTCAACGTTAGGGCAAACTATGATTAAAGATACTTCCTTCGTTTGTTTTTTGCAAAGATTAAATGAAATAATGTATTAAAAATGCTTACTACAATGCCTGTTATTAAGTGCTTAGCCCAAGTTGTCTTAAGTCCACACTCCTTTCATCACACTATTTTCCCCTAAAAACACATCATTTTGGGAGGCTGAGACAGAAGAATCGCTCGAACCCGGGAGGCGGAGGTTGAGGTCAGCAGAGATCACACTACTGCACTCCAGCCTGGGCAATAAGAGCGAAACTCCGTCTCAAAAAAAACAAAAACAAAAACAAACAAAAACCCTAAATCATCTCACGTTTCATGATATATAAGAATGAATGAAGGGGTTGTATTAATAATTTTATACAAAATAAGGTCCCTTTCCCCTTGGAATAGTCTAGACAGAATATTCAAAAGCTCCTTTCATTTTATAGAAACACATAAAATACTGTATTAAGGTGTTACAGTAAATATGGAATTGCCATTAGTTCTATTAATCAATTCTAGTATTCTATCTTCAAAGACTAATGAGTATCAACTAAATCCCAGTAAGAATGTTTCATGTACACAACATTAATTCAACATTTTAAGTAATAATTTAAGAATGCAATGTATTCCTAAATGCATAATATAAAACTAATAGCTTTCCTTTCTAGGGTTCAAGTGGCCTCCTTGTAGCTATTTTAAGGCAAGAATACTGTTTGTCTCACTTTAGGGATTACTATGACAATACTTCAAACACCTTCATTTATGTGATTTTAGTTTCATTATCAGTATTCATATAAACATTTAATGCCTTCAATCAAGTAGCATCTACTGTACTTCAAACAAAAGTGCCAAACAACTTGAGGTTGACTGGGTCCTTACATAAAAAGCTGTTTGGCCAGTTGTGGTGACTTATGCCTGTAATCCCAGCACTTTGGGAGGCCGAGGTGGGTGGACTGCTTGAGCTCAGCTTCAGCTCAGAAGTTCAAGACCAGCCTGGGCAACATAGTAAAACCCCGTCTCTACCAAAAATACAAAAAACTAGCCAGGCGTGGTGGTGTGCACTTACCGTCCCAGCTACTGGGGATCACTTGAGCCTGGGAGGCGGAGGTTGCAATGAGCTGAGATTGCTCTACTGCACTCCAGCCTGGGCGACAGAGTGAGACCCTGTCTCAAAAAAAAAAAAAATTAAAAAAAATGCTGGGAATAAAGGCAAGAGGGAAGAAAACCCCAATTAAAACAATATGGAAAGTACAATGATATAAACAATAAAATGGCAAGTTTATAAGAAAAAAATTTAGTTCAATAAAATAAAAAGGAAGTATTCCACTTTGTTTTAGGTACTTTAACCAATATTAATAATGCAAAGATGACTAAGATTCAGTTCTACCTTCACTGACTTGTATTAACTTCAAGCACTGAAAGTATTTAGTGATACATGTTCATGTACACATAGTGACCTATTTTCTTTTCTTATACTGTTGGTTGGTGACAGTAGTCAGATCTTCTACAATATCCTTGCTGATTTTTGTCTACTTGTTCTACCACTTACTGAGATAGGCACGTTGAAGTCTCAAACAATAATGGCTTGAGACCTTGGATAAGTTGTTTGTAACTCCATAGACTTGTTTATCTGTTCGGTGGAATTAAGAATGGATTAAATGAGATGACACATGTAGTTTTTGCACAGTGCCTGACACAAGTTTGTTGTTATTAAAAGACAAGTGAACTGATTTTTATAGGGAGTTAAAAACATTTAAAGAAACTCCTAAAGATAAAACATATCATAAACTTTGCAAAATTGAGAAGATTTTGCAAAGTCAATCTAACTGGTAATATGAAATCTGGTTTACTTTTACCTCATTTTAGGGACTCTCTTTGGACAAAAATCAGAATATAAGAAATGTGACAGACCACCTAGTTAAATCTCATTTTAGACATGAGGAAAACCGAAGCCTAAAATTGTCCAGTTATAAACTAGTGACCCCTAAACCAATGTTCTCTCAAGCTGCCTTATTTTCCTAAATCCCAATAAGAATATTTCTAGTGTATTTTTAGGAGTGGAGAAGAATTCCCTGCATGTACAAGGTATTTTAAAAAACAGAAGTTAAATTAAATCTAAAACCCCTCTTTTTTCACTTATTTTAGACAAGACAATAAAAAATATTTAATGAAAAGTTTTATTATTTGGCCTTTCAGTAAACCTGAAAGAAAAAACCAGAAGAGGGTGTAAATTAGAGATGAAAGGCAGAAGTTTTCCTAACTGGGGAGCTTGAAATTATGTTCATGCTCTTTGGAGAATGTTAACAGAAACCTTAGAATTATCTGTCTGGGTACCATACAATGGAATTAGATTCATTTGTAAATGATTCTCTTCCAGACTTGCTTAGTTCTTTGCCAGGAAATACATTTCCAAAGCTCTGATTTTAAATAAATTTTAAGACATATTATAAATTTAAAAAATATAACTTACATAATTTATTGGTATAGCCTACGAAAAACTTACTAAAATGACATTTTTTGGCTTTAACTAGCATTTGTTCAGAGTATAAAAGAAATTTAGCAGTAAAAATTTACCTTATCTGATATATAATTTATCATCTCTGTACTTTCAATTGTACTGTCAATTTCTACTAATGCTATCTTCTCAGACTTGATCCTCACAACAAATGAGGGAGAGGGGAGAGAGAAACCTGGAAGAACAAGTAGATGAAGTAGGTTTTTTCCAGAAGAGAAAACAGGCTCAGAGAGGTTAAGTGATTTATCCAAGGTCACAGGCAGCAAGTGCAAAACACAAGGTTTCTAACTCCAAGTCCAATGTCCTTTCCTGCATTATACTAAATGGCACTGGTAGAAAGGCAGAAGAGAAGGCAAAGGGAAAGGGAGGCACAGAGAAGGGAAATAATAATAAAAAGGTCAGCCCCAAATGCAAATATATACTTTTACATTGGTAACCATTTTGGGAGATCTTTTCTAGTTGTTTGAAGCCATTCCCTCCCCACTTCCCCTTCAATCATGTTCAAGACCAAATTACTTATGCTTACCTTCAACTACATCTGCAGTTTTCATTAAAGGATTTTCTTTTATTATTTTAAGGCTTAGTCTTATTATTCCATGATAGACTTTACTTGTGACCAAACCAGGCTTCTCTGCATGCAATGAGGAATTGTAGTCCGTACTTACCGGACAAGGGCAACAAACACTTGAAGTGTCCTTACATCTCAAACACTGGCATGGAAGAGGTCCTATAGTTAGTGTAACTTAAAATTCTCAAAGTCAGTTATAGAATAAAGACTTGAACTACTCAAACAGTATTAGACTATGCATACATTCAATTTAGTATATCTGGGTTTGGTAATCCTAACATTAGAAAATTATTTTCAAGGCTTAAATATCAGATTTAATCTTTGTAAGTCTCTATATAGTAACTAATGGTAGCATGGGGAAAATGTTAAAAGTAAATCCACAAATTATGGCATATAAGCTACTTGGGAAGCATTAAGAATGCAGTTTAATAAAAAAGGTATCACTTAAGGATCACCTGAATATCAATGGAGATTTAAACATAACTATCCATGATCTACTTGGAGCTTCTTAAAAAGCTTTTTTTATTTTTAAGTGCAAATACACTCCTTTAGTATCTTATGAACATTATCTACTTTCTCATCTTGAGTTTGGTTACAAATTCTACATGGCAGGAATGACACTGTTTAGAATTCTATAACAATCCTATAAATTATAAAATAGTACTGTAGTAGTCATCATGGCTCTCCTTGTGGGCACATAGTTGTCATATACTTTCTCAGCCTTTTGAAGTTAGGTGTGGCCAGATGATTTGCTTTAATGAAATATGAGCAGATGTGATAAGCATTACTTCCGGATCTAACATTTTAAGACCAGTATGTGCTATGCTGTAGTCTTTCATCTTCTGGCACAACAGAAGATCAGTAACACTGGAGATGGTGGCTGCTGTTGGCCTGTGTCCCTGAATGACTAAAATGAGCAGAGCCCCTATGAACAAGAAATAAACCATAGTTGTTTTAACACTGAGGTGTCAGAGTTCTTTGTTAACCACAGCATAACAAGCCCATCTTGACAGAAGTGCCAAGTATCTAAAAGGCATTCAGATATCCGTTGGTTCTAGTTCTATTACATTGGAAGAATATAATGAGTCAAACTATCTGCTAAAGCCAAAAAAGGTGGACATGATTAAACGGTGGTTCCAAATTAATTTCAGATTTACCTTAACAAAAGTAATGTGCTTAGCACTTACAGTTTCATATATGTCGATTTCTTTATCTTCCAGAGTCTCTACAGGAATTGTAGATATGATTATGCCCAGGTGCAAAAGAGGAATCTGAAGCCTAGGGAGTTTAAGTGACTTGTTCAAGATTACACAGTGAGTTATTGGCACAGGAATATCTATTTCTGATTTGGTTCTTTCCAATATACCACAGCTGAACAGAGACTGTCACAGGCAGTTTGGTGTAGCTACAATAGGTATTTTTACATATTGTATAAGCTACGATATTAAAATACACATACTAAAACATTTTTATGTTTAAGGCAAAAGTATTCAAAACCAAATCAGCAATATATTAAGCATTCCCTTATAACTAAATGCTACCTTTCCTTAAAAACTTACGCTGTAAAGAACCACCTAGAATTCCAACCTATAAACATTGTTTGAAAATTTTCTAGATAGAAATCTCTAACAGACTAACACAAATACTTGGTTCCCTGGATCATTTTCAGGTTGTTGGTAACCAAGGGGTACAAAATACACCCTTGAATTACCACTTCATTTCCCATTTCCTCCCTAGTGAATCAGAATAGTTCATTAGCTGAATAAGGCAGGAAGAAAGGCAGTAGATTCCCCACCCATTTGCAAAAACAATTACAGTAACTGAACCCTTCTCAAGGGTCCCAGAACTAATACAAACCATTATTAACGAAATTTAAATTTTAAAGCCTAGAAAAATTGTAATATTTAATTTTTAAAGCTAGTGTCTATATATATACGCAAATTAACTTTCTGTACTACAAATGACAGTAAATTTTTAGCTGGACACATTAGAACTATATTACAATTAAAACTGTGCCTTGTGGGTAGTACAGACACCAAAATTTTATCAAGTAAACTAATTTGGATAGTGGTATTTTAAATTATGCATATTAGAAATTCAGTATCCTACGATTAGGGCACAAGTTAATCCAAAATACTAACCTTCCAGAGCAGAATGCTTCAATACTGAAGTGGCAATGTAGAGTACAAAGAATTTTATTTCTGATGTCAAACTATGCTAAATCCAATCTCAACTATTTGAGCAAGTTAGCTCTCAGAACCTCTGTTTCTACCTCTCTAAACGGCAGTAACCACCTAGCAGGGTTAAACGGCACTGGTGAAGCACCTAACATAGTACTAAGCAAAGAGAAGTCCAACAATGCACCCTCATCCCCATAAAAGAAAAAGACACTGTGCTGTAGCATCATTCTGAAACTATTTATTCTCATGAAATATGTACTTCTCCTTGAAGAGAAAATTTATGTACAGCAAGACCAAGCTTTCTCTTTTTCTCCTGGTCACAGACGTATAAACCCTATTTCAGTTGTGTTAGAGCTTGAAGGGTGGTTCCACCCTAAGAAATTGGGAAGACAAATTGAAACAGTGTAAAGTATTAATTGTTAATAAAGAATTTTGTTTTATAATGTGTAATATATTAAGCACACTTACTATTCATACATAAATATCCAGATATTGGGAGTATGCACATTTTTTTTGGACAGGGTGTACAATAAAAAGAAGCTAGAGACGACTTTTCTAGACTATGTGGCTAGAGAACACACATAGACCATTAATTAAAGTCTAATGAAAGATACACATTTATCCTAATAGTAATACAAAATCTTGGGTTACAAGTCTCTAAACAACTGAATTTATGACATTTAGTATTAATTTATAATGTATTAAGAATGGGTATACAGTTCTATTTTAATTCACTTTTTAGTCTAAATGGATATAAATGACTGTACAAATTGGAACAAAACCTGCTGACTAAAATTAGACCTGTTAATCACTGTTAATATGTCTTGCAGGTACTATACTTAAAAACAGAGACGTTCTAAGTTTATAAAATTAGGTCTTAAAATCTGTTGTCAGGTTTATTTTTGATGTCCATATTCTAAAACTTCTTTGATTATATCAACAAGCCTCTTCAGTTCCTGGCTTTATTTTACAGTATTGTTGTTTCACAACAGATGCAATGCTTTAAAAAACAAGGCCAATTTAACATTTACAAATGACCATATGCTACTGGGGAGTATAAATTCGAGGTCAAACACTCTGCCAACTTTCATCAGTATCAAAAGCGGTAGTTTGTGTTTTAGAAAAACACTGGAACTCAGAGGCCATCTACATGAGTTGCTAGTCTATGTGACTCAGAATTCCATTTGTCCTGCTCTTTGCTTCAGAGCTGAAGTCATAAATGTCTCCATCTGTGACATAATTATTTCCAAAATCAATTAAGAGATGTCAAATAGAAAATTATGGCTTCAGGTAATACATAAAATGGCAGAAATGGATAATTTAATCTTAAGGATGAAAGTTTAGCTCCTTCAAAGCAAACAAGAAAATGAAATGATTTGCCCTGTTTTACTTACTTAGGACAGATTCTCTCCCGTGGGGAAATATAATACTGTAAAAGAATGTGAACATTAGAAGTCACTTCGTTCTCCATACGAGTGAGCAAACACTTTACAGGTTTATTACTATGCTGCTGGGACATGGGGGTGGCAAAGGGGTCAATGATCCACAAGTTGTATGGTTCAGAACAGCAAAAGGACCAGATTTTCTGCTTTTAAGATAGAGGATGATGACATACTTTTAACAGTATTGTCAACTCTGGGAAAATACAAGGTTTAAATGGAAGAGCCAGCAATTTGTCTCCATGATCTAAGACATAATTAAATTCAACATTTCCTTATTAACCAAATAAACACAGCCCTCAAAAGAAAAACTAAGGCTTTATCTCATTTCCTATCACGTAATAGCTGGTACAAAATAAAAACTTGGAATTCACTTTACTTTTAAAAAACTGATTTCTATAAAGATTAACAACATACACAAGTAAGGGCCATTTAGCAGTGCTTTAAGGGGTGTCTACTATAATGAAGGACTAAAGTTTGTATTAAACTAAATCTATAAAATATGTTATCTTGTCCTTCAGTAAAACTGGCACGTAAATGTTTTCTTCCTTTGTTACCCTAGACTGTTACCATAAGCACACGGAAGCAACTTGTCCTGAGAAGTGGCATCTTCATATGGCATTCAGGCTTCTTCACATTCTGGTGTGAACGCCTGCCTTCCCCCTTTTCCACCACTCCCCTTTACAGACCTCAAGTATCAAAACAACACTACTTGGCAATTATACCTAGGCTAGTCCTCCACACCCCTCCTCACATTGTTCCTCCACAGTTTTTCAATCTCCATTTGTTAGACTCCTTCCTACCCATTTTCCAAGGCCCTCTCCATAGATGTTCTCTTACCTGAGACTTTGTCATACTAAATACACTATAGTTAGTGCCATTCTACTGTTTATTAGACTGTTATCTTCTTAAGGGCAGAAAGTCTGAATTAACTTCACATTCTCAATACCACAAACTCAAAACCTGGCAAAATACAAGCTTGGTACATAGCGATTCCTCAGTGTTCTTACATGAATGGTCAACTCATTCTGATCCAAATTGAGATGTTGTAATTTTATCCCATGTAAACAAAAGTTTTCTCCTGGATTATTACTCTAAGTATCGCCAAAACCAAACAATCCAGGAATCTGAAACTCATTAACCAGAAGAACGACAAGCATAAGCTACCTTTCAATTGAAAGGTCCAGCTTTGAACAGTGTCTGTAAGTGCCAATCATCAGGCAGTCTGAACTAAGCTATCTCCTTTATCCAGATTTCAGATGAGTTTTTATTAAAATCCTACAGATAGGAAAGAAATAAGCCAAGTCTGATATGTGAAACCACCATTTCGACAGAGCTCTTATTTATGTGTACTTTAGACCACCTGGGAAAGATGAGATCATTTAAGCGGCAGCGCCATCATCTCTCTTTATTTGACCCCAACAATGCTCTCAACCTAACAGTAAAGAGGCATGCAACAACCAGGCTAAACCACATTGTCATGCGGTGGCAGCAGGTAACATCTGCCCCTTTCATAAAGGGGAAATGCTACCATAAAGAACTTAGGACCTTCCCTAAAAATGTCGGATACAGAGGTACCCCAGGCATCCCCTTCCCCCACCTTCACAAATCTACTCCTGGAATCTGAGACACAGGTCCTTTGTCTGAACAATGTGGGAGGAGTCTGTCTGCAGTACTGGTGTGCTGGCAAGTGAAGAGGAGAATTAACTGAAAACTGTATAAACCGATGAAGTTTCTTAATTACCTTAGTGTCCATTTTTTCTTCATCCTGCACACTGAACAGTTTTAAAAGACAGCCAGTGTGTCAGTGTGTCTTTCCGAGAGTTGAAACGTACCGAGAGAAATACAGTTAAGATAGGCGGCAGTGAGTTGGGCTGCTTTTCCAAAGCTAAGTTTCTCAACAGCGGAGGGGCAGGGGATGGCGGTGATACCGACCATTTGAACACCCCTTCCCTCCCCAGTGAGCTCTGTCTACAGGCCTCCATTTCTGTTCTTTTCTCCATCTGAACAAGTTCTTGTAAGGGAGGCTGAACGCTTTTAGAAGACACTCGGCGGCGCAAACTTGCAATCTCGAAGCTTTCCGTACCCAACAGCGAACCCACAACTCCTCGAGCCCGACCTTTTACCACCTCACTGAGGTTTCTGGTGCCACGCCAGCCTGGTGTTCCACGAATACAGCCCAAGTAACGTGAACACCACCGGACTGGGTCGCCCGAGAAACTTCACACTTTTTACCAGGCAAGACGGGCGGAAAAGCGTGGGTTTTCGCAAGGTGACCCATCTTCACATCTGGTCGACCCTCGGCTCCTCCCAGACCCCTTCGCGGTGGACTTGGGGGCCTCGCCGGGTTCGCCTTTTCCGTCCCACGCTCCTTTCTCTCGTCTCCCCACCCACGCCCGGGGCCATGCCCAGCTGGACCTCCCCACCCCTGCACTCACCCTGGCGGCCGACGATCTCGGCGACGTGCTCGGAGCTGGGCACCGGGACGCACTCGGTGGTGTTGACGCTCTTTCTCCGGAGCAGGGCCGCCTGCTCCCCGTTCAGGGCGGCCGCCGCCGCCCCACAACCGCCGGGGCCGTAGGCGTGGGACAGCATCGCCGCCATCATGCCCTGGGCATCGTCCCCTCCGTACAGCACCCCCGCCGCCGCCGCCGCGGCCGCCGCCTCCCGGGCATCGAACCTGGCGGCTGGCAGCAGCACAGACCCCAGGGACCCGCCCGGGATCTGCTGGGTCTGAGAGGCGGTGGCCGCGGGCGGCGACAGCAGCAGCAGCGACGACCGGTCCTCCTCCTCTGCTTCCTCCAGCTCCTCCTCCTCCAGCAGGTCTCCGTCCAGCTCCGCTTCCTCCCCCTCCTCCTCGTCCTCTTCCAGCTCCAGCTCGGCCGCCTCCGGGGCCCCGGGCCGGCCGGGCGGAGCCCGCTCCTCTGGAGACAGCTCCGCCGCCCGCCGGGCCTGGCCCTGCGCCGCCGCTGCCGGGGCCCGAAGCGCCGGGGCGCCGGGCTCCGCCGGGCTGGGGTCGTCGAGGCCTAGCGCGGCCAAGCGCTCCCTCAGCAGGAGCCCGTCCCCCTCGAGCTCCGGGCCGCCCGAGGGCGGCGGCAGAGGCGGCGGTGGCGGCGGCGGCGGCGGGGGCGGCTGCGGCAGGGGGGCCGGGGCCGCCGCCAGGGCCAGGGCCGCGGAGCTGCCGCTGGGCATCGCGGCGGCGCGCTGTCAATGGCGGCGGCGGCGGCCGGGTCAGGCGCGGCAGGCGGCGAGCCCCATGGCGGACAGGGCCAGGGCCCTGCTCAGCTCGCAAACACCTTTCCTCTGGGGAGGCGGCGGGGCTGGGGACCCGGGCCGAGGAGCGCCAGGGCCGCCCGGAGACCGGAGAGGGCGGGGTGGAGGGGCAGGGGAAGGAGGCAGAGGTAGGTAACTAGGTGGGTGGGTGGGGACGGCGGCGGGGCGGGCTGGTGGAGGTGGCAGCGGCTCCCCTCTCAGTGTTTCTTTTGTTTCATGGCCTTAACCAGCCCCCGGCGCGCGCGGCGGCGGCGGCTACGCCCCACGCCGCTCTCCGAATGAAGCCGGCGCGCTCTGATTGGGTGCTTTTAATCTCTGGGAGCCCGCCTTCTCCTCCCGCAGCCTTCCAACTCCTTTCCCCAGCCCCACCCCCCACCCTCCTTCGGGCCCCGCCCCTCCCCTCCCCAGAGCTCTCTGATTGGGTGACCGGGACCAGCCAGTTCCCGAAGCCTACTCCTTCCGTCCTCTCCCCGCCCACCTCCCTCTCATTCCTCCCGGCACGCGCGGAGAGGGACTGTGATTGTTCACTTTACACGTCACTCTTTGTGACGTCCCCGGCGGGGGCGGGAAAAAGGAGGCGGACGAAGGCGCTGCAGCAGAGGCTGAAACTAAGGGCCAAGCGGGGTTTTGGCGCAGGCGCGTGCGGTCGAAGCGCACACCTGGATTTGTTTCCCCCCAACCCTTCATCCCTGTAGCCCATGTGGCTGAGTTCTTTTAGGGAAGGCACTGTGTGAGCGGCCTGGAGCAGAGCTGCAGGCATAGGTTCGAGAGCATTGTTTCCTTGGGTTGAGGAAGAGATCGCCCCCTTCAGAGGAAGGGCCTTAAGAAGAGTCACGGAAGGAGGGGCCACGCAGTATCCTCCTATCCCCTCGCGGGGGCGGTTTCCTGAGCCGCGTGGCTCCCGGGCCTTCCCTCTCGGACTCGGGAATGCTCCTCCCACGCCCCGCTGGCCCGGCTTCTCTGCCGGCAGGATGGTTACATCAGCAGCCTGGAGGTGCTGAAGTTTAGCTCTTCGGGGTTTTTTGTTTTTTTTTTTTAAACGGAGTCCAGCTCTGTCGCCCAGGCTGGAGTGCAGTGGTGCGATCTTGGCTCACTGCAACCTCCGCCTCCCGGGCTCAAGAGCTTCCCCTTGCAGTGGCTCACGCCTGTAATGCCAGCACTTTGAGAGGCTCAGGCGGGCGGATCACGAGGTCAGGTCAGGAGTTCGAGACCAGCCTGATCAACATGGTGAAACCCCGTCTCTACTAAAAATACAGAAATTAGCCGGGCATGGTGGCGCACGCCTGTAATCCCAACTACTCGGGAGGCGGAGGCAGGAGAATCGCTTGAACCCGGGAGGTGGAGGTTGCAGTGAGCCAAGATCATGCCACTGCACTCCAGCCTGGGCGACAGAGCGAAACTGCGTCTCAAAAAAAAAAAAAAAAAAAAAAGAGTTTCTCCTGTCTCAGCCTCCCGAGTAGCTGGGATTACAGGCACGTGCCACCACGCCCAGCTAACTTTTGTATTTTTAGTAGAGACGGGGTTTCACCATGTTGGCCAGGCTGGTCTCGAACTCCTGACCTCAAGTGATACGCCCGCCTCGCCCTCCCAAAGTGCTGGCATTACAGGCGTGAGCCACCTCGCCCAGCTCTTTGGTGCTTTTTAAGAAAATGAATCCCCGTTTCCTCCTCCCTAGACACTCTTCCCACAGTATTGCTCAGGTGATCTCACGCAGTGGCTATCTTTTCTAGAGGTTATTATTTCTGTTTTTGTTGAGACAAGAGTCTCACTCTGTCGCCTAGGCTGGAGTGCAGTGACATGATCACAGCTCACTGCTGCCTTGACCTCCTAGGCTCAAGTGATCATCCCGCCTCAGCCTCCCCAGTGCATCACCACGCCCGGCGCGCATCACCACACGTGGCTAATTTTGTTTATCTTTTGTAGAGACTGGGTTCTTACCCTGTTGCCCAGGCTGGTCTCAAACTCCTGGGCTCAAGCGATCCTTCCACCTGGGCCTCTCAAAGTGCTGGGATCACAGGCGTGAGCCACCGCGCCTGGCCTCTAGGGGGTATTTTTAAATGGCTTGTTAAAAATTATGCTTCTTAACTTTCCTCTGTCTTAGGCTGTGACTAGCCCGTCTATCCCTTTAGTACTAAGTCCTGCCAGGTTAATCTTAGCCAGCAGCTTGGTCCTATACCTACAGATACAATGTAACAATGTAATTTTAAAATTTCTAAATGACCCCTTTAAAGCAAGAAGAAACATAGTTTTAATAAATACACTTAGTTCAATATGTCCAAAATAGTATTTCAACATGTAAGCCATATAAAATTACTGATAATGTTTACAGTTCTTTTGCATTAAGCCTTTGAAACCAGGGTGTGTTTTACACTTCCAGAAGTTCTTTTCACACTAACTGCATTTCAAGTACTACTCAGTAAGTACTCTAAATTTCTTGATTTTAAAATTATAACGGGACACTTTCTATATTGGATTAATTTATTATACCTAATTGCCTTAAACTCGTTTCTTAAGAGTCAACTTTAATTGAACATATACTTTTCTAAATTGTCTAGGCTGTTACCAAGACGGAGAAGGCTAAACTGTGACTTGCATTTGCTATTTTGTGCCCATAGGACATTTGCACAGTCCTACCTCACCCCTCTGATCAAAGACCTAGAGACTTTTAGCTAACACTAAACCTTTCCTGTTACTACTCCTAGATTTCCCCAGCCCTCCTAGAACCCTGTGTCTTGCTTCTCTAACAACACAATTGTAGCAGTAAGCTCTGGAGGAGGTGGGTTTATAGAAGAAATCTTGCCCTTACCCATAGTGAAAAGTGATCTTTTCCTTCCCTACCTTCCCAATTACGCACAATTTTCACTGATTTACTACATTGACACCCTTTTCGAGATATGCCTTAAGGACACATTTCATGATATTTTGATAAAAGGTACTAAATCTTTTTTAATGTATCAATGAATAGCTTATACAATTAGACATTTACTTATAGAATATGCAAAATGTTTGCTGTCTGATATTTAAGTTTAAACAATATTATTTGAAGGGAAGAACTTCTAAAAATCAAATCCAATCAAGGGAGAAAGCCAAATAAAATATACAGCAGTCACCCCAGGATATGTTGGTCATTGGAAGGAAATACAAATGAAACTTGAAAGTCCTTCTCTCCACCTCTTTTCATGAATTATCATATAATGCTCACTCCTTAGTCTTCCCAGTTCTCTTCCCAAGAACCCAAAGCAAAAGCTGTAGCAGGAGTGATAGTTCACCGCACATTTTTCTTTTGAGAGGGGGAGATGTAAGAAATAGATTCATGTACATAAGTTTCACAAAGATCCACTTGGCTAGGATTTTTTAAGATGCTAAATGCTTGGCCGGGCTCACGCCTGTAATCCCAGCACTTTGGGAGGCCGAGGCGGGTGGATCATCCGAGGTCAGGAATTTGAGACCAGTCTGGCCAACATGGCAAAACCCTGTCTCTACTAAAAATACAAAGACTAGCCAGGCACGGTGGCACGCACCTGTAGTCCCAGCTACTCGGGAGGCTGAGGCAGGAGAATCGCTTGAACCTGGGAAGTGGAGGTTGCAGTGAGCTGAGATCGCGCCACTGCACTCCAGCCTGGGTGACAGATCGAGACTCTGTCTTAAAATAAAATAAAATAAAATAAAAATGCCAAATGCTTTAATGTAGATGTTTATAATATAAAATTGCTTTCTACTTCATTCTCACATAATAAATGAGGTTTCATGAGTTCCTGTACACAAATATATACATTCATGCATTAATTTATATTTGGTCAATGTTGCGATTTATGAATAAGGCAGGAGATATTAAAGCTCACAGACCTTCCCATTTGGGTCTAAATTTATCGTCTTGTATTAAATCTTGTTTATGAAGCAACTTTGAGATTTGCTTTTTCTCTAAATATAATGACTGGGATTCTTTCATTTTAATATATCAAACTTCCCAGTCCCTTCTATCTCCCTCAGTCACACCACGCACTAATTTGCACCTGAAGAGGGTTTCCCTTTTATTCCTATGGTGTTGTTTATGACAGAGTTTGACACATGGAGGGTGGTGAGGAAGAAGAGTTGCTTTAAGGATCATAGGACAAAAAACCTACAGCATTGGCCCTGCCCTTTATCAAATCGCAGGCTGGCTGCTGAACTAAAAATCTATCCAATTGTAATATTAAGGTTGGAATAATTGCAGAGTAAACAAAGCTTAACAAGATGTTTGTCCTAGTAAGAAAATTGAGATAATTAGACAATAATTTTGACGCAATGCTGTAAAGACTGCCAGAAAAAAAACATGGTGAAAGATTCTGCTGAGACCCTCAGACAGAAGCCAGAACTAAGCACATACTTCCTTTATAAAGCAGGACGAGTTTTTTAGGGTAGGATGTTCCTCAGAAGTAGTAATACCCAGCTCCACGATATTTCTTCCTACCCAGGACCATGAACATGTCATTCTCTTGCCTTGAATGGCTCACTGCCTTGCAAGAAAATCTTCTACATGGAATTCCAGGCCTTCCACATTTTGGTATCATTCTTTCAGGTGCTCAAAACTGTCACATAAGCATGCTCAGATCTCTCCCATATTAACAGAAACTCCTCCTTGACAGCACATCCCCCTCTTGTCACCACCCTCTTTACTTTCAATCAGCTTCTCCAATCAGCTGTCTGCACTCACTGCCCATTTCTTTACCAAGCACTGCAATGCAGCCATGGCTCTTGCTGCTTCACTGAAATTATTCTCACCTTGTCAGTAAATCCATTGAGCGCTTTTTATCCTTATCCAGCTTAACCTTTCCATGGCAGGATTTGACACTATTGACTGCTCTTTAAAGCAACCTCTTCCTTTCCCTTCCTTGAGCTCTGCTTTTCTTACTTCCATGGTCATGCCCTGGTCTCCATAGAAGGCTCTGTGTTCCTATCACTCACATATGGCATCCATCAAAGATCAGTCTCAGTCAGGCCTGCTTTTGCTTACTGTATACTCTCCACCTAAACTTTTATCCATTTCCAAGGCTTCTATTACCTTGTTGACAGTTCCCAAGTACATATTGCCATTTCTTATCTCTCCATTGAGTTCCAGACCCACAAGTCCCACTGTTTTATGGATACCTGGAATTGGCAATTCAAATTCAACCTCAGTTTAAACTCAATTTCTCAAACAAATCTTCTCAGGTAAAATTGATTTTCAGCTTAATAGTGTGCTAGATAGCACCATTGTCTACTCCATTCTTTTGACAAAAGCCTGGTGGACATTCTTGACTTCTTCTTTAACTCCCATAGCCAGTCAAAGATCAGGTTCTAAGGGTCATACCAATTCTCAAATCCATCCATCTTTCTGCATCTCTACCACTGTGATAGAATAAGAAATTTATCTTTGATCTTTATCCATAATTTGTGGTACAGAGCTCCTAAAACTCTTGTAATTTCCTGAATAATTGGTGGTGATAGGAGATTGAGTTAATAAACATGCATGTATGATAAAACCTCCATTAAAAAAAAACCCTTGGAGAGCTTCTGGGTTAGTGAAGGCACACACATACCAGGAGGGTAGTGTGCTCCAACTCTACTAGGACAGAAGCTCCTGAGCACAGGATCCTTCCAGATCTCACCCTGTGTACCTCTTCACCTGGCTGTTCGTTCGGATCCTTTATACTCAACCAGTAATAGTAAGATGCTTTTCTGAGTTCTGTGAGCCACTCTAGCAAATATTTGTGTCCCTGGGAACCCCTGACTTTGTAGCCAAATTGGATAGAAGGTTGGGTACCCTGGATACTCAAAACTTGTGTTGGCATCTGCAGTGGGGCAGTCTTGTGGGGCTGAGCCCTTAACCTATGGGATCTATGTTAACTCCAAGTAGTTAGTGCCAGAACTGAATTGAATTTTGAGACACCCACTCGATGTCCAGAAAGTTGGAGCATTGTTTGATTTGGAGACAAAACCCCATACATTTGGTGTTAGAAGTGCTGAGACTAAAACTGTTCAGAACCATCATTACCACAGTCTAGATGATGAACAGGAGTCCCCAAGACAAATATTCTTACATCTAGTCTTGCACCACTCTAATTCATTGTCCATGCTGCAGCTGGAATAATTTTAATTCAGGATTACTTCTTCTACTTCTCTTAAAACCCTTTTTGTCGTCCTTAGGATAATATCCACATTTCCTAACATACAAGGTCTTCTGCATCTGGGCTATGTCTACCTCTTATCCTTGTTCATGCTAGGCTTCCTTTTACATTGTTGTTCTTACCATAAAGGCCTTCTGGCAAGTGTTCATATATTCTACATATTCTTCTTATGCCTCCAGGCCTGGAATAGGGCTCTTCTGCCTTCAGTCTTTTTTTTTTTTTTTTTTTTTTGGAGACGGAGTCTTGCTCTGTGGCCCAGGCTGTAGTGCAGTGGTGCAATCTCAGCTCACTGCAACCTCCACCTCCCAGGTTCAAGCAATTCTCCTGCCTCAGCCTCCTGAGTAGCTGGGATTACAGGCACCCACCACCACACCATGCTAATTTTTGTATTTTTTAGTAGAGAAGGGGTTTCACCATGTTGGCCAGGCTGGTCTTGAACTCCTGACCTCACGTGATCCACCCGCCTCGGCCTCCCAGAGTGCTGGGATTACAGGTGTGAGCCATGGCACCTGGCCTCTCCTTTCACTCTTAGCTAAGCTAACGTCAATACAAGTTGTCCTTCAGAGCTCAGCTTAAACATCACTTCCTCTAGGGTGTCTTCCCTAACCTATTAGGTAAGGTAGATGTCCTGCAATTGGCTCTTATGGTGTCCTCTATGTCCCTAGCAACACTTTGCATTCTTTGTTCTGGAATTGTCTCTCTTCTTCTCTTCTTTATAAAGCCAGCTTTACCATAGCACTTGGTACCTAGGAGGGGCCAGTATGTCCTTGCTGACTGACCAACTAAATGGATATTATTTCAAATAAACTCAGTTCAACAGCTAATCTGAACCTTTGGCCGTTTTTGAAATATGCATTGTACTATCCCATCTTTGTGCCTTTGCTAGTGTTGTTTTTCTGCTCAGATTGCCCTGACCTTCTATCCCACCTTCCCCATCTCCACACATTTTTAATCCTCAGCTTACATTTGACTTCTTCCAACCTACATTCCTAGTCAATAGAATCAGGGCTAGTCCTTCCCTTCCTCTCCCCAGGAAAATACATATGAAGGCAACATTTCTCGTATATTTCTGTATGCTTAAACGACCCCTTAAAGTCTACCCATGGATCTCTTGGGGTTCTGTAGGCCTATGAAACAGACTGGCTAGATGTTCACTAAATCTGTTTCCTCCTCTTCCTGAGCACACAGCTAGACTACATTTCCTGGCCTCCACTGTGGTTGGGAAGACTGAGTTTTAGCCAAGTGTACAGAATTTCCTTCAAGAGTCCCTCATATTATCATCCTTGTTCCTCCTCTATCTGTGGATGTAAATGAGTATGATGAACTTGGAAGCCACATGTTAAAGATGACAGAGCCGCAAGATAAAAGGAGCTTGAGTCACCACATGGAGCAGAGGTGCCCTCCAATCAGATGTACCTGTTTCATACTTTATATGAGTGGAAAAAAAAAAGATTTTTAAGGAGTTTGAAATATATTTTTGTATACATTGGTTATAGCAGTTAGCCTATCTTTTTTTTTTTTAATTTTATAAATTTTTGCTAAGGGAGGTGCAGGTCCACACCAAGGCCCAGCCATCCCAGTTAGCCTGTCTTAACTAACATAAAACACCAAGTTAAAAACCCCTGGTTTGTAAGAAGATAGTAAAAAGCTTAGTGGTTGCCAGGGGTTGGAGGAAGGGAGGAATAGATAGGTGGAGCTTAGAGAATTTTTAGGGCAGTGAAACTACCATTTTTAATACTATAATGGTAGATACACATCTTTATACATTTGTCAAAACCCATAAAGTGTACAGAACCAAGACTGAATCCTAATGTAGACTATGGACTTTGGGTGGTAATGATGAGTCAATGTAGGTTTGTAGGTTCAAGAATTCTAACAAATGTTCCACTGTGGTACTGGATGTTGATAATGGGGTGGCTGTGTGTCTGTGTGGAGAGGGGGTACATAGGAACTCTCTGTACTTTCTGCTTAATTTTGCTGTGAACTAAAACCGCTTTAGAAAATGAAATCTACTGAAAACAAAAACAAAAACAAAAAACACAACAAAACCCTGGTTTACACATTTATAATTAATTTTTTTTTTTTTGTAGAGATGGGGGTCTCACTATGTTGCCCAGACTAGTCTCAAACTCGTGGGCTCAAGTGATGCTCCCACCTTGGCCTCCCAAAGTGCTGGGATTAGAGACACGAGCCACCATACCTGGCCAACACATTTAAAATACATAGTTTAAGCTACTTATATGCTCTAATCACAAACTGCCCAAGACTATTTCACTTTATAGCACAGAGCCTGATAATACATATTTATTTACATGAGGATCAATCTACCCAGATAACACAGCAGCTCTAAATGTGCATGCTCCAACAATAAGGCTTCAAAATATATGGAAAAAAGGCCAGGTGCGGTGGCTCACGCCTGTAATCCCAGCACTTTGGTAGGCCAAGGTGGGTGGAGCACCTGAGTTTGGGAGTTCAAAAGCAGCCTGGCCAACATGGAGAAACCACGTCTCTACTAAAAATACAAAAATTAGCCAGGCTGGTGGTGCATGCCTGTAGTCCCAGCTACTCAGGAGGCTGAGGCAGGGGAAATCACTTGAACCCTGGAGGCAGAGGTTTCAGTGAGCCAAGAACGTGCCACTGTACTCCAGCCTGGGTGTGTCTAAAAAATTGAAAACAAAAACAAAAACATGGAAAACAAACAAAACCAAACAATGTGAAAACAATAAAGCTGAAAGGAGAACTACAAATCCACAATTATAGTTGGGGACCTCAACACTCCCTGTCAGTAATTAATAGAAGTATTAGTAAACAGAAAGCAAAAAAGTAGAACTACATAACACCATTAGCCAAGAGGATGTAATTGATGTTTATAGATGACTCCACTTAACAACAGCAGAATATAACTTTTTTCCAAGTGCCCATGCAACAGTTGTATACATAGGCCATATCCTGGATTATAAAGCAGACGTCAACAAATTCAAAATAATTGAAGCTATATGAAGTATGCACTATGACTATAAAAAAATTGAACTAGAAATCAATAACATGAAGAAAACAAGAAAACCTCAATACATGAAGATTACACAACACATAATCCATGAGTCAATGAAATCTTTCAGGGAAAATAAAAAAATACATTGATCTGAATGAAAATTAAAATATAATATATGAAAACGTGTGGGATGGCCAAGCACAGTAGCTCATGCCTGTAATCACAACACTTTGGGAGGCCAAGGCAGGTGGATCACCTGAGGTCATGAGTTTGAGACCAGCCTGGCCAACATGGTAAAACCCCATCTTTACTAAAAATGCAACAATTAGCTGGGTGTGGTGGCGTACACCTACTACTACTACTCAGCTACTCAGCTACTCAGGAGGCTGAGATGGGAGAATTGCTTGAACCCGGGAGGCGGAGGCTTCAGTGAGCCGAGATTGCGCCACTCTAGACTAGGTGACAGCGAGACCCCATCTCAAAAAAAAAAAAAAAAAAAAAGAAAGAGAAAAAACCCAGAAAACTTGTGGGACACAGCTAAAGCACACCTGAGAAATTTATGGCACTAAAATATATTAGAAAAAAAGGAAAGGGTTCAAATCAATAACCTAAATCCCCACCTGAAGAAACTAGAAAAAGAACAAAATAAACCCAAACAAGCAGAAAAAAAGAAACTAATAAAGTTAAGAGCAGAAATCAATAAAATTGAAAATATGGAAATAGTAGAGAAACTCCATGTAACATATGGATCCTTAAAAACATCAATAAAATTGCTAAACATTTAGCAAAACTGAGAAAAATAAGAAAGAAGACACAAATTATCAACATTGGCAATGAAATGGGATCCCACTATAGATCCTGAAGCCATTAAAAGCATAAAAGGAGACTACCACAAACAACTTTATGTTCATAAATTCAACAACTTGGAAGAAATGGACCAACGTTTTGAAAACTATATAGTACCAAAATTCAACCAAGATTAAACAACCTAAATATTCCTATAATGATAAGGAAATTAAACTCATAACTGAAAAGCTTCCAAAAAAGAAATCTAGAGTTCTACTAAAGATAAAGAAGACATTAAAAAGTGCCTGTACTCTCACCACTCTGCGATAGTTTCAGATAACATGATTCCTGATGATCTAATGGTCAGGAAAAAAAGAAAAATGAAAAAAAGGCTGGAAGGCTGGGTGCCAGTGGCTCATGCCTGTAATCCCAGCACTTTGGGAGGCCGAGGTGGGTGGATCACCTGAGGTCAGGAGTTTGAGACCAGCCTGACCAATATATTGAAACCCTGTCTCTACTAAAAATACAAAAATTAGCCGGACATGGTGGCGCACGCCTGCGGTCCCAGCTACTCAGGAGGCTGAGACAGGAGAATTGCTTGAACCCAGGAGGTGGAGTTTGCAGTGAGCCGAGATCACGCCACTGCACTCCAGCCTGGGCCACAGAGCAAGACTCTTGTCTCAAAAAAAAAAAAAAAAAAAGGGAAAAAGAAAGAAAGAAAGATAGGAAAAAAAAGGAGTTAATGTGAAATGATCGTTTTCTTAACTTCTAAGATTCATTGATGTAGAACTGAACTTCTCTACCACTGTATTCTAACACTGACAAAAATGTCAATTTGCCATTATAACCTAACCTATGGAATACATCTTCCAGAGACCGTGGGGGACATGCAGTAAAGGGGAGTTGGCTGCTTTTTAGCTTAAAAATCACTTATCCTGTTAGTGCCTCATTTTCTTCACAGATAAAACATGAATTCATTTATTTATCTAACAGATAATTACATAGCCTCTACTATGTCCCAGGCACTGTTCTAAGTATCTGGAACACATTCGTGAACAACAACAAAAAAGATCCCTTCTTCTGCAGAACCTACACATTCTATAAGGGGGGTGGGGCACAAAAGTTAAACAACAATATATAACAAAATAAATTGTACAGCATGTTAGAAGGTGATAATGCTATATGAAAAACAAAGGCCCGGAGCAGTGGCTCATACCTGTAATACCAGTCATATAGGCTGAGGCAGGCAATCACTTGAGGTCAGGAGTTTGAGACCAGCCTGGCCAACATAGCGAAACCCTGTCTCTACTAAAAATACAAAAATTAGCTGGGTGTGGTGGCATGTGCCTGTGGTCCAGTTACTCAGGAGGCTGAGGCAGGAGAATCACTTAAACCTGGGAAGGAGAGGTTGCAGTGAGCTGAGATTGTGCCACTGCACTCCAACCTGACTGGGCAACAGAGCGAGACTCCATCTTAAAATAAATATATATACATATATATATACACACATATATATATATATATACACACACACATATATATATATATATACACACACACACACATCTGTATATATATAAACAAGAGTGCAATATGGTAAGGAGGATATCAACTACAGGGGTCTTGGGCAGGATCCTGACCCACGATGGTGGGTCAGGGTAGGCCTGATTGAGAGGGTCATGTCTGAGCAAAGATTTGCAGGTTAAGGAGTTAGCCAAGGGGGTATTTGGGGAAAAAGTGTTCCAGGAAGAGCCACACATCTAGAGTGAAGGCTAAATTAGGAGTGGAGCATGCAGAACTTTTAGGCCATTTAAAGGACTTCATTAGTTGTGCCTGGTGGTGCACACCTATAGTTGGAGGTATGGGAGAGGCTGAGGTGGAGGAATTGCTTGAGCCCAGCACTGCAGTGAGCTGAGGTGGTGCTACTGCACTCCAGCTACTGCACTCACAGAGTGAGACCCTGTCTCTGTTAGAAAAAAAGTAAAAAATTAAAGGATTTCAGCCTTACTCTGTGGGAAATGAGAAGGCATTGCTGAGTTTTAAGCAAGGAATTGGTACCAAAAAGGAAAAAAAAGTGATACTTATATATAAACATGTTGAGAATTGAGTGTAGATGACACAAAGAGGAGCAGAGTGACAAGAAACAGTGGGATTTGGGACACACTTTTGAAGACAGTGCCAGCAAACTCCAAGGTTTTTGGCCTGTGCAAGCAGAAGATGCTGTTGCTCTTAATGGGGAGGGCTGCAGGTAGAGTGAGTCTGGGGTAAATGTTTCTAGGGTTTCAAGGGTTTCATGACAGTCGGTGGCTTCTGTTGTAGCTTGAATCTAAAGGTCACTTCTCTGATTTGGTGTTTCTCACCATCTCTCCTGCCAATCCTCCTCTTTTTCTTTGCAACCCTCTAAGTCTTAGCTTTAGAGGTGGAAGGTCAACCTAATTCTCTAGGCAGGCAACGGCTGGTTCCCTTTACCTGGAGAGCCTAAATGTAAATCTCTCTGCTAAAACCTCTCCCTCAGGGCACTGGTTCTTAGGGGAGGTGGTGACTTATTTATTTTGGGTCAGGTGTAGGACTTGTTGAGTTTACAGTGGATAGAATGAATTTTAAAATATGTCAACGGTTCACTAGGACCCGAGTTGAAACTATTAACTTATTTTATTCAGGTCTTTGTGTAATTGTGATAGAGACATCGATCCCTCTGGTCAGGGTTGCATAAAGTCGTTGCACAGTAAAACTTCCCAAAGGCTACATTTTTATGTTTCATTTTCAGACTGTTGGTGTCACAGGAGCAATTAAAATTTGTGAATAATGTTTTTTCCCCCTAGATGAATAATGTGGATGGCCTGCAGTCTGCTCATATTCCTGCCAAGGGATTTAACAGGCTATTGTGTTAGTAACAATGTGGATGCAAATTGTAAACATTTATCATCTCCTAAGTTTCATGCAATTTTCAAAGCCTTGCTAGTTAAAACAGGTACTCTAACCTCCAATATAAAACAATCTTTAGATCATTTTCCATATTCCCCAAACATATTTTGTTTTCCTGTAACTTCTATTTATTATATAAAGTAACATTGTAAAATCTGGTAGAAAGTAAATAGTAATGTTTAATAAGTTTAAGGTCCTCTAAAATTGATTTCGCGTCTCTTTAGATGCTATGAACTACTATTAAGGTACATCAATAAAACATTCCATATAGTGGTATTTGGTAGTAAATTCTCTATGCGTGTTTATTAGCGGTTTATTAGGAGGTAAACTAAATATTTGCTAGTGTAAATTTCCCAATAATTTATCTATACTCTCAGCATTTTACAACTGTTATGATCTTGACTCTTGAAAATTACCAATGTAATAGGAATGTCCAAATATTTGAGTCTTAAGATCAAATTAATATTTTGCCAAAGGGGAAAAGCTTTTCAAGAATTATTATGACTTGGCATGGTATGGTGGCTCACACCTGTAATCCCAGCACGATGGGAGGCCAAGGTGGGCAGATCGCCTGAGCCCAGGAGTTTGAGACCAGCCTAGGCAATATGGTGAAACCCCACCTCTTCCAAAAATAAAAAAAAATTAGCTGGGCATGGTGGTGTGTGCCTGTAGTCCCAGCTACTTGGGGGGCTGAGGCAGGAGGATTGCTGAAGCCCAAGAGGTTGAGGCTGCGGTGAACTGTGTTCACATCATTGCACTCCAGCCTGGGTGACAGAGTGAGACCCTGTTGGTAATACAGCCCCTTGGAGGAGAAAGACACGGATCAACAAATATTGACTAACTTCTTACAAGTTATTGTACCAAACATATGGGGAATACAAGGAAATATAAGTCATGCACTAGACCACAAAAGACTCATAATCTAGGTGGCAGAATGGTTGAAAGTTAGAATGCACGAGGGCATGGAAGGCAAGGATCTAATAATTCAGTGGATGCCAGAGAAACATATTGTAGGCATTTTGAGAAGATATAATTAAAAAAAAAAGATAGTAAAGTCTTGACGGAAGTAGTGAAATTAAGCAGACATTTAGGGGAGGTGGACTCTAAATGGGTAAAAAAGAGGGGGAAAGGCAGTTTCTTGGTGAGAATTACCACAAGTAAAGACACAGAGGCAAAAGAGAAGCCCACAGACTTGGGAGCCTCAGGGGTGGGATTGGGAGGTGAGTAGACACATCTGATTACAATGAGGGATTGATATATGGCAACAAGAGGAAGCAAAACCTGGAAATTTGAAAAGGCTAAGGGGTTTAGACTCTGCTTGGAGGCCCATCTACTGTGGATGGGTTGGTTTCTTGTGTAAAGATTCAGGCAGAGTAGCGGTTAAGTCCCAGCCTCGCTACATATGAACAATGCATTACTTAATGATTTAACTTCTTTGAACTTCAGTTTCCCTTCCGTACAAGGGAGATTATATCTGCGAGCAGAGTTGTGAAAGCTGTGTGAAATAACAGTTCATTGTGATCTAGCCAAGTGAGTGGTCATGACATTAGTGGTCACTTCCTCTCTGTGGTAAGTGGGTGGGGCAGGGAGGCCACACTAAGGGCTTGTGAAGAGGAAAATGACATCATTGAAGGGATAGATGTGAGGTTTGGGGACTGTTAATTTTGTGATGGTGTGCAGAATGAACTGAAGAAAGGGAGTGTGTGTGTGTTGGAGGTGAAGGGAACATTAGACCACCCAGGAAGAACCGGGGCTGGAACTGGCTGTACTGGCTATGACCAAGCCAGCAGAAATGATGAAGCCAGCTGGGCATGGTGGTGCACACCTGTAATCCTAGGTACTCAAGAGGCTGAGGCTGAAGGATTGCTTGAGCCCAGGAGTTTGATCCTAAAATGAACTATGATGGTGCCACTGCACTCCAGCCTTGGGTGACAGAGACCCTGCCTCTTAAAAAACAAACAAACAAACAAACAAACAAACAAACAAAGCGAAAACAAAGTGAACCTTAGAGGACAGGACACAAAGGGATTTGGAGAAGATAAGCTAGATGTAAAAAATAGAATCCAGGCCCTGTGCGGTGGCTCATGTCTGTAATCCCAGCACTTTGGGAGGCTGAGGCGGGTGGATCACCTGAAGTCAGGAGTTCGAGACTAGGCTGGCCAACATGGTGAAACCCTGTCTCTACTAAAAATAAAATTAAAAAAAAAAATTAGCTGGGGCGTGGTGGCAGACGCCTGTAATCCCAGCTACTTGGGAAGCTGAGGCAGGAGAATTGCTTGAACCCAGGAGGCGGAGGTTGCACTGAGCTGAGATCGTGCCATTGCACTCCAGCCTGGGTGATGGAGTGAGACTCTGTCTCAATAATAATAATAATAAAAAAATCCAGAAGAAAAATGTATTAATTTTGGGTTAAAGAAAGAAGTATCACACTAGTAGAAGGAAATACTAATGAAGACCTATGTTAGTATTTGTGTTTGTTTCTGTTTTGTTTTGCTTTGTCTGACCAGTTTATCCAGCTCTTTCCTTTGTTTAGGGGCTCTCGTCTCACTTTAACAACATGTCTTAATCTGGCAAATCAGAGCACTTGCTTTTCTTGGCACCAGTGATTGGTGTGGAGGTGAGCATGTTATAAAGCTGGGCCGGTCAGCCTGCTCTGAGTTTTTCTACCTGACATTAAATCTTTTTGGCCTCCCTGGATATAGAAGCTAGAAGGTTGTCAATCTGGAGAAAGCTGCTGGCAGAAGCATATGAAGCCAAATGGAGACCACAAGAGATTAAAGGAGAAACAGAAAGATTTAGAAGCTTGGTAAAAGTTGATGATAATTTTATTACCTAAGGCCCACAGAGTTGCCCTGATTACTGCAAAATCAAGTTGAACAAATTGGGAAACATTTGCAACAAATACAATATGATAAAAAGGATAACTATTCTTATTACATGGACAGAGTTTCTAAATCAATAAGAAAACATTAAGATTCCAAGAGAAAAATAAGCAGAGGTCATGAACAGACCATTTGCCGAAGAAAAAATACAGAGTAAATAAGAGTCTGCCTCAATAACAAAGAAATATAAACCATGACAGGAAAGTATGATACTTCACTAATCGAATTGTAAATGTAAAAAATCTGGTAATAATATTTGGGTACAATGTGTGTGTTCTTCCACACACTGAGTGGTTATTCCACTTTTCTTGAGGGGTTTTCTTGTGGTATTAAGAGCCTTAAAAATGTCCATAACCTTTGATTGAAACATTCTATTTCTAGGATTATCCTAAGAATATAAACAAAGATGTGCACAAAGATTTGCATACAAGGATATTTATTGCAATGACATTTATGTTAGCAAAATTATAAATGTGTAATTGGGTGATGGCTGAATAGATAATGAGAAATGAACAGTCATATGATGAAAAATTATAAGCCAATAAACATCATGTTTAAAAAAAATCATGTTTTTGTACTGTATTTTTTTTTTTTGAAACTGAGTTTCACACTTGTTGCCCAGGCTGGAGTGTAGTGGTGCAATCTCAGTTCACTGCAACCTCCGCCTCCCGGGTTCAAGTGATTCTCCTGCCTCAGCCTCCCGAATAGCTGGGATTACAGGCATGAGCCACCATACCTGGCTAATTTTGTGTTTTTAGTAGAGATAGGGTTTCTCCATGCTGGTCAGGCTGGTCTTGAACTCCCGACGTCAGGTGATCCACCAGCCTCGGCCTCCCAAAGTGTTGGGATTACAGGTGTGAGCCACCGCACCCGGCCTTGTACTGTATTTTTACAATGATTGTCACATGACTCTTCCACTCCCTTTTTGTACTCCATATCTATCTTCCAGAAACATCACCTGCCTTTTCTCCTGTGGTCTCTTAATCCTATAATTGTATTACTGCCATTATACGATGCAGTTATTAACAAAAAAAAAAAGAAAAAATTCATGTTTTTGGAATATAGTTTTGTGACACAGGAAATGCTCACTCTATAATGCTAGTGGAAAATAAGTATGATGCAAATGATGTGATGTGGTCTCAATTATTATTATTATTTCTTTTTTTTCCTAGAAAAAGAAATGGGGTCTCACTATGTTGGCCAGGCTGGCCTTGAACTCCTGGCTTCAAGCAGTCCTCCCATCTTGACCTCCCAAAGCGTTGAGATTACGGGCATGAGCCACTGTGCATGGCCTAAGTATTATTATTTTGTGTGTATGTGTGTGTGTATATGTATTAGGATGTGAAATGGACTTTTTCTATCGTCTTGAACTTTTGGCCAAAGCCCAAAGCTAAGAGTAATTGATAACAAATATCCTCATATTCTCAAAAAAGGGGTTAGACAGAGCTTCACAATATTTACTGTAAATTTAAAAAAGAAAAGCCTAGTGCTCACCGTTATCACCAGCAGCAGCCTATATAAGAGATTTCTCAGAAAGGACAATTGAAGTGAATTTATGGGGGTAGAGAGTGCTTTGTGGCATAGACCCTGGTGCCTGAGACAGCTGTGGCAATATCCGAAAGTGGGAAGTTGGCTAGAGTAGTCCACAAAGTCAGGGCAAAGAGAGAGCGAGCACCAGTAGGCACAAGCCTCACTTCCACCCTTGGAGTAAGGGTATATGGATTTTCTCACAGTGTGAATAGGATGGGGTGACAAGAATGACAAAGCAGACCATGACCTGTTCCACTCCAAGCCCCTAAACTGCAGATCCTGAGCTCAGGGAGGCGGAAGTATTGATTTGACTTAGATATGGACTTTTAATGCCGGCACGTGACTCAGTGCCAATACCTGAAAATGACAGGAAAGCTATGGGATCTTCCTGAACCGTGGCTCAGGGCAGAGAATGGGGAACTGATGAAGTATGCTCCAAGGCCATGGTGGGAAGGAAGCCATCAAGCTGCTTCATCTATGGACTCCACCCAGCCCATCTTGTTTAATAATCACTCCTAAATGCATCCATCAAGATTGGAAAAAAATGTTATCTGAAATCATCTGAGTGGTGGGAGTACAGGTGTTTTTTAATGTCTTTATACTTTTCCTGTATATTTTTCAAAATTTCCAAAACTAACATGTATGCTTGTATAATTTAAAACACAAATTAAAAAAATTAAAAAAAATTTAAACCCAATCACCACCAACAAAAAACAAGACAAAAAAATAAAAGACATAGAGGAAATGGATCCAGACAAAAGGAAAGAACCAAGATGAAAATTTTAAAAGGAACAAGAATTGTCTCCTACTCTAATGATGCACACGTTGTGTCTGTATTTCTGCTGAAATACCTTTTGTCTTTCTCCCTTTTCATTTTCATACGTCCACACTAGTGCTAACTCTGGCCACATTCCCCTTAGAAGACTGCAGTGACCTCATAATTGATATATTTTCCTCTTATGCACCTCCACACCACTGACAAGCTCATCTTCTCAAAACACGTTCTCCTCTCTCTTATCTCTTCCCATGTGTTCCAAAGTAACTTTCCCACTTCAGGCCAGTTTTTTTCCTTTCCTTTTCTTTTTTTTTGAGACAGGATCTCACTCTGTCGTCCAGGCTGGAGTGCAGTGGGTGTGATCATGGCTCACTGCAGCCTTCCCCTCGGGCTCAGGTGATTCTCCCACGTCAGCCTCCCCAGTAGCTGGGACCACAGGCATGTACCACCACGCCCAGCTAAATTTTTTTATTTTTCGTAGAGACAAGGTTTTGCCATGTTGCCTAAGCTGGTCTCAAACTCCTAGGCTCAAGCAATTTGCCTGCCCAGCCTTCCAAAGTGCTGGGATTACAGGCATGAGCCACTGTGCCCAGCCCAGTTTCTTCATACTCTCTCTCTCTTTTTTTTTGAGATGGAGTCTCACTCTGTTGCCCAGGCTGGAGTACAGTGGCACAATCTTGGCTCACTGCAACCTCTGCCTCCCGGGTTCAAACAATTCTCCTACCTCAGCCTCCTGAATAGCTGGGACTACAGGCACGTGCCACCACACCTGGCTAATTTTTGTATTTCTAGTGGAGACGGGGTTTCATTGTGTTGGCCAGGCTGGTCTCGAACTCCCGACCTCAGGTGATCCGCTAACCTCGGCCTCCCTATGTGCTGGAATTACAGGAGTGAGCCACCCAGCCTGGCCCATACTTTCTTATAAAAGGCCAAGCTTAACCTTACTTGGGCTCTTGTTAATTTCCAACATTCAAAGGATTTGTCAGTCTATTTAAATTGTAACTTGTTTGCTGGAGCTACCTTGGGTCCCTCATCTTCTCTTATTTAAGAAAGCAATAGGCACTGGGTTTAGTAGTTGGTTACATGTTAAACAGAGTTCTCTGGCTTTTCACATATGTAAATAATTATAAGTTCCATCAATGAAGGTACCATGCTGTGTGCTTTTGTGTGTAGATCCTCGTGTGACACACTACAATGCATTGTTTAGCACATAATAGTTTCAGAAAATACCATTGAATTGATTGCATCTAAATAATTCTCATGGAACTATTTAATCTGTTAATACAGAACACCAAAGCTACCAGGATTGTGGAATTTAAAATAGCCCTTCAGTTCCTTTCCTGAATCTGGTAAACTTTCTAAATCATCATTTCCCTTTTTTCCACTTCAGGTACGTGGTCAGGTGAAAGTAATTTGACACCATAATATCTTAAATAAAATGAGAGTATAGACTTAGATGAGAGCAGAATAAGACAGTAGACTTAGATAAAAGTCGTTTAAATCCATTCATATTTGCAATGAAAAGAAACATTTTCATATTATTACTGCCATTTAAAAAATTACTTTTTGGGTCTCTGAACAAAGGTTATTAAAAATATAGAAAACTTTTTCACACCTCCTCCTACTCCACCATCTAGAAAAAAAAAAAAAAATATATATATATATATATATTTTTTACCTTTCTGAACAGATCCAGGGAAATATAATAGAGGTTAATACTTGTTTTCTTTACATTTAGCTTTCTTAACTTATAAGTAAGTTTATCTGACTCTACACAAGCCAAGTATTAATTAAAGTGCAAATAAGAGAGACAGATTAGACATAGACAAAGGCCGAGGGGTCTCTCAAATCTACAAAAGGGCCCTATCTAATAGGATTGACAAACATTCAATATTTGTATTCAGAATTCCATAATAATAGTGTATTAAATTGGATTTGACCTCATTAAGTACAATACTGATCAAATACTGATCTAGCTTTAGTTGTTAATCGTTTTTTAAAAATTCCTTATTTGACCTCACCCAGAAACCTGACAGACTTTTCTTAGTTCCCACCTTCTCTTCCATTAGAACCCCCAAATCCATTGCTCTCTGCAGCATCAGTGCAGTAGTGTAGACTCTGTGATGGGAGTCCTATCCGGGCTGAACATGCCATCAAGGCCTGTCTTCTGAGTTGACACACAGGGGAGCAGCCTGAGTCTCTGGAGGAGCCCAAAACCCTGAGGCAGCCCTTCTGAACTCCCCTGCCTGTACAGCCTGCTTCATCTCCCAGAGTCACATCTTTCTGTTTCCCTCATCCCTTTTAATTTCATTTTTGTTCTTTTGTGGTTTTTTTGAGACAGAATCTTTCTCTGTCTTTCCCAGGCTGGAGTGCGGTGGCACGATCTTGGTTCACTGCAGCCTCTGCCTCCCCGGTTCAAGTGATTCTCCTGTCTCAGCCTCCCCAGTAGCTAGGATTACATGTGCATGCCACCACACCCTGCTTATTTTTGTATTTTTAGTAGAGATGGGATTTCACCATCTTGGCCAGGGTGGTGTCGAACTCCTGACCTCAGATGCTCTACCTGCCTGGGCCTCCCAAAGTGCTGGGATTACAGGTGTGAATGAACCATTGCACCCAGCCTCATTTCATTTTTGACAGGGTTTCACTCTGTAGTCCAGACTAGAGTACAGTGGTGTGATCACAGCTCACTGCAGCCTCTACTTCTTGGGCTCAAGTGATCCTCTTACCTCAGCCCTCAAAGTGGCTGCCCCTGTCCGTTAAAAAACAAACAAACAAACAAACAAACAAACAAACACTCTCTAGGCTTCAGGCAATTCCCTACCTTTGGGATGGCAAGCAGTGGAAGGTGAAAGCTGGGTTGTTCCTGCTGATGGCAGTGGCAGAGTTGTGATCCTGGCTGGAACTTAGAACTCACTTCCCCATGGCAACCATAGAACCGCAGGATATTGTTAGGTAGGTTCTATCATATGTGTAGAACTCCAGATGAGGTCTGTTGGTCAAATAGAGTTTTGTGAGTTCTCCTGAGCACCTACCCACCACTCTTTAGTTTGTTTAGGGAGGAAAATGGCTCTGAGTTCCAAACAATTGACCATAAATCATCTTTGTGTAGAGGGAGCCCCAGGGGCATAGGTCTAGAATGTTTCTCTGCTATGGACTCTGATAGGTGTGTGGGCCCCTTTGAGTGGCTTCGCTCACAGGACGCCCACTCCAAGCCCAAGACTCCTGAGTCATTAGGGTAACCAGGAGTCCCCTCTGAGTGAGCACCCAGAAGGGAAATACAGACCTGAGGGAGGAGAGGATGCACATGAGCTTGATGTAAGACCTTCGCTGGAGGCAGGAAGAACAGGAGGCTAAGGGCTGGTGAGGGTGGAGGTTTCCAGAAGGCCTTTTGGCCTAACCGCTAGAGATGTTAACAGTGTTATATTGTTAAGCTAGTCCCTGTAGACTTGTGCCAGGGTTGTTGGCAGGAGGGTTGTAATGAAAAGCAAGTGGAGCGAACTATATCTTTAGAGTTCTTTAAGTAATGGAGGCCAGGGTAGAGTTATCTTGTGATGAGTAATGGAATACATCACGGGGTTGTGTGTGTGTGTGTGTGTGCACGTGTGTGGACACATGCACACCCCATCTCCAAGTACCATCACATTGGGGGTTAAGGCTTCAACATATGAAATTGGGTATGGAGTGGGGCATGCAATTCAGTTTATGGCATCTCTCACATCAGAAACCTGTGGGTCAGTCTAGAATTGTTCCTTCTCATCACCCCACTCAATAGATAAGTAGATCATTCAGCTGGAACAAATAAATGTTCCTTGGCTACAGTCAAGGCGATACCCAGCTGGTGATGACAGGGCTGTGACAGTGGCAGCAGGGAAATGGTGAAAGAACTGGAGGCCACCAATAAGGTAGGGGAAAGAATGGTCATGACCACTTATGAGTCTGTGTGGAGTCCCATAGGATCAGAACAAAGAGGTTTCTGGGGGACTGGGATTCAGAGATTGAGAAAGAGGGGTCTAATCTAGACTTATCAAATAAATAATGTTCTTGATACTCTTTTGATTGTGCCCTGGGGAAACTTAGCTGCTTTTATCTTTCTCTTGGTACATAGTTCAGGGTCATGCATGAGGGAGCCCTCAATAAATGTTACTGGCAGCCTAAATAAAATAAAATAAAATAAAATTAGTATATAATAAAACTAAATATATTGAGGTTCAGACAAAAGGCAAAAAACATTGTGTGCTGTAATACTGAAGATGCACTGTGCAGTTTTGAAATCTGATTTTAGTCTTTGTCATTTATGAATATCGCTGTTAAACATGCCCATCCAATCTTTGTCTTTAGAGAAGCTCAGTAGAATTATGAAGAGAAACCAGTGTTCACTGTGATAGTGTAAAGCTGGTTTTATAGTCTTTAGAAGCGGTTCGCTAGGGCTCTGAGCCTCCTCTCCTAACACATGGTGCAGTGGGTACTGCTGTGTTGGTGAGTTGGCGGGACAATTTAAATGGTGTGATGGTGGTGGGTGGGGGTGGGGAGAAATTCTTTATGCGAAGTGTAATGTGTTTTCCAGCTTTTGCCTCCTGTTGCTTGGTCTCCCAGGAGTTTTGAGTGAAGTGTGACTGCAGAATTTGGCTCTTCTGTCCAAAAACTTCAACCTACTTGTTACTGTTTGACATATGAGTTGAGGCCAGGGCCGAAGGAGAGACTCTATAATAGATGAAAATGTATGCCATGAAGGTACTTCATAAATGCCAAATTATCTTATGGAAAGTGTCCTTTCATTGTCCTTTGATTTAATATTTATTGAGCTCTTATTACATGCCAGGATTGGGGTCCGCTCTTTGGAAATATCAGAGGTGTCTTCAAGTTTTTGTGTTTTTTTGACTATAATTCCTCAAAAGAAGGGACTTAGACTATCTCATTCATTTTTCTGATTCCTGTGGGATCTCTTTCCAGGAATTTTTCAAAGTTGCAAGGAAGGAGTAGCTCTCTTTCTTCTTGGATTCCAGAACTGCTGGTGGAATATCCCTTGCCACTTGAAGGGCTTTGAGAGAATGAGCCCAAATACAGGTGAAGCCAAAGGGTGAGAGGGAAAGAGAGAGACAGAGGTCAGGACAGAGAGCTAATCCTGGTGCTTTTGGAGTTCAGTTTTGAAGAAGTTTTCTCAACCCCTACTTTCCACCATTTGGTGAATTTATGAAGTTCCCTAAAGTAGTTTGATATGGATTTCCATGACTTGGCAGCCAAAGAGTCCTGATTTATACAGTGTTAACACTGAACTCACCATCTTCCTCTCCCAAAAGAACCTCCTTCTGTATCCTGGTTAATAGTACTCTCTACCTAGTCTCCTGTGTTAGTCAGCTCCAGCTGCCAAACAAAATACTGGAGCCTGAGTGGGTTAAACAAGAGGAATTTATTTATTACAGTTCTGTGGGCTGAGAAGTCCAAGATCAAGGCACCAGCCAATTCTTTTCCCTAGTAAGGGCCTTTTTCTTGCAGATGGCCACTTTCTTCCTGTGCCCTCACAAGGTGAAGAGAGAGAGAGAGGAAACAAACTCTGGTGTCTCTTCTTATAAGGGCACTAATCACATCATGAGGGCCTCAACCTCATGACCTCTTCTAAATCTAATTAACTTCCTAACTCAGGAATGGAAAACCAAATATCGTGTGTTCTCACTCATAAGTGGGAGCTAAGCTATGAGGATGCAAAGGCATAAGAATGACACAATGGACTTTGGGGAGTCAGAGGAAAAGGAGGGGAAGTGGGTGAGAGATAAAAGACTACAGATTGGTGCAGTGTACACTGCTCAGGTGATGGGCGCACCAAAATCTCACAAATCACCACTAAAGAGCTTACTCATGTAACTAAACACTACCTGTTCCCCAATAACCTATGGAAATAAAAAATTTAAATAAATACATTTAACTTCCAAACACCCCATCTCCAAATACCATCACATTAAGGGTTAAAGCTTCAACATACGAAACTGGGTAGGGAGTGGGGCACAGAATTCAGTTTATAGCATCCCCCAGGTCAGAAGCTTGTGGGTCAGTCTAGAATTCCTCCTTCTCATCACCCCGCTCAATAGTCAGTGATAATCATCAAGTCCCAATGATGCATCCTAAATATGCCTTGCATTCTTCTCGTCTCCATCCCTGTTGTCAATAGCTCAGTACAGGCCTTCATTAACTCTTGCCTGGAGTTTTGCAATAGCCTTCTACCTGGGCTCCTTCCAATCTCATCGTTGTTAAATCCATCCTCCAAGTAGCAGCTACAGCAAGATACCTGAAATGCAAACCTCACCTTATCAGTATGATGCCTGTTTCCCATGACTCATTCCCACCCTCTCCAAATTTCTCACTTTTCATATAATATAATGCTTGATTGTCAGTTTCATGGAAGACCATTTTTTCTTGGAAGCAGGGGATGATTTCAGGATGAAATAGTCCCACCTGAGATCATCAGGCATTAGAGTCTCATAAGGGGCACTCAACCTAGATTGAAGTCTCCTGTGTTCAAAAGCTTATTATTTCACACACAAACCAAGTGCAAGCTCTTAGATCAGTGGCTTTGATGGCTTTGATACTGAAGAAAAGAGATGGTCTATTTCCATTGACTTAATTTTCAACAGTCTTCAGCACTTCATTTCATATAACAAGAAGCCTAAGTTTTTAGCTTGTTATTTAATTTTCTCCCTAATTTTTCAACCCCTTTCCCCCCAACTAAAACTCTCTAAGAATCATTGCTTCAGTCAGAATATTCTATAATAATTACAGTTACTTACCACACTCTTTCCTCCCCTGGATAGTTGTTTATACAGATCTTTCTGCCTGCAGAGCCCTGCGCTTCTTTCCTGTCCGTTTACTTATACCTACTCTGAAGCATTCCAATCTCTACTGATTTCTTGCTCTTCCAGCCTCTAAGTTCTTAGTGTTTGTCTTACTCTTTTTATCACTTATTACATAGAGCTTTATATTGATATTTGACTCTTCGTGAGTATGTCTTACCTCTGCCACAGGTCTCCAAGCTCTGTGAGGGCAAGGATCATGCCTCACACCACTGAGTGAGCCTAGCATGCTGTCTTGTATATGATGGGTCCTCATTAGATGTTCGTGGATTTTCTTCTAATGCAGGGGTCCCCAACCCCTGGGCTGTAGATGGGTGCAGGTCTGTGGCCTGCTAGGAATGGGGCTGCACAGCAGGAAGTGACTGGAGGGCAGGGAAGCGTTATCACCTGAGCCCCGCCTCCTGTCTGTTCAGTGGTGGCATTAGATTCTCATAGGAGCACGAACCCTATTGTGAACTGCACATGGGAGGGATCTAGGTTGAGTGCTCCTTATGAGAATCTAACGCCTGGTGATCTCAGGTGGGACTATTTCATCCTGAAATCATCCCCTGCTTCCAAGAAAAAATGGTCTTCCATGAAACTGGTCCCTGGTGCCAAAAAGGTTGGGGACTGCTGTTCCATTGGATCCATTTTCTTCTCTTAGGTCATGGTAGTGGTAGCACCACATTTTGGTGAGTTTTTAACAAATGGGTTCAGAGAAGACAAGGCCAGTAAATTTTTTTAACTTCCAAATGTAAAAGTTATTTCGAGGTCAAATTCCTTAATTCCCACAAAGGGGATAATCACTTTTGTGAGATGCTGAGCAATAGTCTTAAGTTCTACTGAGACAGGCCCAGGAGTCTAACTTTTGTGTCAATAAAAAATTATAATTACTGAGTACAGTTACAATGCTGTGGAAATCTTGAACACCATAATTTATGCATCTGTAAAATTGCCATTTCAGGGCTCATGAAAGATACAATGAAAACCTTGGAACCAGATTTCTGGTTATAATAAAGAAGTTACTTGAAGATGGTCTGGGATTATAATTTTTAATTATCTTTACATATATTCCTATTTATTTCTGTGTATTTCATCTTAAATTGGAGCTTATAAACATAGATACTCTTCTAGTATTTCTGTCTATTTTATTTTTCTGCTCTCAAGACCATCTTGGCTGGGCATGCTGGCTCACATCTGTAATCCCAGCACTGGGAAGCCAAGGCGGGAGGATCTCTTGAGCTGGGAGTTTGAGACCAGCCTGGGCAATATGGTGAAACCCTGTCTCTACAAAAAAATAGAAAAATTAGCTAGGCATGGTGGTGCACGCCTGTAGTCCCAGCTACTGGAGAGGCTGAGGTGGGAGGATCACTTGAGCTTGGGAGGTGGAGGTTGCAGTGGGCTGAGATTGCACCACTGCACTCCAGCCTGAGAGACAGAGCAAGATTCTGTCTCAAAAACAGAACAAAACAAACCTCTCTTATCTTTTTTCATGGCTTTACTACAATTTTGATGAGAATTTTAGTTAACCTCTTGATCATCTTGATTTATGAGGTGTTTTTCTTCTAAAGATCTTGGACACTGTTTACATTTTTATCCTCCCCTAGAATTTAGTATTCTTTTCATTGTAAGTGACAAAGTACTTGGCCTATGCAAAAAAAGAATTTATCAACTCACCTAAACTGAAAGTGTGGGGCTAGATCAAACTTCAGGCACAGCTGAGTTAGAGCTCAAAAGATAGCATAAATATTTGGTTTTTCATTATCTTTCTCTTCTGCTTTTCAAGTGTTGCCTTTAGTCCTAGGCTTCATGTGATAGCAACAGAGTTGCAATAGCTCCAGGCCCTATATCTTACATTTCAAGAGAGCAGGAAAGATACTCTTTCCTGGAAGGCTGTCAGTGCCTCTCATTGGCTCTCAGTGGTTATGTGCCCATCCCTAAACCAATCAACATGGCCATTATCTACTTAAAATTGGTGGGGAGGCAGGGTAGACAGCCCCTAGCATCAAGGGTGTTTAATTCTCTATCAGAATCTCATGATATGATTGTATGGGTGGAGTTGATATTGATCTTCCAGACATCACTTATGTTGAACTCTCAGGAGCAATCAACCTTGTTGACTATAATCTTATTATTATTATTATTATTTAAATAATAGGGTTTTTTTTTGCTTTTACGATGCCTCAGACTTGTCTCTTCTTTTTCAGGTCATTATCTCTTTTCTCTGGTCATTAAATGTTCCAGTCTCTCAAGGCTGAGTCCTAGGCACTCTCCTAACTGAATTCCCTCCTAGGTGATTTCATTCATCCGTGAGGCTTTAATGATCACCTCAAAACCAAGCGTTTAAAATTTCCTGTGCAACCAGAGGAAATTCTGCACTCTATACTTCTGTCCCCAATTGCCCATTTGATTTTTCTACTTAGTTTTTTTAAAAGTCACTTCAAACTCAACATGTTCAAAACCATATCCCCAAATAAACTTGTGCTGAGTACAGTGTTTCTCCTTGCAGTGAATTGTACCACTATCGATCCAGTTCTGCAAGTTAGAAACCTAAGCCTCATCTTTAACCTGTTCCAGCCCTCACTCCTCATTGCTTAGCTGTTCTGAAAGTCCTACAAACTTTACTTTCTCAATATTTCTCAAATCCTCTGACCTCTCTCTACCTCCTTAGTCTGAGCCATTATTTTCAATCATACAACTGCCTCATCTTCAATGTGTTTCCTCCTTCTTCCAATCTATTTTCCATTTTATAGTTAGAGTGCATTTTTTTCAAAATGCAAATTCAATGACTTTCCACTGGTCTTAAGATATAGAACAAGATTTCTATCATGGTCTACAAGACTTTGCTGATAGGGCTCCTTCTTACCCCATCAACACTGTAACTCTCCATATCCCCTCTTTACCCTTTGTGTTCCACCACAGTGGCCTTAGTTCACTTTCTTGACACACCTTGTAGATGGAATAATGGCCAGTTCACCCCCTCCATGACAAATGTCCACAACTTAATCACTGAAACCTCTGAATATGTTACTTTATATGGCAAAAGGTATTTTGCAGATGTGATGAAGTTAGGAACCTTGAAATGGAGAGATTATTCTGGAATATCCAGCTGGGCCCAGTGTAATCACAAGGGTCCTCATAAGAGGAAGTCAGGAGGGTCTAAGGCAGAGAAAGTGATGTGATGACAGAAGCAGGGGGCAGAGTGATGGGAGGAGAAGGCTGTGAGCCAACGAATGTGGGAGGCCTCTAATAGCTAGAAAAGGCAAGGAAATAAATCCTCTTCTACAGCTTCCAGAATGAATGAAGCTCTGCAACACCTTGATTTTAGGACTTTAGAACTGCAAGATAATTAATTTCTGTTTCAAGCTACTAAGTTTGCAGTAACTTGTTACAGCAGCAATAGGAAGCTAATACACAAACGATTGAGCTGAGTATCTTCAGCTTGCCCTTCTTCCCTAAGAGTAGAGGCTGACTCTCTACTCCTCCTGCTCAAGGATGACCTGTGTGTTTTGCATCAGTGGGCTCTCTTCCCTTCTGGTCCTGATTGGACTTGGCCAAAGGGAGGCACATGTAGGACATTGGGGGATGGAAGGAAAGTGAAGTTGGGCTATTTGTTTCCCCTGCTACCATCCTGCTGGAACTCTGTGGACTGGAAGCATATCCATTGTGAAGGCCACAGCTCCTATTAGAAGGCCCTCACCACACCCATTCCACATTCTGATAACTGTTTTATCCCCTTCCTCCTTTAAGCTGGGTGGTGTGGTGGTTAATGGCTCCTTGCTGTTGCTAGCCTAGGGTACTGCACTATCTTGTACTATTTTCCCTATGGCTTGGCCTCTTGTTGTTAAATAGTCCTTTATTGAACACCAGTACAATTACCCAGTTTGAAAGGGCCATCTGATTCCCCACAAGATGATGACTAATTCCCTTCTGCCTCGGACCTTTGAAAATGCTTCTTCCTGTGCCAGGAAAGCCCTTCTTCCCAAGTGTGCTCTCCTTCTGAAGAATTAATCTTCAGAATTCTTAAGTAGCACTTACCCTCAGGCAAAGTCAGGTATTCTACAACCTCTTAACACTATGTATCTATACTTCCTGTTACTTATTATAATTTTAGCTGTAGAGCTGTTAATGAGAGCGTTTGATTCTTGTGTGTCGTCTCCTCTAAAGCTGCATTATTCTATAGAGTAGCCGCCAGGCACACATGGGTGCTGAGCACTTGGAATGGGGCTAACATATCTGAGGAACTGAATGTTAAATTTTACTTATTTTTTATTAATTTAAATTTAAGAACTAATAACGTTTTTGGAAAATTTGTAAGCATGCTTGGAACTACTTGGGGATGTGAATCTACTTTGTCAACTGTAAAATTTATGAAATCTAGATACAGGCCAAATATTTCTGATGAAATTCAGTGTCTAAATAGAGATGGGCTGTGTATTAGTCAGGGCTTTCCAAAGGGACAGAACTAATAGAATATATGTATATATGAAAGGGAGTTTATTCAGAAGAATTGACTCACACGATTAAAAGGCGAAGTCCCATGATAAGCTGACTGCAAGCTAGGGAAAGAGAGAGGCAAGTAGCATGTCTCAGTCCAAGTCTGAAAACCTCAAAACCAGGAAAGCTGACAGTGCAGCCTTCAGTCTGTGGCCCAAGGCCCGAGAACCCCCAAGAGGCAGCTGATGCAGGTCCCAGAGTCCAAAGGCTGAAGAACCTAGAGTCTGATGTCCAAGGGCAGGAGGAGGGGAAGCAACCATCTGGCATGAGAAGAGAGAGCTAAAAGACTCAGCCAGCAAACCTATCCCACCTTCTTCCACCTGCTCTATTCTGGCCATGCTGGCAGCCAATTGGATGGTGCCCACCCACATTGAGGGTGGATCTGCCTTTCCCAGTCCTCTGACTCAAATGTCAGTCTCCTCTGGCAACACCACCACAGACGCACCCAAGAACAATTCTTCCCCAGCCATCTAGGCATCCCTCAATCCAGTCAAGCTGACACCTATATTAACCATCACAAGTCTACCCTTTGTCAACATGGCACCCATACATATGTCCTTGAATCATACTTATCTCCAATAAAGATCATAATAAGGTCACAATTATGCCTAACATAATACAACTATCCTTTGTACAACCAAACTTGCACTAATCCTTAAGTACTATTACATAGAATTAACACTTAAATGCTGATATGAAGTCAATAAATCTTATGTTACATGATAAAGGAATAAGAAAGGAAATAAAACAAAGATACCTGCTTAATACAACTATATATATGCACAAATTTATTCTTATCAAAGTAAGAAGGAAATACTCATAATAATTACAGTCCTCTTTTCTGTAACTAGTCACATGATTGTAGCTGGTATTGAAAACTACCTTCTTCTACTACCCATTCTATATTTCCTTTGCCTTCAGCAAGCACCTCAGCTGGTCATGGTTTTTAACCTGATGGAGTGACCCAAGCCTTCATTTCTGAAGGGTCTGGGCCATTTGTAGTCTTCCTAGGATTGGGTTGTTGTGGTTTCCCATTGGCTTTAATTATAGGGCAGGGTGATACTAAGAGACACCCTAAGGGATAACCTAAATTCCAGGCATTCTTCCTTATCTCCATTGTGAAGTGGTAGTCTGATTTCATCTTGACAGTCTGGGTCAATCACCCCAGCCAAATTGTAACTCTCTTCTTAACCTGTCGACTTAGAGGCATGAGGAGTAAAGTAGCCAGTGGCAGTCTTAACTTCCAGTTGGACAGAATTGTATTGTGTCTCCTGGTGGCAGCATTTCTCCCCTGGAACTAAGACCTCTAGGCAGCAGAACATAATGTCCCAGGAACAGGAAGCAAAAATTTTGCTAGTGGGTGACTAGGGATGATGATGAGTGGTGCCATTTCTACTTTCATCCCTTGGTTCCTGGACCCATGAATCCTGGCTATGGGAGAAACAGTACCATATACTGAACGCAGATTCAGAGCATATACAGCCTTCTGGAGAACTTTGTCCTGATCCCGCAAAGTATTGTCACCTAGTTGGCATTATAATTGCAACTTCAAAAGGCCATTCTACTGTTCTATCAAGCCAGCTGCTTCAGGATGATGGGGAATATGGTAAAACCAGTGAATGCCATGAGTGTGAGCCCATTGCTGTACTTCTTTGGCTGTGAAGTGAGTTCCTTGGTCAGAAGCAATGCTGTGTGGAATACCATGGCTGTGGATAAGGCATTCTATGAGTCCAGCCTTAGCAGAAGCATTGTGTGCAGGAAAGGCAAATCCATATCGGAAGTAAGAATCTATTCCAATAAGGAGAAACCACTGCCCTTTCCATGATGGGAGTGGTCCAGTATAATCAACCTGCCACCAGGTAGCTGGATGATCACCCTGAGGAATGGTGCCATATCGAGGGCTCAGTATTGGTCTCTGCTGGTGATGATTGGGCACTCAGCAGTGGCTGTAGCCAGGTCAGCCTTGGTGAGTGTAAGTTCATGTGCTGAGCATATGGCTGAGCCAATGTCCATCAGTGCCACCGTGACCACTTTGTTCATGAGCCTATTGGGCGATAACAGGGGTAGCTGGGGAAAGGGGCTGAGTGGTGTCCACAGACTGGGTCATCCTATCCACTTGATTATTAAAATCTTCCTGTGCTGAGGGCAACTTTTAATGAGCATTTATGTGTGACACAAATACCTTCAGTTTTTGATCACTCAGAAAGGTCCATTAACATACCTCTTCCCCACATTTGTCACCAGTTTTCCAATCATGATCCTTCCAAGTCCCTGACAATCCAGCCAAACCATTGGCTACAGCTCATTAATCATTATGTAAATGCACATTTGGCCATTTCTCCTTCCATGCAAAGTGCACAACCAGGTATATTGTTAGAAGTTCTGCCCACTGGGAAGATTTCCCTTCATCATTGTCCTTGGGGGATGTTCCAGAAAGGGGCTGTAGTGCTACAGCTGTCCACTTTCAGGTGGTATCACGCAGAA